>NC_000003.12:134311634-134614664 GCF_000001405.40 Homo sapiens | reverse complement strand
AGGATAATGCATTCATAGAAGACTCAGCAGCTTCAGGGTTCATCAAGGGTAACCCAGGTAATGACATTGCCTTCTGCTTGGCTGCCCCTCTGTTCAGTCTCTTCCCATCAGGCCACATTTGGTGGCCATGTGGTCCTTTGCAGCCCTTGGGGCTTCTCTGATTGGGTCCCTGAGCCCTGATATTGCTGGAGAGTGGGGGCTGCAGCTTTCTCCAAATCCTCCAGGGTGCTCCTTGGCAGCTTGTTCAGGGCATCTTACATCCATGTTTTCATTGTGGCTTGGGATATATATCAGCCATGAGCTATGGAGGCAAAATTGAGGTTGTCAATTCTGTAAAGTAGAAGCGAAGATTCTGCAGTCTGAGGTCATTAAATAAATCTCCTTGGGTGATATTTTAGGCTCTGGGATGGCTGGTCGGAGCTCTTCAGGAGGTGGAAATGTTTCTAGTCCTCGGCCCCTCCTTCCGTGCTCTCTCAGCTCCTGCCTGCAAAGTTAATTCCTCCACCTTTGGGCTCTCCAGGTCTTTGCTTATAGACTGGGATTTTATAAGCAAAGTTCTGGAGACAGTTCCAGTGACAGTTCCCATATCCACCCTCCTTCCAACTATCAGCACATCTAGGGCAGCCACTGAGCCTTATTTTGGGGATATGATATTTTTTTATGTTGTTACATTGTGTTGCGTTGTATGGTGCCATGTCATGTTATAGCATTCCCTGCTACAGTGCTTTATACACAGTGTGTGCGGCCAGTGATCTTTTGATGACATGAAAGAGTTGTGGTTCATCCTGGCTAGCAAGAGTGGCTGGAGACAAAACTCCTGTGGGTTCCACAATCATCGTCTTATACATACAGAGGATTTTGCATGAGAATTATGGCATATTAACAATAATGCTTTACATTATGACCTTCTTTGTCCAATTCATCTGGCACATTGCTGCCAGGTAATAAAATATCCTCATATCAGAGTCAAGCATGGCATAAGCTTATAACTGAGTTTATATTTTCATCTTTTTTCTGCCCCAGGCATTCCCCACAGCCTTCCCAGCTTCTCCTCAGCCTGTCAGAGAAGAATCAACCCCTGGAGATCATTTAATGCCAACATTTCTCTCTGCCCATGATAAGCCTGGCAAGGTCACTCTAGAGGTGACCACCAGACCTGGGAGGTGACCTTATTTCCTGGCTCAGGGGCCATCACCCCCACTCAGAGCAGTACAGGTGGACATCCCTGCCCCTTGCTTCTTCCTCCTGCTCTCCTTTCCAGGGCTGGGGCAGGCTCTCGCTGCTGCTCCCTGACTTGGTTTTTCCAATCTTGCCTCCACTTCACTCCCTTGAGGGCAGGATGTCCCCCTGGGCACACGGCCTAGGACATGGCTTCTCCCAGGAGGACATTCCATACCCATTCTGATTTACCCCACCGCCTGGAGGCTGCACAAATGCTAAATTCCTCTCCTTCCTTCCTTGACTCCAGGTGGCTCTGAGCAGAGGACAAGCATCAGTGGGCAGCATGTCCAGAGGTCCACAGCGCCGCTAAATCAGTTCACCTTAATGCAAAACGAGCCATTCTCCAAGCCCCATTGTTCCCAGGACTCCCCTTATCCCTCCACATCATCCTAGAAAGTGATATGCACAGACATTCTAGGCAGCAATGGAAAGTAATTTCCTGAAGAATATAATTTTAAGTAGTATTTATGGCTTTTTTTCCAATTCTCAAAGTAACACATAATCATTATTAAAAATTTAGAAAATACAGAGAAGTTTCAAGAAAAACATTAAAATCACCTATAATCCCATTGCCAAAAGATCAGGTGCCTTTTGTGCCATCTCTCCCCCTCTCACTCCCTGCCCCTCCTTCTCTGTGCATGCAGGCAACACACACACACACACACACACACACACACACACACACACACACAGCATCGGCGTGACATTGTGCTGACTGGAGAGATTGACATGCTGTTGTCAGTTCACATCGTGTCAGGGGCACTGCTTAGCTCACTAAATATTTTTCACAACATTTCTTCTCCTCACCCAGTCTCTGAGTAGATGGGGCCCCACCTCCTATAGAATGTCTATCCCACCCCTACACCTCTACCCACTCCTCTGGCCTTGCTTTCCTCTGGTCCTTCTCTGCTAGCTGTTTCCTCTCAGACTATAAACACATCCAGACTTCCTCATCCTGAGAACAACCCCCTCAGCCTTGCATCCCCTCAGCACTCCCCACCACCTTCTGCTCTCTGCACTGCAGAGAAATGAGGAGAGAGCACTCCAGGTATGCAGGCTGCCCCTTCTCCCCTTCCTTCCACGGTCTCCTCAGCTACTGCCTCCTTCTGCCCTGGAGTGGCTTATGGCCTTTGCCAGCAGAAAATCACAACACTGGGATCTAGTTTCTCTTGCAGTCTGTCCCCATGCCCTCAAGTGCTCCCAGAAGCCATCCCACAGAGCCAAGCTGGTATGTTCTTATGGGATTCCTTAGAGGGCTTAGGAGGCCTGAACCTCCTTTTGTGAAGCAACAGGCAAAAGGGCGGGGGCTAGAAAACTTCCAAGCCCCTAAGGAACCTCAGCACTAGTGGCCCGGACTTTCCACAGGTGAGCAGAGGTTAAGGCAGACATGGTAACACCTCATCATTGCATGCATGTGAAGAAACACTGATGGCTGGGAAAGTAGAATCTGTTAACCCTCAGGACATCACATTTGATCCCAATGACTCTCTCAGCAAGTGATATGTATTAGTAATATTTAATCCAATATTTTGCTAATTTTAAATTACATGTTCATTTTTACAAGGAAGATTCCCCCAATTCCTATAGTAGATGCATGGCCATTTCACCCCATTCCCCTGGGAGGCTCCGTGGCCCTCTTGTTTAGAGCAACTGAGGCTGCAGCCCTGGTCTGTGGAAGGGCCCAGCCCCATGGGCCCATCTCACTGAAACAGACCCCACCAACACCCTGGACTGCAGACTCAGCTCAGCTGAGTACAGCACAGGGTCACCACTGAGTTGGGGACTGAGCAGCTTGTGTGGTACTCAAAGGAGCCCCATCAAAGGGGCATCAAGCACATCCTCGGTTTCACAGGTTGTGTATCTATTACACCAATTTTCCATGAGTGCAAGGAAAATGTCTTGAGGAAGGGGAACCTTTTCTAATTTACACAAAGGCCCTAGGAGGGCTAGCATGGGATGTCCCTAGGTCAGACTAGCAGTGAAATTGTCTGCACAGTCCATCCCCTTGGCTGTCCTCAGGGGAGCAGGGCTGCTGAGGAGCAAGACCAGCTGGCCATGAAAGGACACCCAGGGGTCTTGCTTTGGCCTTGGACTGGTGCCCACAGCCCAGGCCTGGGCCTCAGGGTTTTAGCTCCAAATGTCTCATTTTATATCTTCCCCAGAGGTGACCCATGCCCATCTTCCCATCCAGGTTCCCAGAAAGCAGTGCCAGCTCTACTATGAGCAGTGAAGGAGCACAATGTCAAAAGGACCCCAAAGCTCAGGTTGACTGGTCGGCATTTCCATTCCCCTCAGGACAGCCACAGGAGACTCCAGAATTGTGGCCAGGGCAGGCAGTCAGCAAATGACCTTAATGCACCATGATGGCTCTTGCACCATGTTCACAAAGGACAGACCCACCAGTCAGACCTGAGCAAACTGGCAGCTGGCCAGTCCTCCCTGGGCCAGGGCTGGAGACATCCACCGCCTGCCCCGGGGTTCCCCTGCAGGCATCCTTGGGAGGAATAGCAGGGGGGTAGGGCTTGGCTTCTGTACCCTCACAACCAGCAACCCCACAACACCTCACCCATGTCACGAGACCCATCTCTTCAGTCGCATGTCCAGAAGCGCCCTGGTTCTCCCAGCAGCTGTGCTCGCCCCTTACATGTAGGTTTTGTTGCAGGAACATTGTCATTTCCCCTGCTCCTATTTTCTTGAAGCCAGCCTCACGCTTGCCCCCATTTTTTCCTCCTGAAGAGCTGCTTGAGGAGCGTGTCAAGCAGGCTCTAGGGATGAACATTTCAGAAGTGATCTGAATGGTGTTGGTCTCAGGGGAGGAGCAGACAGCGGAGACTGCAGCCAGTCTGTACCAACAGGACCAGCCAGCACTGTATCTCCCTGTCCCCAGTGCCCCGAGATAAAAGCCATCAAGGCTGTTTATATGTGAGTACAAGAAGCAAGGAAAAGGATAGACAGGGAGGACTGATGGGCAGCAAACATGCCTGAAACCTGAGACCATGGACAGACTTGGAGGCAAGCCACAGCGGGATCCCCCTCTCAGACCCCCTGTCCTGCCCCCAGGCTCGCCGGAGTGCAGTGTATGACCGTGCCTGGCTACTCCAAGGGTTTCGGCTACCAGACAGGGCAGAGCTTCTCGGGGGAGTTTGACCATGCCTGGAATGCTGTGTACCTGGAGGGAAGATGGCACCTGGTGGACAGCACCTGGGGCAGCGGCCTGGTGGACACCATCACCTCCAAATTCACCTTCCTGTAAGTACTTGTCTCAGTTCTGCTGGGCGTCTGGCAGGTGGAAGTGGAGGATGTGCCAGGCAGCATGAAGCAGCAGGTGGAGAAGACCAAGCGGGAGGGGAAGGAGAGCCAGGAGGCCCCATGCCCACTCCTCCTCGGCTCTGAAGTGGGCTGGCTCCAGGCCAATTGTGAGGGCCCAGACCCTTTTGTCACCTCACCCTCCACTGACAAACTCCCCACTCTGACTCCCTATAACTCCCTCCACCAAAGCACTGAAAGCCTGCAGCATTTGCCCCCAGACCACACATGAGGAAAGGTGGGCTAATAGCCTTCTTTAGTTGTTGGCAGGTTCCCTTCCAGACTTTGGCCATTGACCACATTACCAGGCACAAATGCCAGAATGATCTCTTACTGCTTTGCCCAGACACCAGGCTCCTTCTCCTCTCAGGTCTGAGTGAGACCGTATCACATTTCTGAGGAAAGGGCTGTGGTTTTTGGGGAAGGGGTGCTATTGGCGGTGCAGGGTCACTGTGAGGCACAGTGGGGCAGGGCAGCCGGGGTGCAGAGGACTGGAGCATTTCTGTCCTCTGGGGCTCTGGCCAATCCTGGCCTTAACCTGAGGCTACATACAATATTCTTCATGGATCATGATGTTATCAGCAGCTCAGATTCCTTTTTATTCAGAAACATGAGTGTGCTCTCTCGATTTTTGCACCTTAAATCTTGACACTCCCACACATGGGACAAATACAAGCCATGTGCACACACATCCTACACGCAGGGCTCGCGTACTCACAGATACCCTCTTTACCTCTGTTATTCTCAACACTGCTCCTCTTAGGCAGAGCAAAGCCACCCCCATCTCAGGAAGGGCCTCTCTGTTCTTCTCTTGATCCCCATTACTGACATCCAGAGAGGCAGCACTCCAGTCGGCCCTGGAGAGCCACAAAAGGTCCCCGCCAGCACAGCTGCACAGCACAGAAACAGGTTGGGGTAGATGGAGGCAGTGAATTCAAGCACTCTGTCTCCCTGCCTTCCCACGACCCCACTGCGTGGTCCACAGGCTATGCCTTTCCCCCCTTTGAACTTCTGATTGTCTTTGAGCATGAGGCAGTCAGTTTTCCCCTCGACAGCCTAGGGCACTGAGTGCAGACCACAGTTGCAGGCTGTGGCCTTCCCTTAGAAGGGACCTCAGACCCTGCCTTGACTACAATTTCTGGAAGCATCCACTGAGGAGGAGTCTCCAGTGCCCATGTTAGGGTCGGAGATGGTGCCTCTTCCCATCCAGGGTGTCCATAGGACCACTCCGGTGGGTGTATTGGGCCCCTGCCTCCCCTGCATGGAGCTGGCTGCTAACCAGCTTGTCTCTGCTCCAGCTACAATGAGTTCTACTTCCTCACCCACCCTGCACTGTTCATCGAGGACCACTTCCCAGACAACAAGAACTGGCAGCTGCTAAAACCTCCTCAATCTCTGAGGCAGTTTGAGAACAACATGTATCACAAGAGTGAATTCTACAACAAAGGGATGCTGAGTGCCCACCCAGAGACTTCCATGATCAGAACAGGTGAGCCCGGAGCAGGTGCCAGTGTGCTAGCAGCAGGAATGGAGCATTTCGCACTGTCCTCCAGGAGCCCGCCTGAGACTGCGCTTTCAAGGCATGCCCTTCCAGACGCATGGCTTGTGAGCTTAGCACAAAGCTTGTGTGTGCATGTGGATGAGTGGAGGCTGCTGAGGCAGCCCAGGCCATCAGGGCAGGGAAGGGCCATAGGCCACATCAGCAGGGACAAAAGCTCACTCACACTAGCATAAACCCAGAAAGGGATGTGTCTGAAGGCTGCAGGTTTCCTAGAACTTGAAGGCTGAACACACAGCCTGGCATGTCACAGAAGCCAGGGCTGGGCACTTCCTAGCTGGGTGAGTCTCTCTCAGTTCACATAGCAGGGAAAAGGACTACGTCACCCTGGCTACACATAGCCTCTGGGCTCAGGTCCCCAACAGAAGCTACTGGCCTGCTGTGTTCTCTTCCCCAACTCCTGCTGGAGAGAATACATGGCCTCAGCAGAGCTGGAATCTGGGTGTTGGTGGTCCAACCAGCAAGGATGGGGAGCAACATGGGTCTCCCAGGACAGGTGGGGGCAGTCCCACCCAAGACAGAGAGTTGGGGCAGACTTCCTTAGGGAGGTGGCCACTGAGCTGGGTCTTGGGAGAGGAGAACAGGCCTAGTAGCTAGACAGAGATGGACATGTTCTAGGCAGCAGAGGAGAGGCGGGGACACAGTAAGCCCCCAGCCTCCAAACTCAGGCACCCCTGGATGAGGGCCAAGCTCCAGCACCTCTGCCTGGCTGGCTCAGTACCCCTCCCTTCTGGAGGCGGGACCCAGCCGTTTCCAGCCCACTCCCCTGGGGCAGTATAGGATACCCAGCTTAGCCATCTCCCATGGCTGGCCTGGGCTGACATGTGCTCTCCCAACCTTCACCACGGAGCCATGGCAGCTGAGTATGTTTGCACACTCTGAGGCATACGGGGGCTGCCCTGGAGGGCCAGAACTGGTCACAAAAAAGCAGGGCCTTCTCTGGAAGATTGTCTCTTATGCCTCTCCAAGGCCTTGGCACCTGATCCAGTGCTGGGCACACAGCCTGGGCACGCTGCACAGCCCTGTAAGTCGGGTCAGTCCAGCCTCCCACACCTCAGCAAAGGACTGCCTGGTGGCACCGTCTCTGCCACTGGGGCCTCCATCCGCCCAGGACAGGAGGTCTGAGCTCACACTGACTATTAGCACAGGGTGCCTGTGGGTGGGCCCAGAGCCCCTGGGGAGCTCCAACCCACATTGCAGGGCAATGGGGCAGCGGGGAGCACAGGTGTCCCCAAGTTAGTTCCAACTGACTTGTCCCTTCCACCACACAATGACTTCCTTTGCCAAGTTGCTGAGCTCTTGCAAACTCTTCCAACTCCAAATACCTGGCAGCTCCTGCAGCTAAAATAACAGCGTGAAGTTGCTCAATTTGAGAATCCATTTCCTGTGCTTACAACAGATGCAGGGCTTGTTCAATGTATCATAGGCCGTGGAAATATCGGAAAGAACTGACCAGGTCAAAGCAACACCAAACTGATGTCATTGAGTGGAGTTTGCCTTTTTAAGAGACATAAAAATATAAACACCAGATTCCTTAATTTATAGAAATCTAAACCTAAATATGATTCCATATATCTGATACTTATGTACAGAGTATTTCTTTGTGGTAGCTAGTTCTGTTAAGAGAGGGGAGGGGAAGGAAACAAAATAGGGAAACTGAGATGAGCAGAAAGGAAGGGAAGGAAGAGGGCACCTAGATAAGGGGCTGGAAAGCTGCCAGGCTCTAGGAGAGTGCCGTGGAGGGGAGAGGGGAGGAGGAGGAGGAAGAGGGGACTGGAAGAGCCGTGGACTCCCATAGAGGTCTGCAGGGGTGGCTAGTCCTTTATTTCAAGTCTTCCCAGTCATTCAACACACCTTTGGCAAGAACCCTCTGGGTGAGGCACCACAACCAGGCACTAAGACGTGGCAGGAAATGAAACAGGCTAGCCCCTTCACCACAGAGCCCACAGGCCAGCAAGGAGTTCGGACACTACACAAAAATGATCACATGATGAATTACAGCAGTGGAACGTTCCCTGAAGGACAGCCAGGGCTAGGAGAGAAGCTGCCAGGGAACTCAGCCTCAGCTGAGGGGTCCGGGTGGGCTGCTTTGCCACGGGGACATTACCATGAAGCCTTATCCAGGTTTGGGGGAAGTGGTGGGGAGGGAGGAGAGGGTAGGAGGAACCTGAGGCATGAAGGGTTGTGGCCTTGGAGGATCTGAGAGAGTGCTTGATACTGGCGAGGCAGGAAGAGACAGGCTTCTCCACGGGTCTCCAGCTTGAGGGCTCTGCCGTGAGCCCAGGAGTAGCCAGGTGGACGTTTTCAAAGGAGCCCTGGGGCTGCTGTGTGGGGTGCTGGGTGGTGCTCCACAATCAAAGGTGAATCTCAGGGGGATCTGGGCTTCACTGTGCAGAAAAGACTCACAGCCAGTTGTGAGATGGAACAGGACCAGGGGCCGTGAGCAGTGAGGAGCTGAGGTAGCTTCTGCCCACTGAGCTGGTTCAGAAGTGAGGGGAGAGGAGGGTTTTCACCAAGAGGGGATAGCAACTCTATTGATCTTGGTCACTTTCCTTTGGAGGTTACCATGGGACAGATGTGGCATGCAGTGGCTGAAGGCAGTAGAGAAAGCATGTAGACAAATAAAATAGCATGAAAGCACCAAGAGTCACACAATTTCAGTGTAACAGAAGGGGAAGCAATGGCATTGGAGTTAAGCAGTGCTCAGAGAGTGGGATGAGGGCCAGTCCTCAAAGAGTGGGGGTCGCAAAGAGGGGAGAGTACTCAGAGGAAGGCGTGGAGGCCAGCAGCCTAGGTCCTCCAAGGTCTGAGAGGCCTCGTTATTAGGAAGTCACTGGAGGGTGGGGGCAGAGGGAAGTCACTGCAGTGCCAGAGAGCTGACCGGCAGAGGGGAAATGGAGGCAGTGGGGGGATGTGTGGGAGTGTAGGGCAGGTGCGGAGTGGGCAGTATGTGACAGGGTTGGGACAGCTTTTGAGCTGGGACAGCCACGAAGAAGGTAGAGGGGCTGTCTAAGCAGCCTCCCCATCATGCTGGCCCATGTGGTCTTCTCCCATTCCTGAGGTGGGAGTTGGCATGGAATGCAGATTCAATGAGAAGTCTATTAAGGCCTTTGTCCTAGAGCCCAGGCACAGTGTTCTGCCTCCCCTACCAAGAGTCCAAGCTAGGGGAAAGTTCCTAGGGACATGGATCAGACAGCCTCTCTCCTTCCTTTGCACTCAACTGTGAACGGGGCTGGGGAGGTTGCTGGGGCTGGGAGCAGATGACCAGCTTCTGAGAGAATTAAGACCAGGCTCTAAGAGAAGCCACGGTCCCTCCCTGTGGCCCTGGAAGCCAGGAGGGACCAGGCAGGTGGGTCCTCATGGGCTACAAAGACTGGAGAACTGACCACCTGTCCCTCAAAATCAATGACCAGGACAGACGAAGATGAAACTTCAGAGCAAGGGGAGAGATGGGGGGTGGCAGTGTGGGGGTTGCAAAAGACCCTCCTGTGCACACACTGACTCTTCAGGACCCATTCCTGAAACATGGCTAAGATACACCTATGTGAGAAGCATGGGGTGGGGGAGGTGGGGATCAGGGAACTGCCCCACCCCAACCTCCTATGCACAGTCTCAGGGAGTGAAGCCATTCTCACTAGTTTTAAGGACAATGCGTTGACATGACAGCATTGACACTTAGACAGATGCTACAGGGAGCAAGGTGCAAGCTAGACCTGAGACTTGGGGGAGATGGTGCCCCTCCTGACCCATGACCCTCTCTGGACACAGGCAACCTTCATCTAATGTGAATCAATTGGGCAGGATGCACACATACAGCTTGGGATAAATTTTTCTAGAGGCCCCTTAGCTTTCATTTCTCTCAAAGAAAACCACCTGAAGGGAGCAGGGAACCCTTCCAGCGGTGTGCTGCCGCTGGCTGATGCCATGCTCAGTGAAGTCATATTGGTTGCTTGAAATGGACTGTGGTGAAAGTATTAACACCGTGGAAATAGACAAGCTCTATAAGTCAGGACGTTTTTCTCCCAGGGAGACAGTTGTTAAACATTTACCAGCACATCAGCACGTGCTGGACCCATCTCTGCTGACCCTGACTTTCTCTCCTCAGTGAATGGGAAGGCCACGGTCACCATTGAGAGCTGCGCCCCGACGCTGTTCATGTTCATGCTCAATGGCAAGCAAGAGCATGGGCTGCTGAGCCTAAGGAAGAATGGGATGAAGTTGGAGGTGTACCCTCCAACCATGGGCACTCACAAGCTGCAGATCTTTGCCAAGGGCAACTCCGACATCTACAGCTCAGTGCTGGAGTACACGCTCAAGTGCAATTATGTGGACATGGGTGTCCAGCTGCCTGCTGAGCTTCACCAGCCCGTGGGCCCCAGCTGGTTCTCGGAGCAGATGGGCATCATGAAGCCCTCCCACCCTGACCCTATCATCCACACCAGCGACGGGCGCTGCTCCATCAGCTTCAGCGTGGAGGAGGGCATTAATGTCCTGGCTTCCCTCCACGGGGATGATGGCCCCATCACTGAGGAGACACAGCGGCGCTACATCTTCCAGCTGCACCGGGAGAAGCAGACCGAGCTGAAAGTCCAGCTGCCCCATGCAGGCAAGTTTGCCCTCAAGATCTTTGTCAAGAAGAGGCAGGAACCAGGAAACTACATCTTCGTCTTTAATTACCTTGTATGCTGTGCCAACACCAAGGTGAACTGGCCCATGTTCCCTGAGAGCTTTGGCAACTGGGGACAGGACAATGAGCTGCTGGAACCTCTGTCAGGTGTGCTTCCTGCCAACCGGAATGTCCCATTCAAATTGAAGCTGCATGGTATTGCCAAAGTCCTGGTGAAGGGGCAGGACACATGGCCCCTGACCCTGAACCACGAGGGCTACTGGGAGGGAAGCTGCAGCACAGCTGGCTGCCAGGAAGTCTATGTCATGGTGCTGGAGAATGCCAACCACAATTTCTACTCCTACATCCTGAAATACAAAGTGAATGCCCAGTGAGGGCTGTGCCCCGGTCTTACCCTCCCAAAGGGCCAAGGCCAGACCTCCCCAGGGAGGGCTCGAAGGAAGTGCAGGGAGCCCTGGACACCACTGAGTCTGCATGAAATCCCTTCTAGGCCTCTGCCTCAGTGTCCCACCTCTGCCACAGGAGCTGTGATCTTTGTGTTCTGAAGGCTTCACTCAGGTGTGGCTGTGACTGAGGGGGCAGAGGCAGTGGCTCTTTAGAAGGAAAAGGTGCTATGTAAATCTAAGGTATTGTAAACTGTACACCTGCATCCAGATGCCCCTTCTCGTATTAGTGCTGCTGCTGTTGTTGTTGCTGTAGGGTTGATGAGGGAAAGCAGGGATATTGCCCAGGTTGACAGCTTTTCACATGATGCTTAGAGAATTCTCTTCCATGCCCAAGGGGACATGATTTGCAAGGCTGGGTTGTCCTTGAATCACAGAGCCCCTTTCAAGCAATATCACCGTGCCTCTCGACAGCTCCGAGCCCCCAGGGAATCTTGGACTATCTTCTCCTCCCAGACCTGATCATCTTCTGCATCCTGCTGCCTCTTCATTAGCTACTTCTTGTTCTTCAAGAGCCCAAGAAAAAGGGTGTGGTGAGGAAGCCAGCTGACCCACAACTGGCTGGAAGCTGATCGTCTCCAACATCCCTAAGTATAGTCAGGAATGTGACAACCAGAAAGTTGTGAGGAGACTGCAAAGCAAAGAGCAGCCCATGCCCGCTGTGGCTGTGCAGGTGGGAGGGACACTGTCGGCAGAGCTGCAGCCTTGGTCTGAGGGTGTAAGACCTCCAGCTCTGCTCTGAGAGGAGTACACAGGGCAGGTAGTTCAGTCTAAGGCCTGGAGTGCCCTCCAGGCCCTCACAGAGCCTGGGCCTCAGGCCCCTGCCCCACCTCCACAGAGAGCCTCCAGAGGCTGGCCAGGCCCTTGGGGAGTCTTGTGGATAGCCCTGAATAAGGACCTGGGCGCAGATCAGGTGAGTAGTGCAGTGCGGCAATGCCGAGGAGACTCACACTTTAACAGGGCTCTGCCTGCCCCCAGTGTCTCTACCAGCAAAGCCAGGGCTGGGAAGAATTCCAGCTGCACGAGAGCAGCTTTTGTGCCTGTCTCGGAGAAAACATCCTATCCCGTCTCCTTTCCTCCCTTCTCTGAGAAGACAGCCCCCTCCAGTCTCACCTTGCATGGGGACAGCTCAGGGCTCCTTGCTTGCTCAGGCACAGACTGAGAGGCCTCAGCTGCCCAGCTGGCCCTCAGCAGCGCCTCAGGCTGCCGTTGCCATGGCAACGGAGGAAAGGCTGACTTCAGCGAGGGCAGATAAGAGGGAAAGGCGAGAGAGGCCCCACATGGCCACTGCAGAACCATCCTGGCACACAGACATGCTCCCTGCTGAACTCCCGGCTTCTCCAGCTCCGTGGCCCCTGGCTGTCTCAGTGCCCCCCAACCCCTGAGAGCCAGCACTGCCTGGCACCTCTCCCCACAGCCCCTCCACAGGCCTCCAGGCTCAACCACAGCCAGGGCCAGCTGGGACCCTCATAGCTTCCTCCGTGGCACTCACCCTCACATCCCTGTATCCAACAAATGCTCACAGAAGTACCAGATGCTTGGGCTACAGAGGTGAACCAAGGGGGCCCGGCCCCTGCCATCCAGAGTACAGGGTGAGGAAACTGCCAGGCAGCAGCAGCCTTCCCTGCCCAGGCCTGACTGAAGATCCAGGCTCCAGACACTTCTGTTCATTATCCCCCGGGATCCCTCCCCTAAAAGTCCCCACTGCCACCCAGCACGGTGGCCTAGCCCAGAACCAGCTCACAAGGGTGCCCATCATCCAACAGGCCGGCGGCCTCGAGCAAAAGGGGTGTCTCCCCTGGGGGGCTGAACTGTCCTGGGCAGGTCCTGCGCCCTCCGCAGTCTCTGCCACCGAGGCCACCCAGCCAGCCTCGTGTCACTCACACCTGAAAAATGCACAAAGGCCCCGGAGGCATAACAGCTATGCACCACCACAGGGAAACAAAGGGAGTTTTACACCCTGAAAACAGCCGTCTTGCACACTTCTGATTTTATGGGCTTAAAGAAATGTGTTTGTTTCATCAAAACAATAAGTGCCTTCGATGACGCATGTCACTCACTGGACCCCGCGCTGGCTGCCTCGCTTAGTCCTGCTGGAGACCCCCATACCTTTTCGATATGCAATATAATTAATCAATACATCCTGGAGCATTGCAGAGAATGCCACCCAGCAAAATAGGAGCTGTCCCCAGCACCAGAGAGGGAGGCCCCGCCCCTCAAAGCACCGCAGGGCATCAGCAAGCCCCTCCCTCTCGTTTAACTAGGCACCCCCTTTGTAAAGACAGCTGTAGGCGCAGTCAGAAAATCACCTGCATTTCTTTCCACTGAAGTAAAAATACATGAAATGAAATCTAATCTTCATGAATTTTTACACGCATGCTGCTCAGGGTAGACATTCGGAGTTGCATTTTGAAGGCTTTTCTTTAAATCCCCATCTTTGTTTCCCGGGCGACGAGTCCCAGTCGCCGGCGGAATGGCACGGGCGCCCCCAGGTGTCCGAAGTGCGGAGCTGCCGGCGCTGCACACCGCGAGGCTGATCTATCACCGGGCTTTTTCGCAGAACTTGAAAATGCTGTGGAAATGTTTATGTTAAAATCACTAGGTGCTTTCTCGTGGCTTCTCAGCGCTACCTTATGTGTACACGGAGGACATCTTTGTCACGCACAAGCTGTGAGGGCATCCTGGGGGACAACCTGGTGTGTTGAAAAGACAAGGGATGTGATGGGACTGTTTTGCCTGGAAATAACTTCTTGAAACAGAAGCACTTGACATAGGACTGGATGGAACAGCTGTGACTACACTCATTACTATACCATTGAAGGATTGGAACCGATCAAACTCAGAAAGTATCTGCTTGCAATTCTCAGGATGGCAGCCCCCAGGCCACAGGGCAGAAGGGAACCGAGGGTGGAGGAGTGGTGGGCAGAGGCACTACAACCACAACTTCAGTACACTTCTTTCCAGCTTGTTTCAGAAGTGCCATAGCTCAGCTGGACTCCATTTTCAATCTGATTATGATCATTGTGAGTTCCCCATATGTTACATTGTCCTACCAGGACAGCCTCCTCACTGCCTGCTAAGATTAAAAGTAAATAAATAGACTAACTGAAGCATGAAGGATTTCGGCTAGACATAAAGAACTATTTCCTGTTGTTAAGCAGGAGGGACAAGTTGCCAAGAAAGTTTGTGAAATCCTCTTCTCAAAGGACTTGAAAAGGAGAAAAGTTTTCCCAGTGGTCTGAGGTTTTAGATGCCATGTTCACTAGAAGGAGTGGGTTTTCTCCTCTCCAAACCAATTAATTCCTGAGATATCCTGGTCTGCCTGCAGCAAACAGAGGGTTAACAGCATCACTACATCATTTGCTATTGGCAAAATTTTCGAAGATGGTGTGCCTCTATTGCCCGCCTCAGTTTATCTTAGGTCTATAATTTCTTTTCATTTGGAGTAAGTAGTCGGCAATTGAAAGAGGTGATTACTTCTCATAATGTGTGCATTGAGTTGTGTGGGCCGGTGGCTGTTGAGTATGCTTTCTCCATGTTGTTGCTGGTGTTGTTTTTCAATAAAATTTATATTCATTTTTATCCAACAATGTAATTATCGATTCATTCTTATCATGTATCTCACAAGGTGGGAAATGGAGAGAAACAGGAAAAATGCTTTCATGTTCAAAGGAAGCCCTAGAAAAAAATCAATGTCCCAGCCAGTTGAATGCGACGGTGAGATGCGAATGGAATGTCAGGCAAATAGCTATTTCACATTAAAGAAAACATAATCAGGTTAGCTCCAGCCACTCTATGGTTCACATGCCTTTGAAGAACACGAAGGCACTGTTTCTTTCATTGAATCTTGTTTAACTTGAAAATTTTAAAGTCAATCCTAATTTATTTTTACAGTGGGAGAAAAAAAATTACCAAAAATGCCTATCAGCCTACTTTTCTTTTGAATGTATATAAATATGTACTTCTTGATATTCATATACATGCAGAAACTTTCCAGCCGGTCACCTAAGCAGATTATTCATAAACTAGACATTTAGAGAAATACAGAAAATGAAAAATCCAGACATTTCTGAGAAGCTGCTGTAACCATGGAGACCATTCTCGTAGCTGTAGTGTGAAGGACAAAAAGAACTTGTGTTCCCAAATCTGGCTTCGTCATGTCTCTCGCTGCTAGATCCACAAAAACGAGGCCCAGCATGCTTCTCCTTAGGAAGGAGACCCGGCAGCATATTAAGAGGAAGTCAGAAGAAACAGTCTTCCACACAAAAGAAGGAGTAGCTCTTGAGTTATTAGAACAGTCTGAAAATGCCATCCCCAAAGCTGGAGTGGATGACCTCCAATGTCCCTTCCAGTCCGGAGAGTTTGTGATGCCGTGTCTCTGTGAACAGATGCTGGCAGGCAGTGGGCCTGGGGTTGTCAGTTACAGAACATCTGAAGGGCCCTGCTGTGGAACATCTGAAGGGCCCTGCTGTGTTAAGAGCCTGCCCCTGGAGCCCCTGGCAGACTGCACTGCTGGCTCCTCTCTTGCCTGAGGGCAAGGGGCTGGAGAAAGCCCAGCAGAGGGACCAAAGGGGAAGAACAGCCTCTGACAGGATGCTGGTTCTGTCTGATTTTGCAAGCAGAACTAAAGGAAACTGAAAGTTAACGGGGATGTCCTCTTTGGGGTGTCCCACAGGCATCTCCGAGTCAAAAGATGCTAAACTGGAGTTACTTCTCTCCCTCAAATTACTCCCAACTCCTCCTGGGTCCCCAGTTCAGTAAATGCATCCCTATCCAACCAGATAACTAAGTTAGACTCATGGCAGTCACTGGTGATGAAACCCAGTCCCTTCTGGATGTGTCTCACCTCCCACCTGCTCTCCCAACTCCACCTTCTCTCCTTTCCCACGACCTGCTACAAACCAGGTCCTCATGATCTCAGCTATACTGTTTGTGTCTTATACTTTCCATGGGGAGATGAAGCCTCCCGGCCCTATTACTGTCCACAATGGCCTCCCATTCATATATTCTTATCACACTAGGACGATAGGGTTGTTAAGACAAGGTTTCCAAGAAATCCTTTCAGAACAATCTCACCATCTCTGGAAAGACATAATTGGTATTAGGCACTAGCGGGAAAGGCAGGTCTTCAACAAAAAACTGGTTTTTATAGGGAATCGGAAAGAAGCACTGTCTCCTTTTTCTCTAAAGAGACAAGGTGCCAAGGCCACCCAGTCAGCCTCGTGTCACTCATGCCCGAAAAATGCACAAAGGCCCCAGAGGCATAATAGTTATGCACCACCACAGGGAAACGAGGGGTGTTTTACACCCTGAAAACAGCCTTTTTGCACACCTTTGATTTTACGGGCTGAAAGAAATGTATTGTGTTTCATCAAAATAATAAGCACCTTCGATGATGCATGTCACTCGCTGGACCCCACACTGGCTGCCTCGGCCTACTTCACTACTGGGTGAGGGTATGCAGGGTGGCTCTTCGTACCACAGCCAGGCGGGGGACTCAATGGGGTGCAGAGGTGGAGCCCTACCTGCAGGTAAACAAGCTCCATCTTGAAGCCAGACTCTCCACATCCATGGCTTCCAGCTTATTTCCCTCCTGTCCTCCTGCACCAACAGCAGCACAGATCATATGTTCAGGTGGACCAGTTCTATTCCCAGGAGAACAGATGCTGAGACACAGTAGGAATGTAAACAGTGTGCTGGAGGCAATACCTGTGGAAGTTAAAAGGGAGGGGGGAAGCAGGATGAGTCAGAGAGAAGCTCAGACAATGGTGCAAGTCTGACCAAGTCCCAGCCAACCCAACAGGAAGTTCCAAAACAAAGATTTGTATTAGAAGAGTCTGGAGCTGTACAGAAATGGCCAGGCCCTAGAGAAACCATCATGCTCAGCCACTTGCTGGGGCTGCCTGGCAAGAGCTTGGCCTCAGTTCAAAAGCTCAGGCAGACCTTGAAGGTGCTAACACCTGGAGTCTCTCCGCGACCTGCACTCCTTGCAGAGAATCAGCAACTTCTTCCAGAAGGGAGACCTGTGCAGCACACACAAGTTAACTTGCCTATGCTATGGAGGGTTCAGGAAAGACTGGGTGAGGGTTCTGTGTGTGCAGTCAGCATACCCAAAGCCATCTGGGATCCAGCAATCACTGAAAAGTCTTCACAAGATGGTTTGTGGAAGGGACAGCGGCCTCTACATAGGAGAAATATGTACTCCAAGGGCCCACTTTCAAGGTGTTGTGGACTAATTTGATGAAAGGCAGCTTCTTTCTTATTTCTCCTTCTCTCCCTCTTGCCCCTGCCATCCAGGGAAGCCTCAACACAACAGCCAAGAGGATCGCTCCATGCTGCACTCTTACTTAAAACCGACCAATGGTTCCCCATTGCTCAGGGATGAGACTAGACCCCCACTCTGGCCTCACACTGCTTTCTCCACTTTGTCTCCCATCACTCTCCCTGAGAGCCCCTTAGAATCATCAACCATGTGACACCAGGCAGTCCATGTACCTCCCACCAGCGTGCTTTATACATGCTGTCCTTTCTAGCCAGGACGTCTTTTCCTGCCTGAGGAAGCCCTGCCTGGCCTTTGTGGATCAGGCCAGCCCACCACTCTGTCAGACCTTCCTAGTCCTCCCACTGCCCAAGCCATGGGGAATTATCTGCCTATCTTCCATGTTCATGTCACACTTTGTTGCTCATCTGTTAACCCAGAACCTTCTACAAGATTCTGGGATTCAGGAAGTACTTGGAGGTTCTGCCCCTAGGATGTGAATTCCTTGAATATATATGCTTTGGTTCTGCTCCTCGGCACACAGTAGGTGTTTGGTAAACGCTTGGCAAGTGTTTCACTGGGAAAACTAAGACAGACTAGGAAGACAGGGCCAGGAAAGTACTACTGCCTAGCAGTCCATAACCATCCACTGAGCATTTGTCAAAGCATGTTCCCATTTCACCAGGTCTAGCCCTTGTGTTTTTGCCCAACTCTGTATGCCACATACTGGACATTGAGGAGGGGAACCCAAGATTCTCTCAGAGGAGGGCCACATCCTGGGGAGGGCTGGGAATGTGGGGTGAAGTAACCACCCTGGAGGAGGCTGAGGATGCAGCTAACAGTGGTCTTCAAAGGAAGAGGCCCTTTACCAAGTCCAGCATCTAAAAGAGGACACATACTGACTACTTGGAAGATAGAACAAGTCCTGAAAGTAGGACTTGGTCTTGACTAGAGAAGGATGGCCACCCTGCCTGTAAAGGTGGGTAGCAGAGGGTTGTCAGGCATTCTTTGGCTGTGAACAGTTTTAATGGAATTTTCTTTCCTTTATCTAGATTTGTTCCCGCTCCAAATTTTCCCCATGGCCCTGTTTGAAGATTATATAACCTAAGCTTGATGCTTCTATTTAACCCAGAGTGACATAAAAATTTAGCTGAGGGCACCTGCTGATCCCATTCCCACCCACCCACCCAGAGACCAACAAACAAACCTTTCCACGGGAAAGCTTCTAAAGCCCCAGAAGAACCTGTTTTCTCGGGAAAGAGCTGCAAAATGGCAAATATAGCTATTTAGGATCTAAAGGCATTAACATCTTCTACAGCAAAGCCTGAGTATGTGGGGCTGTCTTGAAGACCGTTGATATATTGGAAAGTAATGCTCCAGGGAACACTCAAACTCATGGTTTCTTTGAGCACAGTTGTCCTCAAGGCTGATCCTCTGAAGAGGAGCCCCTGCAGGATGAAGTGTAAAAAAGACAAAGCACCACGAAGTGGTATCCAGTGGTATCCAGTGTATCCAGTGGCAAAGCCAAGCCATGAAGGATTGAGAATGAGAAGGCCACCTAGACAGGGCCCACCAAGAGATTCCCTCTCTCCAATTAAACCAGCACTCTAGATGTTTAGTCATCATTGCCAGGGGTACTGGGTTTAGACAGATTCTGAGGCCACAACTGGGTTCACTAGGAAAGAGTGTCATGACTAGCTAGTGATCCATAGACAATGGATTGAAGGGTGAGGTGTGCCATGTATTTGCCAATCCCAGCTTAAAGGTAGCTAAATCAGGGCTCAGACCAAAATAATGAAGGAGACTGTTTAGTCCGTTCTCACACTGCTAATAAAGACATACCCGAGACTGGGTAATTTATAAAGGAAAAAGATTTAATTGACTCACAGTTCAGCATGGCTGGGGAGGCCTCAGGAAACTTAACAATCATGTCAGAAGGGGAAGAAAACACATACTTCTTCTCATGGCGGCAGCAAGGAAAAGTGCTGAGCAAAAGGGGGAAACACCCCTTATAAAATCATCAGATCTTGTGAGAACTCACTCACTATCACGAGAACAGCATGAGAGTAACCACCCCCATGATTAAATTACCTCCCACTTGGTCCCTCCCATGACACGTGGAGATTATGGAAACTACAATTCAAGATGACATTTGGTTGGGGACACAGCCAAACCATATCAGAGGCTATTCAGACCAGTGGGGAGCACTGGCTTCCCATTAAGCTAGCCCATGGACTGACAACCAGTCAGCTTTCAAACCAAAGGTCCCAGGATGTGCTGGGGGCCTCCTGACCTCACCTGAGCTCCAGGAGGATTCCACGCAACATGCATGCCACCCAGCTCAGAGGACACAAATGCACACAGGCATATCAACTCTAGGGAGAAGGAGCCTAGGCTGAGTGTGTTTGCTCTTTTATCTCCATGATTAAACAGTGCCTTGCATTTAGAATAAGTGATCAGTAAATTTTTGAAGTGAACATTGCCTTGTCATTTCAAAAACAAAATGATAGATCTCTGGGTTGTTTACATGGCTGTTGACCAAAACAGCTGTTGAGTTACAACATCCTAAATAGTCATTTCCTTCTTTTGCTCAACTAGGAAAGCATATGCACAGCAGTGTACTCCTTTGCCCCTGTGGGAAATGTATATTTACAAGAGGAGAAAAATTGCCACCTGGCTGGGAGTGCTCATGGTGTTTGCCTCTGGGAAACAATCAGTGCATGGGCAACCAATCAATGGGAGGAGTGCCGTTCTTCTCGGGGGAATCCGCCCGCCCTGAGCATGTGCCGAGATTGCTTTGTTTCTATCAGGGGGAATGGCTGACTGCCTCTGTGACACAACGAATCAGCCATCATTTCGCCCTGGCTGTGCAGGGACCAAGGCAGTGACGTCCCCCTTTATGGTGGCAGGGGCAGCTATGGAGAGGCTGGTGGCATGAGGGCAGAGGGGCAGCCACAACTGTGAGTACACAAGAACAGCTGGGCTGAATGACTGACGAAGTGCAGATATTAGGAGTGGGGAGCCCCTGGCAGCTCCCATCTGGGTAAAGGATGGTGGTGAGGAAAAATGAGGAAGCGTTTATTTAGAACAAAATGACGGTGGGATTACAGATTTCCTAGTGAACACTTTGCTCATATTTATATTTGTATTTGAATGTATGTGAACACCAAGGAGATCTGGAAATTAACATCCACCATTTTATTCTATTTAAAAAGTTAAATGAAGCCAAGATACTGGCAGCACTTGAAGGCTGTCCCCTCCTCCTATGCCCTTTGGGATAGCCCCACCCTAGGGACTGGGCAAGTGTGGGTACCATGAACCTTTTGGCATTCATTTCATGAGTATCAGATCCCCTTCTCCATCTCCCAGGAGCAACACAGTGGAGAGAACACGTTAACCTGATTGTGGGAGGGCATCCACTCTGGCAGTGAAAGCTTCACTTGACATTTTTAAAGCTCAACAAGAGTGTTAAAGTCTATCTTTAAAAGAAGTGAATGGGCTTCCTCTGGAAAGATGGCCTCTTAGCCACTGGTCCCCTGTTAGACTGAAATCTGTCTTGTGTGGTCAGGAGCCATTAATGTGTGATTGAAGCCTCGAGTTTTCCTCTATACACATTGATTTCACTTGGAGAAGCCCTGTGGACCCCTCCTCCTCCTCAGCGTTGGCAGTCATGAGCCTGGGGAAGCCTGTGGCTCAGCCCCTGTTTGACAGCAGGTAGGAGAGTGTGCCAGCTAAGAGCACACACCTGGAGCTGACCGCCTGATTCCTAACCCCAGTTCTGCCAGCTCCCAGCTGATTTGTGCAAGTTACTGAACCTCCCTGTTTTTGTTTCCTCATCAGTAAAACAGGGATACTCATAGCACCTACTGTGTACACTTCTTATGGGGATTAAATGAGCTAACATATGGTACAATGACTAGAAAAGTCCCGGGCACATAGTAAGTACTCAGTAATTATTGGCTACCATCACGATGCATCAGTCATCATCAGCATAATGAGGATGACACTGATGTATTGTTCCCTAAGGAATCCAAAAGTCTCAAGCCCCTCATAAAATTGTGGCAATCACTGATTTCAATGCAGAAATCCCATATCCAAGACGCAATCACCCAGTCTTTCCTAGAATCCTTCCAGGGACCAGGAGCTCTCCACTCCATGAGGCAGCTGTCCATTACTGGACACCTATGTTAAGGCCTTACCTATACAAAACTGCCTTAAATTAGGGCAGCTGAGCCAATCCACCCACTGGGCTCAGTGAGTTGTCTATTATATGATGGGACAACCATGTAGTGGGAGCCCGGAATCACCAGTACAAAGCCTGGCTCTAGTCTGAGGGTTCCGGGGACTAGGTAGGAGCAACTGCAATATACTCAGACACGGAAGGGAGCCAAAAGAGCAGATGAAAAGAAAAAGAAAACCTTCCACTCGAGAGAGCTGTAAATCAACATACGAAACCACATGAAGAAAATTAATAGTTAAAAAAATTAATGAATTGTTTTCAAAAATACAATCTGCATACTGAATGGTGAGACCACCTCAAACCCTGATGTTATTTAACTCCCCAAACCTGGCTGGCTGACTTTTGTCCTCAAAGCAAAAACTGGAGGGTATCACTGAGAAAACAGATCAACCTAAGAAAAAAGGCCTACAGGTACCATCTGTAACCACCACCCCAGTGAAAAGACCAGCACCCCATTTGCCCATCTTTGGGAAGCCAGTCAGTCAGTTCCTCCATACACACACACACACACACACACACACACACACACACACACACACACCAGTTTGCAGATGGCATTTGTGGTTGTTTGAAAAAATGTCCATGAATTCTTTGGTGCTCCTACATTCAAAAGGAAGAGCCTAATTCCCATCCTTTTATGTGCAGGCCATACTTAGTGACTCTCTTCTGACAAATAGAATGTCGCAGAAATGATGGTGTGTGACACTCAAAACTAGGATATAAAAGGCATTATAGCCTCCTCCTTATTCTCTCCAGATCACTTGCTCTCAGCAAAGCCAGCTGCTAGTTGTAAAGATGCTCGAGCAGCCTCTGGAGAGGCCCACATTTTGAGGAACTGAGTGAGTCCTCCTGCCAACAGCCATGTGAGTGAGCTATCTTGGAAGCAGCTCCTGTGAGGATTTTGCAGCCCTGGTGAGCTTCTTGACTGGAACCTCATGAAAGACCCAGAGCCAAAACCACCCACTTTAGCCATTCCTAAATTCCTGACCCTGAAAAATTGTAAGGTCACAGAAAACTTATTATTTGAAGCTGCTAAATCTGGGGGTAATTTGTTACACAGCCGTAGATAGCTAATAGAGCATTTTAGTATCTCAGTCTGGTTTTATTTTATTTTATTTTTTGGGGGGACAGGGTCTGGCTCTGGCTCTGTTGCCCAAGCTAAAGTGTAGTGGCATGATCTCAGCTCACTGCAACCTCTGCCTCCCAGGCTTAAGCCACCTTCCCACCTCAGCCTCCCAAGTAGCTGGAACTACAGGCATGTACCACCACACCCGACCAATTTTTTTTGTTTTTTTTGTTGTTTTTGTTTGTTTGTTTTGTAGAGATGGTGTCTCACTTTGTTGCCCAGGCTGGTCTTGAACTCCTGAGCTCAAGCACTCCACCCACCTCGGCCTCCCAAAGTGCTGGGATTACAGGCATGAGCCATTGTGCCTGTCCTGTATCTCAATATTAAAAAGGACTTTGAGAAGACTTCCAAAGATCCCCAGACCTGAGGAAAATGTCTGACCTACAGGAGCTCCACAAAGAGAATCATAACAACAGCAAACACTGTCACCATGCCTAGCTTGCGCCAGAATCTGCTGAGGATTAAATTATTAAAGACATAATTCAATGAATTTCCCAGGATTGTGGGACACTCACAGAGCAGTGAATGAAAACAGACCCACTCTAAGGCTTGTGATTATGAATTTCAGATCACTAGAGACAAACAGGTCTTCCAGAGAAGAAATAAAGCAAGTCACTTGCAACAGATGAGGAATCAGAATGACTTCACACTAGCAATGCTGGAAGTGAGGAAACAGTGGTGACATACCTTCAACATTCTGCAGAATAATTTCCTACCTACAGTTTTATCCTCAGTTAAAATCTCAATCAAGGGTGAGAGTAGAATAAGAACATTTAGAAACATTCAAGGTCTCAGAGAAAATCTGCCTCTCATGAGCCATCTCTCTGGTGGAGTGCTCCACCCAGTGAGGGACAGAGACCAAGAAAGAGGTCTGCTTGGAACCAGGAAGCTCCTTCACAAAGAAGAGACAAAGGGAATTCCTAAGAGGATAGTAATGGGATGTGTCTGGAGAACAGCTGTGCAGTGAGCAGGATGAACACAGTCCAGACAGGAGCAGGGCAGACCTGTCCAGGAGGTATGTCATAGGAAAAAATAAAATGAGACTGATAAAGTGGTTACCTGATGTAGCTGACTTTATTGAGGGAATTGTATAGTGCCATTAAGGACTTTGGAGGACCATCTGGTGAAAGGTATGCAAAAAACTAAGCAAATGCTAGCTCCATGAGGAAAAGTTGTACAAAGAAAGTAAATGTAATTGTAGTGTACTGTATGTTGACATTTACATGGCCATAATAATGTAAATGCCAAGTATTGATGTGTTGTTAGGCACTGTGTTTGGACGTCTGAGAGCTATTCCAGCCCCATTCTTCCTTTCCCATCTTCCACTCTAGAGTGAGCAAATTCCCGCTTTCTCTTAGTAATGCTTGGTAGATTTTTGTGGAGTCTTGAACATCTTTTATTAGATATGTTTCTGGGTATTTGCAGGTATATTTTTGATAATGTGGTAAATGATATAAATTTTTAATTTAATTTTCTAATTGCTTATTTCTAATGAGTAGAAATAGAACTATTGTCATGCATTGACCTAGTATCCAATTATCTTACTAAATTTACTAATTAATTCTAATCATTTATAGGGAGGTCCTTTTGGATTTTCTACACACACAATCATGTTGCCTGTGAATAATTATTTTTTTCAACTTCTGTTTTAGGTTAAGGGGTATATGTACAGGTTTTTTATGTAGGTAAATTGAGTGTCATGGTGGTTTGGCAATGTACAGATTATTTTGTCGCCCAGGTGATAAGCATAGTACCCAATAGGTGTTTCGATCCTCACCCTCCTCCCACCCTCCATCCTCAAGTAGGCCCCAGTGTCTGTTGTTCCCTTCTTTGTGCTCAATCTTTAGCTCCCACATATAAGTGATAACATGTGATATTTGGTTTTCTGTTCCTATGTTAGTTCACTTAGGATAATAGCCTCCAGCTCCATCCATGTTTCTGAAAAGACATGATTTGATGCTTTTTTATGGCTTCATAGTATTCCATGGTGTATATGTACCACATTTTCTTTATTCAGTCTACCATTGATGAGTATTTAGGTTGATTCCATGCCTTTGCTATTGTGAATAGTGCTATAATGAACATACGCATGCATGTGTCTTTATGGTAGAAAAGTTAATATCCCTTTGGGGATATACCCAACAATGAGATTGCTGGGTCGAATGGTATTTCTGTTTTAAGTTCTTTGAGAAATCACCAAATTGCTTTCCATAATGGCTGAAATAATTTATATTCCCACCAGCAGTGTATAAGCATTCCCTTTCCTCCACACCCTTGCCAATATGTTTTTTTTTTGACATTTTAATAATAGCCATTCTGACTGGTATGAAGTGATGAATAAGTAATTTTTCTTCTCTGTCATTCTACCTTTTATTTCTTTTCCTGATCTGATTGTGCTGGGTAGAAGTTATGATGGTAGTAGGTATTATTTTCTTGTTCCCAATCTCAGGGAGAAAGTGCTCAATATTTCACTATTCCAGATGATGTTAAACAAAACTTGCATGCTTGGAATAAACTCAGCTTGGTCATAATAGATTATTCTTTTTATATATCACTTCTTATATATCATTTGATATGGTCATAATTTGTTTAGGGCTTTAACATCTATATTCATAAGAGAGTCTGTACTTGTCTTTTTTTGAAATGTCCTTGTCAGATTTGGTTTCAAGGTTATGCTGGTCTTATAAAATGAGAAGAGAATTATTTCCCCTTTTGTCATTCTCTGAAAGAGTTTGTTGTATAGGCTTACTTCTTCCTTAAATATTTGGAAACATTCACTGATGAAGCCATCTGAGCCTGATACTTTTGTTGTAGGAAGTTTTTCAATTAAGGATCAGTTTTAAAATTATTTATGACTCTTCAGATTTTCTAATTCTTCTTGTGTCCATTTTGTATGATGAGTTTTTAAAAGAATGTATCCATTGTGTTTAAATGTTTACAGCTGTTGGCAAGGAGTTATTGATGCCTTTTTGTTACTGTCTGTAAGATCTGCACTTGTTTGCTTTTTATTATTTTTATTCCTGATATTTGTAATTTGTATCTTTACATTTTTTTCTTGATAAGTCTAGTCAGAGGTTCAATCAATCTTATTAGCCTTTTTAAAGAACTAACTTTTGATTTTGTTGTTTTCTCTATTGAACATTCATTTTCTAATTCATTAATTGCTACTCCTTATGTCTTCCTTCCATTTTCTTGACGTTTAGTTTGCTCTTTCTTACCTTTTTAAAATAAGTATTTAGATCATTTACTTTCTCAATGCTTTTCTTTTTTAAAATATAAATTTAAAGCTACCAGTTTCCCAGCGAGCACAACTTCAATTGCACACCAAGAGTGTAGTCATTTCATGATCATTCAGTTCAAAATATTCTCTACTTTCAATTGTGATTTATTTCTTTCACCCAAGTGTATTTACAAGTGTATTGCCTAATTTCCGAACACTTAGATATTTTTTTTAAATACCATCTAAAATGTATTTCTAGTTTAATTCTACTCAGTCAAGGATTATATTATTTTATTCATTTGAATTTGTTGAGCATTTGTGTCTCAACATATGTTTAATATTAGTTTTATTTTCATTTATTTATTTATTTATTTTTGAGATAGAGTCTTGTTCTGTCACCCAGCCTGGAGTGCAGCCGCACTGTCTCAGCTCACTGCAACCTCTATCCCCCTCAAGTGATTCTCCTGCCTCAGCCTCCTGAGTAGCTGAGATTACAGGTACGTGCCACCACACCCAGCTGATTTCTGTATTTTTAGTAGAGACGGGGTTTTGCCATGTTGGTCAGGCTGGTCTCGAACTCCTGGCCTCAAATGATCGCCCACATTGGCCTCCCAAAGTGCTGGAATTACAGACGTCATCACCATGCTCAGCCAATATTAGTTTTACTTGTATTTGAAGAGGGACATATTCTGACATTTTGGGGTGGAATCTTCTTCATATGTCCATTAATTCAAGTTTGTTAGTCTTGTTTCTCAAATCTCTTACATCTTTACTTAGGTTTACTGAGAGAGATGTATTAAAAACATCCATTTCCTTTTTTTTTTTTTTATAGGGGGGTCCATTCCAAGATGGCCAAATAGGAACAGCTCCAGTCTGTAGCTCCCAGCGTGATCGATGGAGAAGACAGGTGATTTCTGCATTTCCAGGTGAGCTCCAAAGAGAGCAGTGGTTCTCCCAGCATGGTGTTTGAGCTCTGAGAACAGACAGACTGCCTCCTCAAGTGGGTTCCTGACCCCTGTGTAGCCTAACAGAGAGACACCTCCCAGTAGGGGCCGACAGACACCTCATACAGGCAGGTGCCCCTCTGGGATGAAGCTTCCGGGGGAAGGATCAGGCAGCAATATTTGCTGTTCTGCAGCCTCCGCTGGTGATACCCAGGCAAACAGCGTCTGGAGTGGACCTCCAGCAAACTCCAACAGACCTGCAGCTGAGAGACCTGACTGTTAGAAGGAAAACTAATAAACAGGAAGGAATAACATCAACATCAACAAAAAGGACATCCACACCAAAACCCCATATGTAGGTCACCAACATCAAAGACCAAAGGTAGATAAAACCACAAAGATGGGGAGAAACCAGAGCAGAAAAGCTGAAAATTCTAAAAACTAGAGCACCTCTTCTCCTCCAAAGGATCAGAGCTCCTCGCCAGCAACGGAAAAAAACTGGACAGAGAATGACTTTGACGAGTTGACAGAAGTAGGCTTCAGAAGGTCAGTCATAACAGACTTCTCTGAGCGAACGAAGCATGTTCTAACCCATCGCAAGGAAGCTAAAAACCTTGAAAAAAGGTTAGACGAATGGCTAACTAGAATAAACAGCATAGAGAAGACATTAAATGACCTGATGGAGCTGAAAACCATGGCACGAGAACTTCGTGATGCATGCACAACCTTCAATAGCCAATTCGATCAAGTGGAAGAAAGGATATCAGTGATTGAAGATCAAATTAATGAAATAAAGCAAGAAGATAAGATTAGAGAAAAAAGAGTAAAAAGAAACAAACAAAGCCTACAAGAAATATGGGACTATGTGAAAAGACCAAATCTATGTTTGATTGGTGTACCTGAAAGTGACGAGGAGAATGGAACCAAGTTCGAAAACACTCTTCAGGATATTATACAGGAGAACTTCCCCAACCTAGCAAGGCAGGCCAACATTCAAATTCAGGAAATACAGAGAACACCACAGAGATACTCCTCGAGAAGAGCAACCCCAAGACCAATAATTGTCAGATTCATCAAGGTTGAAATGAAGGAAAAAATGTTAAAGGCAGCCAGAGAGAAAAGTTGGGTTACCACAAAGGGAAGCCCATCAGACTAACAGCAGATCTCTCAGCAAAAACCCTACAAGCCAGAAGAGAGTGGGGCCAATATTCAACATTCTTAAAGAAAACAATTTCCAACCCAGAATTTCATTTCCAGCCAAACTAAGCTTCATAAGTGAAGGAGAAATAAAATCCTTTACAGACAAGCAAATGCTGAGAGATTTTGTCACCACCAGGCCTGCCTTACAAGAGCTCCTGAAGGAAGCACTAAACATGGAAAGGAACAACTGGTACCAGCCACTGCAAAAACATGCCAAATTGTAAAGACCATCGATGCTATAAAGAAACTGCATCAATTAACGGGCAAAATTACCAGCTAACATTATAATGACAAGATCAAATTCACACATAACAATATTAACCTTAAGTGTAAATGGGCTAAATGCCCCAATTAAAAGTCACAGACTGGAAAATTAGATAGTCAAGACCCATCAGTGTGCTGTATTCAGGAGATCCATCTCACATGCAGAGACACACATAGGCTCAAAATAAAGGGATGGAGGAAGATCTACTAAGCAAATAGAAAGCAAAAAAAAGCAGGAGTTGCAATCCTAGTCTCTGATAAGACAGACTTTAAGGCAACAAAGATCTAAAGAGACAAAGAAGGCCATTACATAATGGTAAAGGGATCAATTCAACAAGAAGAGCTAATTAACTATCCTAAATATATATGCACCCAATACAGGAGCACCCAGATTCATAAAGCAAGTCCTTAGAGACCTACAAAGAGACTTAGACTCCCACACAATAATAATGGGAGACTTTAACAACCTTCTGTCAATATTGGACAGATCAACGAGATAGAAGGTTAACAAGGATATCCAGGACTTGAACTCAGCTCTGCACCAAGCAGACCTAATAGACATCTACAGAACTCTCCACCCCAAATCAACAGAATATACATTCTTCTCAGCACCACATCGCACTTATTCTAAAATTGACCACATAATTGGAAGTAAAGCACTCCTCAGCAAATGTAAGAGAACAGAAATCACAACAAACTATCTCTCAGACTACAATGCAATCAAATTAGAACTCAGGATTAAGGAACTCACTCAACTACATGGAAACAACTACATGGAAACTGAACAACTTGCTCCTGAATGACTAGTGGGTAAATGACAAAATGAAGGCAGAAATAAAGATGTTCTTTGAAACCAATGAGAACAAAGACACAACATACCAGAATCTCTGGGACACATTCAAAGCAGTGTGTAGAGGGAAATTTATAGCACTAAATGCCCACAAGAGAAGGCAGGAAAGATCTAAAATTGACACCCTAACATCACAATTAAAAGAACTAGAGAAGCAAGAGCAAACACATTCAAAAGCTAGCAGAAGGCAAGAAATAACTAAGATCAGAGCAAAACTGAAGGAGATAGGGACACAAAAATCCCTTCAAAAAATCAATGAATCCAGGAGCTGGTTTTTTGAAAAGGTCAACAAAATTGATAGACCACTAGCAAGACTAATAAAGAAGAAGAGAGGAATCAAATAGACGCAATTAAAAATGATAAAGGGGATATCACCACCAATCCCACAGAAATACAAACTACCGTGAGAGAATACTATAAACACCTCCATGCAAAAAAAAAAAAAAAAAACCCTAGAAAATCTAGAAGAAATGGATAAATTCCTGGACACATACACCCTCCCAAGACTAAACCAGGAAGAAGTTGAATCTCTGAATAGACCAATAACAGGCTCTGGAACTGAGGCAAAAATTAATAGCCTACCAACCAAAAAAAGTCCAGGACCAGATGGATTCACAGCCGAATTCAACCAGAGGTACAAAGAGGAGCTGGTACCATTTCTTCTGAAACTATTCCAATCAATAGAAAAAGAGGGGATCCTCCCTAACTCATTTTATGAGGCCAGCATCATCCTGATACCAAAGCCTGGCAGAGACATAATAAGAAAGAGGGAATTTTAAACCAATATCCCTGATAAACACTGGTGCAAAAATCCTCAATAAAATACTGGCAAACCGAATCTAGCAGCACATCAAAAAGCTTATGTGCCATGATCAAGTTGGCTTCATCCCTGGGATTCAAGACTGGTTCAACATATGCAAATCAACAAATGTAATCCATCACATAAACAGAACCAACGACAAAAACCACATGATTATCTCAATAGATGCAGAAAAGGCCTTGGACAAATTTCAACACCAGTTCATGCTAAAAACTCTCAATAAATTAGGTATTGATGGAACATATCTCAAAATAGTAAGAGCTATTTATGAGAAACCCACAGCCGATACCATACTGAATGGGCAAAAATTGGAGGCATTCCCTTTGCAAACTGGCACAAGACAAGGATGCCCTCTCTCACCACTCCTATTCAATATGGTGTTGGAAGTTCTGGCCAGGGCAATCAGGCAAGAGAAAGAAATAAAGGGTATTCAATTAGGAAAAGAGGAAGTCAAATTGTCCCTGTTTGCAGATGACATGATTGCATATTTAGAAAACCCCATCATCTCAACCCAAAAACTCCTTAAGCTGATAAGCAACTTCAACAAAGTCTCAGGATACAAAATCAATGTGCAAAAATCACAAGCATTCCTATACACCAACAACAGACAGAGAGCCAAATCATGAGTGAACTCCCATTCACAATTGCTACAAAGAGAATAAGATACCTAGGAATCCAACTTACAAGGGATGTGAAGGACCTCTTCAAGGAGAACTACAAACCTCTGCTCAACGAAATAAAAGAGGACACAAACAAATGGAAGAACATTCCATACTCATGGATAGGAGGAATCAATATTGTGAAAATGACCATACTGCCCAAGGTAATTTATAGATTCAATGCCATCCCCATCAAGCTACCAATGACTTTCTTCACAGAATTGGAAAAAAATACTCTAAAGTTCATATGGAACCAAAAAAGAGCCCTCATAGCCAAGACAATCCTAAGCAAAAAGAACAAAGCTGGAGGTATCACTCTACCTGACTTCAAACTATACTACAAGGCTACAGTAACCAAAACAGCATGGTACTGGTACCAAAACAGATATATAGACCAATGGAACAGAACAGAGCCCTCAGAAATAATACCACACATCTACAACTATCTGATCTTTGACAAACCTGAAAAAAACAAGAAATGGGGAAAGGATTCCCTATTTAATAAATGGTGCTGGGAAAACTGGCTAGCCATATGTAGAAAGCTGAAACTGGATCCCTTCCTTACACCTTAGACAAAAATTAATTCAAGATGGATTAAAGACTTAAATGTTAGACCTAAAACCATAAAAACCCTAGAAGAAAACTTAGGCAATACCATTCAGGACATAGGCATGGGCAAAGGCCTCATGTCTAAAACACCAAAAACAATGGCAACAAAAGCCAAAATAGAAAAATGGGATCTAATTAAACTAAAGAGCTTCTGCACAGCAAAAGAAACTACCATCAGAGTCAACAGGCAACCTATAGAATGGGAGAAAAATTTTGCAACCTACTCATCTGACAAAGGGCTAATATCCAGAATCTACAAAGAACTTACACAAATTTACAAGAAAAAAACAAACAACCCCATCAAAAAGTGGGCAAAGGATATGAACAGACACTTCTCAAAAGAAGACATTTATGCAGCCAAAAGACACATGAATAAATGCTCATCATCACTGGTCATCAGAGAAATGCAAATCAAAACCACAATGAGATACCATCTCACACCAGTTAGAATGGCAATCATTAAAAAGTCAGGAAACAACAGATGCTGGAGAGGATGTGGAGAAATAGAAGTGCCTTTACATTGTTGGTGGGAGTGTAAATTAGTTCAAACATTGTGGAAGACAGTGTGGTGATTCCTCAAGGGTCTAGAACTAGAAATACCATTTGACCCAGCAATCCCATTATTGGGTATATACCCAAAGGATTATAAATCATGCTACTATAAAGACTCATGCACACATATGTTTATTGTGGCACTATTCACAATAACAAAGACTTGGAACCAACCCAATGTCCATCAATGATAGACTGGATTAAGAAAATGTGGGACATGTACACCATGGAATACTATGCAGCCATAAAAAAGGATGTGTTCATGTCCTTTGCAGGGACATGGATGAAGCTGGAAACCATCATTCTCAGCAAACTATCACAAGGACAGAGAACCAAACATTACATGTTCTCACTCTTGGGTGGGAGTTGAACAGAGGGAACACTTGGACACAGGCTGGGGAACATCACACACTGGGGCCTGTAGGGGAATGGGGGACTGGGGGAGGGATAGCATTAGGAGAAATACCTAATGTAAATGATGAGTTGATGGGTGCAGCAAACCAACATGGCACATGTATACCTATGTGGCAGATCTGCACGTTGTGCACATCTACCCTAGAACTTAAAGTATAATTTTTTAAAAAACCCATCCACTGTAGTTATAATTTCCTTTTCCTTCTATTTCTGCCAGTTTTTTTCCCTGAGGCTATATTATTAGTGGCATATAATTTAGAATTTTATATCTTCTGACAGATGGACACTTTATCATCATTAAATCTCTCCTTTTTTATTTGATCATGCTTTTTATCTTAAAGTCTGCTATTTCTATTTCTGGTTTAAAAAAATGTTTTCGGCCGGGCGCGGTGGCTCACGCCTGTAATCCCAGCACTTTGGGAGGCCGAGGCGGGCGGATCACGAGGTCAGGAGATCGAGACCATCCTGGCTAACACGGTGAAACCCCGTCTCTACTAAAAATACAACAAATTAGCCGGGCGTGGTAGCGGGCGCCTGTAGTCCCAGCTACTCGGGAGGCTGAGGCAGGAGAATGGCGTGAACCCGGGAGGCGGAGCTTGCAGTGAGCCGAGATCGCGCCACTGCACTCCAGCCTGGGCAACAGAGCGAGACTCCGTCTCAAAAAAAAAAAAAATGTTTTCATCATGAATGTGTATTGAGTTCTGTCAAATGCTTTTTCTGCATTAAAGTGATTATATAATTTTTGTTTGCTTGTTTGTTTGTTTGCTTTTTGAGACAGAGTTTTGCTCTTGTTGCCCAGGCTGGAGTGCAATGGCGCCATCTCGGCTCACTGGCAACCTCCGCCTCCTGGGTTTAAGCAATTCTCCTGCCTCAGCCTCCTGAGTAGCTGGGACTACAGTGCCCACCACCATGCCCGGCTAATTTTTGTATTTTTTAGTAGAGACAGGGTTTCACCATGTTGGCCAGACTGGTCCCAAACTCCTTACCTCAGGTGATCCACCGCCTTGGCCTCCCAAAGTGCTTGGATTACAGGTGTGAGCCACCGCGTCTGGCCCATATAATTTTTTATTTCGTTAATGTGGTATATTGATTTCTTATTGCTGCTGTAACAAACTACGACAGAGCTAGTGACTTAACACAAATTTACTGTATATTCAAAAGTACAAAATGAGGTTCTCTGGGCTATACTCAGGGTGTTAACAGGGCTGTGTTCTTTCCTGGAAGGTCTATGGGAGAATTAGTTTTTGTATTTTTTACAACTTCTAGAGGCTGCCTGCATTCCTTGGCTCATGGCCCCCATCCATCTTCATAACCACCAATGGCCAGTGGAGTCCTTCTCATACCACATCACTCTGATACTCTTCTGCCTCCCTCTTCCACACTTGGGTCCCTGTGATTACATGAGACCCAACTAGGTAATTCATGATAATCTGCATATTTTAAGGTTAGCTGATTAATTACATTGGCTACCTCAATTTCCCTTTGGCACCTTAATTTCCCTTTGACATGCAAGATAATTACAGGTTGCAGGGATTATTAGGGCATAGATATTTTTGGAGGGCTGTCGTTCACATGTGGTGAACTCTATTTTTTCTCAAATGTTATATCAACCTTGAATTCATATGAGATAAACCCCATATTGTCATGATGTATTAAGCTTGTTCTTTATTAATAGACTTAATTTGCTAATATTTTGTTAATGACTTTTGCATTTGTGTTCATGAGGAATATTTGTCCATAAATTTCTTTTTTAATAATGTCTTTGTCAGCTTTTGGTATCACGGTTTTGCCAGCCTAAAAGAAAAAGTTGAAAAGAATTCTCTTCTACTTTCTACATGAATTTAGTTATGGTTGGTATTATTTCTGTTTGTCTGTGTGTTTGTTTTTAAACAGCTTTATTGGGATGTAAATTTTAGATCATAAAATTCACTCTGTATAAGTGCACATTTTAATAATTTTTGTAAATTCTTAGAGTTGTACAGCCATCACCACAATCCAGTTTTAGAACATTTCAGTTACCCCAGAAAGCTTCCACATACCCACCCACAGCCCCAGGCAACCACTACTTTATAGATTTGCCTTCCTGACTTTATATAAATGGATTCATACAATATATAATCTTTTGGCTTCTTTTACTTAGTGTTTTTTTTTTTTTTTTGAGGTGGAGTCTCACTCTGTCGCCCAGGCTGGAGTGCAATGGCGCAATCTCAGCTCACTGCAACCTCTGCCTCTCAGGTTAAAGCGATTCTCCCGCCTCAGCCTCCCCAGTAGCTGGGATTACAGGCACCCACCATCATGCCCAGCTAATTTTTGTATTTTTGTAGAGATGGGATTTCACCATGTTAACCAGGCTAGTCTCAAACTCCTGACCTCAGGTGATCCACCTTGGCCTCCCAAAGTGCTGGGATTACAGGAATGAGCCACCACGCCCAGCCCTTAGTGTGTTTTAGTGTTTCATCCATGTTGTAGCATGTATGAGTACTTCATTCCTTTGTATTGCTATATAGTATTATTTGCATGGATATACTATTTTTTATTCATTTACCAGTTGATAAACATTTACATTTTGGCTATTATGAGTAATGCCACTATAGACATTCGAATGATGTCTTTATATCAACATACAAATGTGGATATATATTCTTACTTCTAGGTACCTAGCAGTAGAATTACTGTGTTGAATATATAAAGAACTCTTACCCTTTCATAATATGAAAATAAACAACCCAATTAAAAACTGCGCAGAAGGTTTGAATGTACATTTCACCAAAGAAAACATATGAATAGCTAATAAGCACATGAAAAGGTGCTCACTTTAGTCATTATGGAAATGCAAGTTAATACCACAATGCGTTATCAGTACACACCCACTAGAATGGTTATAATCTAAAAGACTAACAGCTATCAAGCATTGGTGAGGATGTGGTTAAATTGAAACCCTCAAATGTTGCTGATGAGAATATAAAATAGCTTAGCCACTTTGGAAAACAGCTTGGTATTTTTAAAAGTTAAACATAAACCCAGCAATTCCTGGGAAAGCACATTATTCCCGGTAAAGTGCAAAAACCAGCTCTGCATAAACCAAACCTACCCCAAGGACAACATATAAGTTACCTGGTAAGGTTCTCATTTACTGGTTGCAAATTTCATGTATGGTGTTGCCTTATATACTTCTTATAATACATGAAATCACACTATGTGTTGTTTGTGAATATGTATACATACAAAAATACGGTTGTCAAGTGTTAACACCATCACCAGGATAGCAGTTGTTTCTGCTAAAGAAATGGTGTGGGGGCCAGGTGCAGTGGCTCACGCCTGTAATCCAGCACTTTGGGAGGCCAAGGCAGGTGGATCACTTGAGGTCAGAAGTTCGAGACCAGCCTAGCCAACATGGTGAAACCATGTCTCTACTAAAAATACAAAAATTAGCCAAGTGTTAAACTAAAGGGCTTCTCCACAGCAAAAGAAACTGTCATCAGAGTGAACAGGCAACCTGCAGAATGTGAGAAAATTTTTGCAATCTACCCATCTAACAAAGATCTAATATCCAGAATCTACAAGGAACTTAAACAAATTTACAAGAAAAAAACAACCCCATCAAAAAGTGGGGAAAGAATATGAACAGACACTTCTCAAAAGAAGACATTTATGCAGCCAGCAAACATGAAAAAAAGCTCAGCATCACTGATCATTAAAGAAATGCAAATCAATCACAGTGAGGGCTGGGCATGGTGGCTCACGCCTGTAACCCCAGTACTTTGGGAGGCCAAGGTGGGCAGATCACTTGAGATCAGGAATTCAAGACCAACCTGGTCAACATGGTGAAACTCCATCTCTACAAAAATACAAAAATTAGCCAGGCATGGTGGTGCATGCCTGTAGGTCCAGCTACTCAAGAGGCTGAGGCAGGAGAATCATCTGAACCCAGGAGGCAGAGGTTGCAGTGAGGTGAGATCGCACCACTGCACTCCAGCCTGGGTGACCAGAGCAAGACTCCATCTCAAAAAAAAAAAAAAAAAAAAAAAAACACAAGTCAGAATGACGATTATTAAAAAGTCAAGAAACAATAGATGCTAGCGAGGCTGTGGAGAAATAGGAACGCTTTTACACTGTTGGTGGTAATGTAAATTAGTTCAACCATTGTGGAAGATAGCATGGTGATTCCTCAAGGATCTAGAACCAGAAATACCATTTGACCTAGCAATCCCATTACTAGGTATACGCTCAAAGGAATTTAAATCATTCTACTATAAAGACACATGCACACACGTTTATTGCAGCACTGTTTACAATAGCAAAGACATGGAACCAACCCAAATGCCCATCAATGATAGACTGGATAAAGAAAATGTGGCACATATACACCATGGAATACTATGCAGCCATGAAAAGGAATGAGATCACGTCCTTTGCAGGGACACAGATGAAGCCAGAAGCCATCATCCTCAGCAAACTAACACAGGAACAGAAAACCAAACACTGCATGTTCTCACTCATATGTGGGAGTTGAACAATGAGAACACAGGGACACAGGGAGGGGAACAACACACACTGAGGCCTGTCGCGGGGGTGGACGGAAAGATGAGGGAGAGCATTAGGACAAACAGCTAATGCATTTGGGGCTTAAAACCTAGATGATGGGTTGACAGGTGCGGCAAACCACCATGGCACATGTATACCTGTGTAACAAACCTGCACATTCTGCACATGTATTCCAGAACTCAAAGTAAGAAAAAAAAAGTTAAAAATAAAAAATTAGCCAGGCATGGTGGCGCACACTTGTAGTCCCAACTACTTGGGGAGGCTGAGGCATGAGAATTGCTTGAACTCGGGAGGTAGAGCTTGCAGTGAGCCAAGATTGCACCAGCCTGGGTGACACAGCCAGACTCCATCTCAAAAAAAAAAAAAAAAAAAAAAAGTGGATTAGAAAAGGCCACAAAAAAGTTTTTGGTAAGCTTTTTTTCCATACAAGTGTGAAGCATATATGATGAAATGTTGACATTTGTTAAATCCAAGAGAAAAAATCATCCATGCTACTATTTTTTAAAAAGAAGCTTTGCCTAACCCAGGGTCACAATTTTCTCCTATTTTTTTTTTCCTAGAAGTTTTTTGGCTTTGGTTCTTTATAGATGGCACTCTATTGCAAAAACAGCCCCATTCTGGTTGAAGGGACATATGATGGGTGGCCAGTTTCTGTGGCTCCAGTCTTGTTTGGAGCCCTGCAGACAAGGGGAGATGGCTCTCCTCCTGCTGGGCCCCCACTCCCTTTCCTGGGAATCTTAACTGCAGTAATGCATCATGGTCCCAGGACATCTTTACTACGCCAACACTAGTGTGAGCAGAGGTTACAAACTTTACTGTTTGGCCTGCGCAGTGTTGTTTTTTGTTTGTTTTAAGTTAATTGGTGCTAACATTTGAAAACCAGGAAAATGGCATTAAAAAATTGAGCAGCCAGCTTTTCCTGAGAAGCCCGTGAACACAGGGAGCCAAGTTTTAGTTCCTCCCTTTGGATGGGCTGGCTCTCCAAGTCACCCCACGCGTGCCCCTCTATTGTCTCCCAGACCCCGAGGCCAGGGTCAACTTCCTGCCCTGATGCCTTCCTACAGCTGCCCTCTTGGGTGGCTGAAGTTACATACGGAGTTCCATCTACAGCATTTTTATTGTCTTCCCTTTTCAGCATCTCACCTGGCCTTGTGACAGCCTTGATGAATTAGGATCATAGTCCACATTCTGCATATGAAGAAACTGCCCAAGGGCATACAGCTGCTAAGTGGCAAGCTGGCTTTGAGGCCCTACCTCTCCGCTCTCAGTCTCATTTCACTGGGCCTCACTGCCCTGGGCACTGGGGTTTCAAGCATTGGTGATACAAATTGCTAAGGGCACAGGTGTGTTACTAGTACTGCCATGCGCACTTGTCAGAGGTTCTTGGAGCAGGAAGGGAGCTGGCATCTGTGTCTTCTGTGCTGGCATCTTCAGGGAATAGCAGGAACTCAGTCTTCTAAGATGAGGGGTTTGCTTGATTAATGTATGATGAATGAATTAATAAATGGATAAACTGTCATTCTGAGTAGCCCATGTATGTTTAAGCATTAATCAAAATAAATTTTAACTGCAGAAATATTTTAGTGGAAGCATAAAAGAAGAGGAGAAAGGGCTGGCTTGCAATGTCCCAGAAACCATACCAGGGCTTCACCACCAAGGCTCTTTCATCCAAAGGCCCAACATTCAAGAGAAGACTTCCCGTGAAAAGCATAAACAATTATATTTACACCTGTGGGGTAAACTGGAGAGAATTTAAGGGGGCTTACATGTAAAAGTCATTGCATTTCTCTGCAATATGTAATTATGATGATGAAAATAAAATGCAAGTATTAAGAAATATTGCATTTATATGAAACTTCTAATACAATCTTTGCAAAAATATTTGATCAAAATCCTATGGCCCAGCACAGTGGCTCAAGCCTGTAATCCTAGCACTTTGGGAGGCCTAGGGTGGATTGCTTGGGCCCAGGAGTTCGAGACCAGCCTGGGCAACATAGGGAAACCCCATCTCTACAAAAAATTTAAAAAATTAGCCAGATGTGGTGGCAGACACCTGTAATCACAGCTACTCAGCAGGCTAAGGTGGGAGGATCACCTGAGGCCAGGATGCCTAAGCTGCAGTGAGCCGTGATTATGCCAATGCACTCCAACCTGGGCCACAGAGTGAGACCCTGTCTCCAAAGAAAGAAAGAGAAAAGGAAAGAAAGGAAGAAAGGGAGGGAGGGAGGGAGGAAGAGGGCCACAGAGTGAGACCCTGTCTCCAAAGAAAGAAAGAAAAAAGGAAAGAAAGGAAGAAAGGAAAGAAAGGAAGAAAGGGAGGGAGGGAGGGAGGGAGAAAGAGGGCCACAGAGTGAGCCCATGTCTCCAAAGGAAGAAAGAAAAAAGGAAAGAAAGGAAGAAAGGAAAGAAAGGAAAAAAGGGAGGGAGGGAGGGAGGGAGGGAGGGAGAAAGAGGGCCATAGAGTGAGACCCTGTCTCCAAAGAAAGAAAGAAAAAAGGAAAGAAAGGAAGAAAGGGAGGAAGGGAGGGAGGGGGAAAGAGGGAAGCAAGGAAGGAAGGAAGGAAGGAAGGAAGGGAGGGAGGGAGGGAGGGAGGGAGGGAGGGAGGGAAAGAGGGAAGAGAGAGAGAGACAGGGAGGGAGGGGAAGGGGGACGGAGGGAGGGACGGAGGGATGAAGGAAGGAAGGAAGGAAGGAGTTATCTTAAGCTTTCTAGCATGAAAATTCCTGATGTTTTTAGTGACAGTCTTTAAATTCTTCATAGTCCGTATTGATGAGAAGCTTTGGCAAAATAGTGTTAATTTTCTTTACAATATTTATTTGAAAATTCCAACAGTACAGATTGTATATAAAGACTCTAATTGAGATTCTTGTTTCATTGACAAATTGTTAAAATTCTTAACTGCCAGTGGTGGTAGCTCACACTTGTAATTCCAGCACTTTGGGACGCTGAGGCTGGCGGATTGCTTGAATCCCGAAGTTCAAAACCAGACTGGACAACATGGTAAAACCCCATCTCTACAAAAAAAAATATAAAAAATTAGCCAGGTGTGGTGGCACGTGCCTGAAGTCCCAGCTACTCAGGAGGCTGAGGTGGATCAGTTGAGCCCAGGAGGTGGAGGTTGCAGTAAGCCGTGACTGCACCACTGAACTCCAGCCTGGGTGACAGAGTGGGACTCTATAACCAAAAAAACAAAATCTTAGCAATATTATGGATAAATTTTGAATCTAATCAAATATTTTTAGATCCAGTGTTAAAAAATAATGAGAAATGCTAATTTGAAGAATTATATTTCTTGTTGGAGCAGGCACCCTGTAGCTTGGCATGAGAGGCAGCAGAGCATGCCAGCAGCAGACAGACATAATTGTCTGACACATCACTAGATAATAGTTTTGGCCTTGTTTGTAGTGTTTAAGTTTAGGTCAAGGATCCAAAATGCATCTTGAGATTTCAGAAAGACTCAGAAACTGTTGGATTGCTTTGTAAAAACAGATTTGGGACTGCTGTCTAGAGCTGTGCCCACCTGAGCTCTGTCTGGTCTCCCTGCAGAAGCCGCTCCTCCATCTCTCTTCTCACCCCAGTCCTAAGGAGCTGCACTTCGGCAGTGAGCAATTATCTTGGAGCACACAGAGCACCAGCTCCTCCAATAGTGCTATAGGCCCCTTGTCCACAGAGGACAGTAGCATACCCTGCAACTCTGCAGAGGAAATGGCTGAGTGGTCCAGCTTCTCCCTGATCATATGCAGCCAGCCCACGAGGCTGCATGTCAAGCATTGGGATTGTGACCTACAGAGACTGTAGTGTGCTTGTTCAAACCTGGTCTTCTTCCAAGAAGACCCAGGAGAAGAGCACTCACCATCCCAGGCTTGCCCTAAATGCTGTCCTAAATGCTGAGGGCTTCCAAAACCTCAGGGCCTAACTCTAACACAGGCAGAATGCTCTGATCTGTCAGATGCAGAACAATAGTTCTCCAAAATTCCAAAAAGTATGTCATGAATAAAAAAAATTAATATTACCTTGCTTGGGTAAGTTGATTTATTATCTCAGCCCATTTAAAGGCTAAGCTCTTACTTAGCCAGAATACCCAAAGCAACCCTAAGCAAAAAGAACAAAGCCAGAGGCATCACACTATCCAACTTCAAACTATACTACAAGGCTACAGTAACCAAAACAGCATGGTACAGGTGCAAAAACAGACACATAGACCAATGGAATAGAATAGAAAACTCAGAAATAAAGCCACATGCCTACAGCCATCTGATCTTCAACAAAGTCAACAAAAATAAACCATGGGGAAAGGACTTCCTATTCAACAAACGGTGCTGGGATAGCTGGCTAACCATATGCAGAAGATTGAAACTGGACCCTTACCTTTCATTGTATACAAAAATTAACTCAAGATGGAGTAAAGAGTTAAATGTAAAATTTCAGATTATAAGAAACCTAGAAGAAAGCCTAGGAAACACCATTCTGGACATCAGCCTAGGCAAAAAATTTATGACTAAGTCCCCAAAAGCAACGGCAACAAAAACAAAAATTGACAAGTGGGACCTAATTAAACTAAAGAACTTCTGCACAGCAAAAGAAACTTTCTACAGAGTAAACAAAATGGGAGAACATATCCTCAAACTAAACAATCTGACAAAGATTTAATATCCAGAATCTATAAGGAACTTAAACAACTCAACAAGCAAAAAGCAAACAACCCCATTAAACAGTGAGCAAAAGAGATGAACAGACACTTCTCAAAAGAAGACATACAAGCAGTCAACAAATATATGAAAAAATGCTCAACATCACTAATTATCAGAGAAATGCAAAAGAAAACCATACTGAGATAACCATCTCCTATCAGTCAGAATGGCTATTATCAAAAAGTCAAAAAAACAACAGATGCTGGTGTGGTCGCAGAGAAAAGGGAATGCTTTATACACTGTTGGTGAGAATATAAATTAGTACAGCCACTGTGGAAAACAGTTTGGAGATTTCTCAATGAACTTAAAACAGAACTACCATTTGACCCAGCAATTCCATTACTAGGTATATATATAAAAGAAAATAAATCATTCCACCAAAAAGACACATAAACTCATACGTTCAGCATTACACCATTCACAATAACAAAGACATAGAATCAACCCAGGTGCCCATCAATAGCGGATTAGATAAAGAAAATGTGGTACATATACACCATGGAATACTACATAGCCATAGAAAAGAATGAAATCATGTCCTTTGCAGCAACATGGATGCAGCCAGAGGCCATTATCCTAAGCAAGATAAGGCAGGAACAGAAAACCAAATACTGTATGTTCTCTCTTACAAGTGAGAGCTAGACATTGGGTAGTAACGGACATAAAGATGGCAACAATAGACACTGGGGATAGAAAGAGGAAGAAGGGAGGGGAGCAAGGGTTGAAAAACTGTCTATTGGATACTATGCTCACTACCTGGGTATTGGGATCATTCATATCCCAAACCTCAGCATCATGCAGTACACCCATGTAACAAACCTGCACGTGCACCCCCTGAATTTAAAATAAAAGTTGAAATTATTTTTTAAAAAAAGACTAAGTTCTTAGAGTCAAGACTGACATTAAGCACAAATACTGCCTCCTGTAAACAAGTGAATGTTCGCAGGGAACCAACATGACCAGGCATGAGATAAAACATAAGTAGGCCTCTAAATTCTTAACCTGGAGTCCACAGACACTTCCCAAGGATCCAAGGATACAATTTAGGGTTCCATGAACTTGGGTGGGAAAAACTGACATCCTTATTTTCAATAACCTCTGACTGAAATGTACTTTTCTTCCATTATGAGTATAGGCCACAGTGCTAGCAGTACCTTTAGCTTTATTCCAATAGAAATCACAGATATTTTCATAGCTCATTACAATTGTGATGGACATATTAAAACATTACTTTCATATGTCCCCACTTCAAAAGCATGGTAGGTGATAGACCTGCCACTCAGTCTTGTTATTTAATGAGTTAACAAAGAAGTGCATATAATACTACATCACAAATTTGTTTTTTCTTAGGTTTTCATAACTGAATGATGATATTTTATTTTCCATTTAATGCTTTGTATCTTTTGTTGTTGTTGCTGTTGTTGTTGTTGTTGTTGAGACAGAGTCTCGCTCTGTTGCCCAGGCTGGAGTGCAGTGGCACGATCTCAGCTCACTGCAAGCTCCGCCTCCTGGGTCCACGCCATTCTCCTGCCTCAGCCTCCCAAGTAGCTGGGACTACAGGTGCCCGCCACCATGCCCAGCTAATTTTTTGTATTTTTAGTAAAGACGGGGTTTCACCATGTTAGTCAGGATGGTCTCGATCTCCTGACCTCATGATCCACCTGCCTCGGTCTCCCAAAGCGCTGGGATTACAGGCGTGAGCCACCACACCCGGCCTTTGTATCTTACTTTATGCACTTAGTCATTATTCTGAGGGGTCCATAGGCTCCTCAACTCTGCCAGAGGCATCCCTGACACACAGAAGGTAAAGAACCTCTAAGTACCTAAGCCACCAGCTCCCATTCCATTTGGGAAGCAACAGAGGAGGCTGAGGCAAGATGCTTGCCAGTGGGAGGGAGAGAGGGCACTCCTAATCCCATTCAGAGGCTGACCTGGCTCTGGGGAATTTGACTTGCTGTGTTTTCCATTCTGTTTTGGCATATTCTTAAAAAACACTTGATGTGATTTGGTTGTGTCTCTGCCCAAATCTCATCTTAAATTCCCACGTTGTGGGAGGGACCCAGTGGGAGGTGGTTGAATCATGGGGGCAGGTCTTTCTTGTGCTGTTCTCATGACAGCACAGAATAAGTCTGTGATGAATAAGTCTCATGAGATCTGATGTTTTTAACAAGGGGAGTTTCTCTGCACAGGCTCTCTTTTTGCCTGCTGCCCTCCATGTAAGATGTGACTTGCTCCTTCTTGCCTTCTGCCATGATTGTGAGGCTTTCCCAGCCAAGTGGAACTGTAAGTCCATTACACCTCTTCTGTAAATCGCCCAGTCTCAGGCATGTCTTTATCAGCAGCATGAAAACAGACTAATACAGTAAATTGGTACCAGTAGAGTGGGGTGTTGCTGAAAAGATACCTGAAAATGTGGAAGCGACTTTGGAACTGGGTAGCAGGCAGAGGTTGGAACAGCTTGGAGGGCTCAGAAGAAGACAGGAAAATGTGGGAAAGTTTGGAACTTCCTAGAGACTTGTTGAATGGCTTTGACCAAAATGCTGATAACTATATGGACAATGAAATCCAGGCTGATCTGGTTTCAGATGGAGATGAGGAACTTGTTGGGAACTGGAGCAAAGGTGGCTCTTGCTATGTTTTAGCAGAGACTGGTGGCATTTTGCCCCTACTCCAGAGATTTGTGGAATTTTGAACTTGAGGGAGATGATTTAGGGTATCTGGCAGAAGAAATTTCTAAGCAGCAAAGCATTCAACAGGTGACTTGGGTGCTGTTAAAAGCATTGTTTTAAATGAGAAACAGAGCATAAAAGTTTGGAAAATCTGCAGCCTGACAATGCAATAGAACAGCAAATCCCACTTTCTGAGGAGAAATTCAAGCCAGCTGCAGAAATTTGCATAAGTAATGAGGAGCCGAATGTTAATCCCCAAGACAATGGGGAAAATATCTCCAGGGCATTTCAGAGGTCTTCACAGCAGCCTCTCCCATCACAGGCCTGGAGGCCTAGGAAGAAAAAATGGTTTCATGGGCCAGGCCCAGGGTCCCCATGCTGTGTGCAGCCTAGGAACTTGGTGCCCTGTGTCCCAGCCACTCCAGCTGTGGCTGAAAGTGGCCAACGTAGAGCTCAGGCCATAGCTTCAGAGGGTGCAAGTCCCAAACCTTAGCAGATTCCATGTGGTGTTAGTCCTGCAAGTGTGTAGAAGACAAGAATTGAGGTTTGGGAACCTCCACCTAGATTTCAGAGGGTGTATAGAAACGCTTGCATATCCAGGCAGAAGTTTGCTGCAGAGGTTGGGTCTTCATGCAGAACCTCTGCTAGGGCAGTGCGAAAGGGAAATGTGGGGTCAGAGCCCCCACACAGAGTCCCCACTAGGGTAGTGCCTGGTGGAACTGTGAGAAGAGGGCCATTGTCCTCCAGACCCCAGAACGGTAGATCCACCGACAGCTTGCACCGTGCACCTGGAAAAGCCACAGTCTCTCAATGCCAGCCCATGAAAGCAGCTGGGAGAGAGGCTGTACCATGCAAAGCCACAGGAGTGGAGCTGTGCAAGACCATGGGAAGCCACCTTTTGCATCAGCGTGACCTGGATGTGAGACATGGGGTCAAAAGAGATCATTTTGGAGCTTTAAGATTTGACTGCCCCGCTGGATTTCGGACTTGCATGGGGCCTGCAGCCCCCTTGTTTTGGCCAATTTCTCCCATTTGGAATGGGTATATTTACCCAACGCCTGTATCCCTATTGTATCTGAGAAGTAATTAACTCACTTTCGATTTTACAGGCTCATCGGCTCAGATTTGCCTTGTCTCAGATGAGACTTTGGACTATGGACTTTTGAGTTAATGCTGAAATAAGTTAAGACTTTTGGAGATTGTTGGGAAGGCATGATTGGTTTTGAAATGTGAGGACACAAGATATGTGAGAGTCCAGGGGTGGAATGATGTGGTTTGGCTGGGGCCCCACCCAAATTTCACCTGAATTCCCACGTGTTGTGGGAGGAATCTGGTGGAAGGTGGTTGAATCATGGGGGCAGGTCTTTCTCACGCTGTTCTCGTGATGGTGAATAAGTCTCGCAAGATCTGATGGTTTAAAAAGGGGAGTTTCTCTGCACAGGATCTCTTTATGCCTGCTGCCCTCCATGTAAGATGTGACTTGCTCCTCCTTGCCTTCCGCCATGATTGTGAGGTTTCAGCCACGTGGAACTGTAAGTCTATTACACCTCTTTCTCTTGTAAATCACCCAGTCTCAGGTATGTCTTTATCAGCAGCATGAAAATGGACTAATAAAACACTTAATACTTCAAATATTTTGGATCTCTGGAAAACAGCTTGAGAAATGTGGATTTAAGGAATGACTTTGCCTGGGGAAGCGTCTGGAATTGCTTGGTGTTGTTAAACAATGGGTTAATGTTAAACCTTTTTGGAGCAAAATAAACAGATCAGGTGATGCCTTCTTAGTCTACAAGCCATAGCTCATGCAGGAGGTAGCAGGTTGAACATATCACCAATCTGGAACCTTTCCTGTCCTTTGCCCATGGTCCAGAATTTATTAATATGAACAGGCTACTGCTGGGGTTCCATGCTGGGCTGAGGGGCCTGTCTTCCAGAAAAGGGGATCCTTGGGGAAGCACTGAGCTCCTGCCCCAGCCACTGCCCTGTTGGGTTACACAGGAACCTGCAGGGTTGCAGTGCATGCTCCTGTTGGGACCAAGGGCTATGCTTGCCTGTGGCTGAAGAAACTAACTGGGAGATAACACTTCCGGTCTTGTTTGTTGTATTTTATTTAAGTTGGGGATCTGAAACACATGTCCTAGGTCGCAGAAAAGTCAGGGACTGGTGGGCTGTTTGGGTTTATGCTATACATCAATGGCAAGACAAATCCAAGAGCTGGCCCACTGAGAGGCCCCCATTACCTCCCAAAGCTGGTGCCACAGAAATCAGGACAGCTCTGGGAACTGATGATTAGCCCATCCACAGTGGATGCCTGTCAAAGGGATAGCCACTCCAGAAAAGGACTAGGAAGACTAGTTTCAAAGAGTATCTTAGCTCATCTGTTTCTCATAGCCAAAGAAATAAAGCAGGTTTAGGTAATGTACTTGGCTTTTCTTTCTTTACTTTGCCCAGTCATGCTTGTAGAGATACTGAGGGACTTGCTAAGCAGTCTTAGGGCAGAACTTCAATATGCTCATATTCCACATCAGTGGTCTGTAACCCTCTAAAGTGTTTGTAAACAGTCCTCCTCTAAGCACTGAGGTTAGCGCCAAGCATTCCTGCAGCTTCTCCTTAGAATACACTTAGCCAAGACACTGCCTGGCTGATGAGTGGCCTTTGCTGCCTGCAACCTCGCCTAACAGGAAGCAGCACCAAGACTGAACTCCCACCCGGAAGAGCAGGAACCCCTGCGGTGTGCAGGCCCCTGGCCCTCTGCCCCACAATATTGCACAGTGCAGAGCCACCCCACACCACAAGCAATGATTAACAGAGCTTGAACATCCACTCTCTCCAAGAAAGGTACCGTTACTCCTGTGAACTGAGAGTTGAAAATAGAAAACTTTAGAATAGCTTGTGCTATATGTGTTGTGGTATTCCCTTAATATAAACTTGATATTTTTAAGGAGCTGCCATGCATCAGAGGCTTTTTTTTTTTTTTTTGGTAACAGTGATTAAGATATAATTTACATACTATATAATTCACCCATTTAAAGTACACAATTCAGTTGTTTTTAGTTGTTATATTCAGAGTTGTGCAACCATCACAATCAATTTTAGAACATTTTCATCTCAAAAAGAAACCCCATACCCTTTAGTCTTCACCTCCCAATCCTCCTATCCCCACCCCATTTCCCACCCCAACCTTCCGCCGCCAATCCCTAGCAACTACCAATCTATTTTCTATCTCTACAGATTTGTCAATTCTGGGCAATTCATGTAAATGGAGTCATACAATATGTGATTTTTTTTTTTTTTGCTTTCTTCCTGTTTTCAAGGTTCATCCATGCTGTGGCATCAGTAGTATAATACTTCATTCAAATCTTTTTGCTCCCAAATAACATTCCATTACATGGATATACATTTTGTTTATTCATTCATCAATGATGGATATTTAGGTTGCTTCCACTTTGGTGTTATTGTGAATAATGTTGCTAAGATCATTTGTGTACAAATTTTTGTGTGGATATATTTTCATTTTTCTTGAGCATATATTTAGGATTGGTATTGCTGGGTAATATGGTAACTCTTTTTGAGGAACTGCCAAACTGTCTTCCAGAGTGACTGCACTATTTTACATTCCCATCAGCAACATATGAGTGTTCCAATTTCTCCACATCATCTTCAACACTTGTGATTGTCCATTTTTTTTTTATTATAGTGGATGTGTAATGGTATCTTATTTTGATTTTGATTTGCATTTCTCTGATGACTAATGATGTTGAACATCTTTTCATTTGCTTAATAGCCATCTGTACATCTTTGGAGAAATGTCTATTCCAATCTTTTGTCCATTTTTGAACTGAATTGTCTTTTTATTATTGAAAAGCTTAAATTTTGAATGACTATTCAACTGCACTTTAAAATTCAGCCCCAGAAGGGAGAGGTTGGACTCCTCCAATTTTATGTCTCTCCCCAGGAAATGGGATACCATTCTGGGACAACTCTAGTCCCTAAAGCTATGGTTTTTAATCTCTTTTTGATTCACAGACACCTTCAAGATTCTAATGAAAATTATGAACCTTCTCCCCAGAAAAATGCACAATGCACATTTTTTGCATTTAATATTATTATATTACTATTATTAACATTAATAAATGTTTTGCATTTAATATCAAGGAGTTTTAGACCTTCCCCTATCAACTACTGCCTTACGTTCTTTTTGTAAGAGGAGTGCAAAAGTTCTTCTGACTGGATGATTGTCAAATAATTGAACCTGGTCTTAATGGGCAACATAAAATTCCCAAATTCTAGTTCCTCACAGAGAGGGAAAAAAAAAAAGATGTGAATTGTATGTCTGAATTATCAAAATTGCACTGCGGAGAAATAGCTTTTACAAAAGATTGGTTTAAAGCAGTCTATCATCCCTCTAAATTTTCCCTTTTCAGGCCATGAGAGCTTTACGCAATCATGTTTGTGGCCCTCTCAGAACAGTTTCCTCTGAATTTGGATGTCAGCCTTATGCCATCAACCCACAGTGAAGCATACTGTGGGGGGAGCTGTGCAGATTATTATTACCAGTTATGAAAATGTTGGACTTCTCTTCTGGATACTCACATACTTTACAAAACGCTTATTCAAACACACAAAAAAAATCTGTGCTTTTCTTAAGTCTATGATTTTTTTTTTTTTTTATCTTATGGGCACCATAAAACTTTTAGGTAAATGTTTTCTCCTCTGCTTTTCCCCCTCTGAAGCTCAGAGGTAACTTGGCTGCCTTCCTCTAGCAACTGGACTGGACAACTAGATTCATTAGTGAATCAATGTTTACAGCCCTCATTTTCCCTCTGCCCCGATTCTGTTTGTTACTTTTTGATGCATTTATACTATTTCAAACTGTTTTGGGACAAGCTGACACATTTCTAACTTTTTCTACATTTCAGTGCTGTTCATGACAACTGTTTGCTTAACGTATGTTCTCATGCCATAGAGCTTATTTTATAATTATCTTTCTTATCTGCAACTTTTAGGTACTGGACTCGAGTGTTTTGCAAACAGAAAATCATCACCCACAGTTTACCAGGTGTTATGTGTATGTAAGAGAGAGAAGGTAAGAATTGTTTGGGTTTAAGCAGATGTCACAGAAACAGAGTGTTGTAGTATTTTTTCTACACTTGTTGAGATCAAATGAGTCTGCAAGGGAAGGTAATGTCCAGCCCACAGTGGGAAGTCAACTTTGCCCTCTTCAGCTAAAATCTGCGTAGGAATCCAGATGAAAATTCATGGGAATCCAGGACAAGAAGAATGAGATGACTTGCCCAATAAAACATTATCTGTAAACACCAGATGTAGACTACAAATCCCTAATCTTTTCATCTCATTTGGGTACCCTGATCACGGACAGATTTTGGAAAATGTGTGTTAAGACACTAACTCAGATTTAGTCTTGACACATTTTAATATTTGGTATTAATATATCTTTTTGAAAAATGGTGAGACATTAAATTACAGTCAAATGTTCTGACAAATTTGGACAACCCATTAACTATTAGATACTTCAGCTTTAAAAAACAGTATAATTTAAGGAAATACATAGTACCTCATGATTCCTTAAGTATTTCCGGTGACTACAGAGTCTGTCATTGTTCCTCCTAGTCAACACGTAGTACAAACGTTTCAGAAACGGGCTGCAGTCTACAGATTTTAAGCTGAAGCTTGGGACTGTCTAAAACTCAGAAATCTCCTGAATGTAACAGCAATGCACATAGGTACAGTACTTAAAACTGCAAAGCCCTTTCAAATATATATTTTCAGTAAATCTTCTCGACCCCATTAGATATTATTTCAGTTTTACTGATAAATACAATGAAGCCTTGAATGGTAGTGATTTTCATCCACCCAATATTTGCTTAGGATCTGTTATGTGTTAGGCAGCATGCTGACTGAGGATGTAGGCAGGACTTAGCCCCTGAAAGACAGAAATCAAAGCGGATAGCAAAGTCTGGTCAGAGCCACACACAGGGTGCCATGACAGCAATGAGGAGAAACGTTCCCTGACATGGGTCAGGGGATATGGGAAAGCTTTGCCAAGCCAGATAAAGTAGCCAAGTAAAGGGGGAGTTTTAGGAGCACATGACAGGGTGTGGGAAGAGGAGACAAACTGAAGGACAGCATGCACACCAACACAAAAGAAACGATGTGGTGCACCTCAGGAATGGCATTTTCCATTGGTTCAAACTAGCTGAGCCTCTCCTAAGTGTTGGGCTTGTGCTGGGTGATGAGGATCCCACCATGAACCAGAGAAGCAAAGTCCTTGCCCTCAAGGAGTTTTAATTCTAAAGACAGAAATAGACAGTACAAACATAAATCAAGTAATGAAATGATTTCAGATAGTAGTGAGCACTATGAAGCAAGTAACACAGGCCAATGAGCTAGAGAAATGGGGAGAAACAGGTTTGGGAGGCAGCAATCAAAGAAGGCTTGCTCAGGAGAGGATGCCAGAGTGCAGGTCTGCAAGGGGGAAAACGCCAATCAAAGGTGAGGTAAGAGAAAGGGAATATTCAGGGTAAACTGCAAATGAAAGACCCGAACAGGTTAAAGCTTGCTGCACTCAATAAACAGAAAGGACGCCAGCATGGGTGGAGCACAGTAAAGGATGATGCAATGGGTGATTAGGCCCAGATTATTGACACTCTGTAGGCTATACTAATTCATTTGGATTTTATTCTGAGTGCAGTAAGAAGCCTTGGGGCTGGGTGCAGTGGCTCACGCTTATAACCCAGCACTTTGGGAAGCTCAGGCGGGTGGATCACTTGAGGTCAGGAGTTCGAGATCAGCCTGACCAACATGGTGAAACCCTGTTCCTACTAAAAATACAAAAATTAGCTGGGCCTGGTGGCATGCGCCTGTAATCCCAGCTACTCGGGAAGCTAAGGCAGGAGAATCACTTGAGCCCGGGAGGTGGAGGTTGCAGAGAGCCGAGATCCTGCCACTGTACTGCAGCTTGGGCGACAGAGTGAGACTCTGTCTCAATAAAAAAAAAAAGAGAAGCCTTGGAAGAGTCTGAAGGGAAGCAGTGGTGACACTGTTTCATTTACATTTCTAAAGGATAACTCCAGAAGCTCCCTGAATTACTGGTGTGAGTACTATCAGTTAGGAGGCTACTGCCAGAATCAGGGTGAGAGAGAAGTAGTCTGGATCAGGTGGTAGAAGTGCAGGAGGGAAACGGTTGGGTCTGAGATAAGATTCTGGGGGAAGAAATGACAGGACCTCCCAAATGACTGGATATGCGGATGTGGGTAAGGAAGGAATTATAAGTAACTCCTAGGAACTGGCAAACATAATGCTATGTCCTGATATGGAATCTTAGCAAGAGGGAGAATAAAGAGTTCTCTCTTGGAAACAAGATGTTTGTCAGATATCCAAGTGAAGACATCGCATAAGCAGCTAGGTATCTAAGACAGCAGCTCTGGGGAGAGGTCAAGATTAGTAATAAATGTAAGGGTCACTGGCCTATAGGTGGTATTAAGAGCTTGAGAATGGAATGGAAACTTCTAGGGAAGAGAATGCTGAGGGAGAAAACCCATGACAGAGCTCTAGGGGGCCCTCTGACTTAGAGGTTAGAAGAGGAAAAGCCATGAGATGGAGTGGAGGATGAGGTAGAGAGGAAACCAGAAGTTCCAGGTCACAGAAGCCAAGAGAGAGTCCAACTGTGCTGAATGATGCTCAGACACTGATTAGGTCACTGGTGAACTCAAGAGCAAGAAAGCAGTCTGGGGATGGAAGTGGTGTTGGAGAGGGTTAGGAAGAGAACTACGGTGGGGCGGGGTGAGGAACTGGAAAGAGTCACTGCAGACAACTCTTTCCAGAAGTGTTTGGGTGAAGGGAAGCAAACATACAGAGCAGTAAAAGAGAGGCATTAAAAAAAACTGAGGTTTTATTTAAAAAGGGGAAATAACAGGATGTTTTACGCTGATGGGAAAGATCCACTACAGAAAGAGGGTTCACAGAGGCCACACCCTTGAGCTGGCAAGTACACTACACTGACCTTTCTCATCTGTAACTGCACATTCTAGTTCCTTTGCTAGATCTATTTCCTGTGATCCTCAGATGCTGGCATCTTTCAGGGCCCCAAACCCAGCCTCCTGCTCCTCTCTCTCTCCACAGCCTCCCTGGTGGATCTTATCAACTCCCATCGTTTCAAATGCCTGCGGCACATCAACATCCAGATCTTTGTCTCCCATCTAAACTTGTCCTCAGCAGTGCAGACGATGAACATTTATTTCCAATGGATATTCCATGGGCACCGTGCATGACAGCCAGTCCCTTGCCCTCCCTGCCTCTCTCCTCTGCATGAGTGTTGAGCAAGAGAGGACTGCTTGATAAGGTTCTTTAGCACACCCCCCCCTTATTCACTACCAGCCTGACTTTACACACTACCAGCCCCTTGGCTAGGAGGGGCTACCAGCCCAGTAAATAACAAGCCCCGTTGGCTGGTAAGTGGCAAAACCAGTCTATCGATCCAGGTATGTTTGACCCCTAAATCCATGCTTCTACACATTTCCCCTAAAGAAAGTTCCTGCAGTTACTTTATTTTCAACATGTATCATAAAATCCTTATTTCAATTAGTACATAGCTATTCACATTTAAGTCAGCAAGGTAAGTATCACTTTATGATAATAAATATTCGTATGAGAAAAAAGTCTAGCAAAGTGGTTTATTCTTTCAACTTATTGCTGGAAGAAGTCCTTTAAACAAACCAGTGCAGAGAAAATGCCTATCAAAAGTATCAGTTTTTCAGCTTTCTTCACCACTGCTTTAGATGTATCATTTTTATAATTTTATCTCTTCATGTTTTTAAAGAGCTGCTACTTCAGATGACAGTAACTCTTTGGTGTTTATTTTTATTTCCAAGATAGTGATTTTTTTAAGAGGCTACTTTAAGGCTGTGAATTGTCTCACTGTCTTTTCACTCTCTCTTTTTAGTTCTTCAATATGGGCATCCAAGCGCTCTAGAATGTGATGAGACCTCAGTTCCTCCTCTTCCAAAAATCTGGTAGCTATTGAACCAAGGGGAGATACAGGCAAGGAACACTGGAAGAGACACAAATTTTGACATGTGTAAATAAGTAGAATATTATATTTCTAAGATACACTGTTCATGACATTTTCTAACTAGCAATATTAAAAGGTGATTTTTTTCCTCTGAAGATACTTTTTTGGTTTTCATCCTAATGACAAGAGCAATAAAAGAACAAAAATCAGTAAGTTCTGCAAAAATTAACACAGATCTCTCCGTTTCTGACCCAAATTGTAACAATGTAAAGTATCATATATTAGTTATTGGTCTGAAGAATGTTTCAATTTAGACTTATATATGCTTCCATAGTTAATGCCTATTATTTCAAACTCACTTTAAAAACCTAAGTATGTCACTTTTATTTTAAAGCACAAAAATTTAACAAAAATAAATTAGATGCCAGCTAAAATCAATTATTTTTTCTCCTCCAAATTTTCAGTCCACAGTCCCTTATCTGAAACCCTTGAGGCTAGTGATATTTCAGAATTCTGATTTTAGAAAGGTAACATAGAACATATGCCATATGCAGTCAATACTCATTCACAATAGCAGTAGTTGTGTTCTATAAAGTCACCCAAAACACTGAATTAGCAAACACAGAATTTTTGGCCCAGGGAAAATACACACATACAACAAATACACACACACACACATACACACATACCCCACACAGAGAGCATAATCCTAAATCCTAGAACAAATCATTCTGGTAGATTCTGTATTTTTTATTTCACATGAGAGACATGAGGTTCAGAAGTGGTAACTCTCCTGAGGCTGCCCCACTAACTGGTGCTGAAGCTGGGATTCAGACTCTATCCAGCTGGCATGGAGCTGAGCTTCTTTCCCTACACTGCGCTGTCCCGTCCATCTCCACCCTATGGTCACCTCCGCATAAGCAGGGGCAACAAGGCAGAGTGCTGCCTACTTCGACCTTGGCTGGGATTGTGCAAGTCGGTCACTCAAATTTTTTGTCACTCTGCATATGTCCACGAATTACTGTGGAAGTGCTGCGCATACTGATTTGGGAGTTACAGATAAAGTTTAGGGAGTAGACAAATTCACAAATACAAAATCTGTGAATAATGAGGATCAACTGTATTACCCCAGTGGAGTCTGAGGGAACATCCCATCACCAAACACACTGATATTTCTGAAGCAAAACACATGGATACTCACACTAAGTGGAATAGAGAAAGTCTATACATACTAACACATCAGTTCAGGCCAGGGAAAGTTCTGGTGCCAAAAAAATTTTGCTGCTAAACTTAGGAAGAAAGTGAAGTGAGGACTTATTTTGAAAAATAAAAGAAAACCTTTCCATGGACTTGGTAGCACATTAATAAGTCAGAAATACTGCACTTTCACATCTATATGGCCACAGCTGGTGACAGGAAATGAAGGGCCCATGGCAAGTGCTTTGGTGCAGAAGGCAAAAAGATGGTGCAGCCTGCCCAGCAATGGAAGGAGCAAGGGACCGGCATGGTGTCCAAGGCACATTCTGCCCTGAGGGCCACCATCTGTGACCCCCAAGCCATGCTCTGCACACATCAGAGGCACAGCCTTCCTCCCCCTCCACACTCCCTTTCTCCTTTCCAGCAGTTCCTCTTTTCCTCCTTCACTGCCTGTGCCTCAGGACTATCTTGGCATCCAGAGACAGTTCTTGAACTAACCATTCCAGAAGAAAATTGAGCATCACTGAAAAGGGCAAGAAGGGAATTTCCAATAAGGGTTAAAGACAAATGAATACGTATAACATATTTCAGAACATTTTGAAAAGTAGTCTTGGCCGAAAGTGTCTTCACAAGCAAAAACTGTATGACAGGGATACCTAAGAATAATGAAGAGTACTTATGATAAAAGAATCAGTAAGGAAAAAAAAATCACCTTCTTCACCCTTAAAATAAAAAATCAAAGCAAACTTAAAAAACTAACAAATTACTAAGATCAGAAAGTTTCCATACCGAAGATATAAACTCTTCTTGGTCATTCATACTCTCAGACATAGTGTCAGAAAAATTGGCTTCATTTGTATCTAGCGCTGAAGGCAAAGAATGAGTTTTACATAGAGAGTAGGAAGTCAAAGACCTGGTGGAGCTGCAAGGGCTGATTTGAGGACTCAGGGGGCTTAGCACCCTAGACATGGGGTTTATACTATCCGACGCTTGTCCTCTTGGAGAATGAAGATCTGTTTTGTAGTGCTCAGTCTTTATTCCATCATGTCTGTGCTGGCCATGGGTTGGCCTGGATGGTAGATTAGAAAACAAAACAAATAAAAAATTGTAGCAACTTTTCTCTTTCCAACAGAAATGTAGGAAATTTGCTTAATAGCCTAACTAATAAGGCTACAATTTACAAAATGAGCAACCTACTCAGATCAGAAAGAGATTTCTTTCATTCATTCAGGCCCCAAATATCCAATTCCAACTACCAAGTCCCTGCCCTCACACACTTATGGTATAGCAAGAAAGACAAACAAGCTGCCAGAGTAATCTAGTGTGGTTAGTGCTGGGACAGGAGAAGTGCTGTGCACATAAGAAGGCACCTAACCTAACTAGGGGATTGGGTGGGTGTAGGAGTGGAGGTGAGGGTGTCAGCAAAGGCTTTGGGTAGGAAAACATGTAAGCCATATAGTATGAGCTGAAGCCAAGTGGCTTTTCACCGAATGCTTATTTCTTACGGTAACAGCCTATAACAAATTGACTAAAAAGACAAAGGAAGCTGTTTATAAAAAGCCAAATTCTACTTCTTATGGGCAAATGGGGTTGAAGAGGTGGAAGGCAGCATGAAAAGCCTCAGGTAATACACATCTTGTTTACACTGATATCCAGAGTGTACAAAACTAAAGCTTTAATGAAAATGCTATACACCTCCCCCAGCCATTTTTTAACATGATCATAGCTTTACTTGTGCACACTATACTTCAGAATTAAACATAGAGTCCTTTGATGAAGATTTAATTTCTGTAAGTCAAAAATTATTCTCAAAGAAATGAGAATTATATTGTACCAATACACATTTTAAATAAACTTTTAAAAAATTTTACTTGAACTCTGTATTCTTGAACTCAGTTGTTCTGCTGTGTGTTGGTTTAAAGATCCTGTCATTTTGTTTTTTGCACATCTGAGTAGAAATCTCCAGCTGAGATTTGGTATTCATCAAATCTTTCTGTAGTTGTTGATTTTCAGACACTAATTTATTTAATGCCTCAATATAATTCTCCTGGAGGTCTGCTAGTGAAATCTCTTTTGCCTAATAAAAAAGAATACTAGAGTCACTTAATCTGTACAAGAATACCTGTGATCTGTGATACTGCTGGTTGGAAAATTCAGTGTTTTTTAGTTGTAAGTAGTTAATCTATGGCTTTAATGAAGCTTTGTTTTTAGGCCTCCTAAGACTAACAGAGATAAAGAATTCTTCAAGTAAATGGTAGTGGAACACTAGAAGCACAACGGGCTTCCTTGTGTGGCAAGGAATTCCAAGAAGGTGGAGGAAGGATGGAATCAGGATGGAGGAAAGCTGTAAGAGGGAATCAGAAACAGGGAAGAAGAAGGAAAATAGCAGCCATGTTTCTTCTGCAAGAAGGTGAAGGTTGAATAGCCCCAGAATACTAATGAAAGAAAACGGAGACCTAGTTCAAGGAAAGAAATTTGAACAAAAAGTTGTGAGAAAAATCTTCTGGCTGGCAGGGACAACTTTTAAATAAATAATCTCTAATCTTAAACACTTTTCTACAACTTTGGTATCTACTCATATATAAATTTGGACATGATAAAGCAGGATTCAAGTATATAGTGGGAATTACTATTCTGATCTGGTATCATAAATTTTATTGCTCTTCAATTCTAGGTGTTTCCTGGTAAGACACTACTTGAAAAAATGGTAGTCTGGGTGATTTTTTTTCTAATGACAAAATATTTTAATTAGTATTATGCAAAGTTATGGTAATCTTTGGAGTTTAATACCATGGTTAGCTTGGTCTTTTCTGTAAAAAAAAAAAAAAAAAAAAAAAAAAAACAAATTATGAAAGTAAGCTGGTCAAGAGTGGTCTGACAAACATAATTTTCCTAACAAAAACATAAACTTTAAAATATACCTGTGAACTATCTGTGTACAAGTAGTGACTATGAGCTACAAAATCTTTCAACAAGTTGTCAATGCCAGATAAAATATCAGAGAAGAACATCTGCAGGACATACGAGTTAAAATGAAACTATTATCGGTTTTTAAAACATGGTCAGTAATTTATCAGAGCTGTTGCTTTCATTATTAAGATAATTAGGTAATTTATTAAAATAGACATTTAACCCAAACATTCATTTGTACAAGTAACTTCAGCTTCCTACATGGTAAAATACAAAAGGGCATTTTCTAATAATTATTCTTCATAATATGTACAACATATTCACACTGTATGTAATTTCAAAACTAGAGAAAGCTTAAACTGCTGACAAGGTTTTCACCAGTTTGATGTCTGATGTCATTAAACATACTTATTAAAAAATGATAATGCTTACCTTCATTCAGGTATGTTTTAAAAATTTCTCTAAGTTATTATTTTATAAACAATTACTACAGATAAATGAATATGAAAGGTAATATGAAAACTGAGTAGCGAGCACACATCTAGCTGTCTAAAGAAAGAACAGTATTACCACTATTATTGATAGCTGGAAGTTTCAGGAGAAATTAAGCTGAACAGCATCTCTGGTCATGGTCTGGCTTAAGTTCCCCTGAGAGTTCTCAATTCTTAAATATGAACAGATAATCACTGCATAAGATAAGAGTCTCTCAACCAAGTACTGCTGAATCCTAAGCCTTTACAGAATTCTGTGGTGTAAATCAGTTTAGTTCTTAGAGTTCTCCACTACTAGCTTAGTATTGACTTTATTAGGGGATATCAAGTTCCCTCCCTCCCTTCCTTCCTTCCTTCCCTCCTTCCCACTTTCCCCCTTACAAAATGTTTAGCTATTGTCTCCTCTCCTATTATTCCCAACCTCGTGGGTTTGCGCTTTAAAAATAAATCCTTTCGAAAATTTTCTCCCATTTTGTAGGTTGCCTGTTCACTCTGATGGTAGTTTCTTTTGCTGTACAGAAGCTCTTTAGTTTAATGAGATCCCATTTGTCAATTTTGGCTTTTGTTGCCATTGCTTTTGGTGTTTTAGACATGAAGTCCTTGCCCATGCCTATGTCCTGAATGGTATTGCCTAGGTTTTCTTCTAGGGTTTTTATGGTTTTAGGTCTAACGTTTAAGTCTTTAATCCATCTTGAATTGATTTTTGTATAAGGTGTAAGGAAGGGATCCAGTTTCAGCTTTCTACATATGGCTAGCCAGTTTTCCCAGCACCATTTATTAAATAGGGAATCCTTTCCCCATTGCTTGTTTTTCTCAGGTTTGTCAAAGATCAGATAGTTGTAGATATGCGGCATTATTTCTGAGGGCTCTGTTCTGTTCCATTGATCTATATCTCTTTTTTGGTACCAGTACCATGCTGTTTTGGTTACTGTAGCCTTGTAGTATAGTTTGAAGTCAAGTAGGGTGATGCCTCCAGCTTTGTTCTTTTTGCTTAGGATTGACTTGGCGATGCGGGCTCTTTTTTGGTTCCATATGAACTTTAAAGTAGTTTTTTCCAATTCTGTGAAGAAAGGCATTGGTAGCTTGATGGGGATGGCATTGAATCTGTAAATTACCTTGGGCAGTATAGCCATTTTCACGATATTGATTCTTCCTACCCATGAGCATGGGATGTTCTTCCATTTGTTTGTATCCTGTTTTATTTCCTTGAGCAGTGGTTTGTAGTTCTCCTTGAAGAGGTCCTTCACATCCCTTGTAAGTTGGATTCCTAGGTATTTTATTCTCTTTGAAGCAATTGTGAATGGGAGTTCACTCATGATTTGGCTCTCTGTTTGTCTGTTGCTGGTGTATAAGAATGCTTGTGATTTTTGTACATTGATTTTGTATCCTGAGACTTTGCTGAAGTTGCTTATCAGCTTAAGGAGATTTTGGGCTGAGACAATGGGGTTTTCTAGATATACAATCATGTCGTCTGCAAAGAGGAACAATTTGACTTCCTCTTTTCCTAACTGAATACCCTTTATTTCCTTCTCCTGCCTAATTGCCCTGGCCAGAACTTCCAACAGTATGTTGAATAGGAGTGATGAGAGAGGGCATCCCTGTCTTGTGCCAGTTTTCAAAGGGAATGCTTCCAGTTTTTGCCCATTCAGTATGATATTGGCTGTGGGTTTGTCATAGATAGCTCTTATTATTTTGAAATACGTCCCATCAATACCTAATTTATTGAGAGTTTTTAGCATGAAGGGTTGTTGAATTTTGTCAAAGGCCTTTTCTGCATCTATTGAGATAATCATGTGGTTTTTGTCTTTGGCAACCTACTCATCTGACAAAGGGCTAATATCCAGAATCTACAATGAACTCAAACAAATTTACAAGAAAAAAACAAACAACCCCATCAAAAAGTGGGCAAAGGACATGAACAGACACTTCTCAAAAGAAGACATTTATGCAGCCAAAAAACACATGAAAAAATGCTCATCATCACTGGCCATCAGAGAAGTGCAAATCAAAACCACAATGAGATACCATCTCACACCAGTTAGAATGGCAGTCATTAAAAAGTCAGGAAACAACAGGTGCTGGAGAGGATGTGGAGAAATAGGAACACTTTTACACTGTTGGTGGGACTATAAAGTAGTTCAACCATTGTGGAAGTCAGTGTGGCGATTCCTCAGGGATCTAGAACTAGAAATACCATTTGACCCAGCCATCCCATTACTGGGTATATACCCAAAGGACTATAAATCATGCTGCTATAAAGACACATGCACACGTATGTTTATTGCGGCACTATTCACAATAGCAAAGACTTGGAAGCAACCCAAATGTCCAACAATGATAGACTGGGTTAAGAAAATGTGGCACATATACACCATGGAATACTATGCAGCCATAAAAAATGATGAGTTCATGTCCTTTGTAGGGACATGGATGAAATTGGAAATCATCATTCTCAGTAAACTATCACAAGAACAAAAAACCAAACACTGCATATTCTCACTCATAGGTGGGAATTGAACAATGAGATCACATGGACACAGGAAGGGGAACATCACACTCTGGGGACTGTTGTGGGGTGGGGGAAGGGGGGAGGGATAGCATTGGGAGATATACCTAATGCTAGATAACGAGTTAGTGGGTGCAGTGCACCAGCATGGCACATGTATACATAGGTAACTAACCTGCACAATGTGCACATGTACCCTAAAACTTAAAGTATAATAATAAAAGGAAAAAAATAAAAATAAAATAGAACAAAAATAAATCCTTTCATGACAGTTTTAGAGGGATTTGAGGATAGAGCAAGATCAGATGAGTGTTTTCATCTGCCACCTTCAATGACAGTGTAATATTCATAAAATCAAAAATTAACCATTGAAATAAATATAGTTTATTTCAAAATTTTGGATATTGCGAACAATACTTCAATGACCATTTTATGCACACTTGCTCCTAGAGAATGGTTTCCATGGGAATGTAAAAAGATAAGACCATTCTGAAAACAATTCAGCAAGGACTATCAAAATCAGAAACACACATGACCCAGGAATTTAGAGGCTATACGTATTTACGCATTTGATGGATATTGCTAAGCTGTCCTCTAGAAAGGCCGTATCAATTCACTTTCTCATTGACAGTGCAATAAGTCTGTTTCCTTACATCTTTCTAACACTGGCTATATATTAGTTTTTAAAGGTTATTATCAAACCAATTAGTAAAAGAATGTCTATTTTGCTTTATTAGAGAGGTTGAACAGTTTTCTTTGTTTACTAGATATTTATATTAATTCTGTGAGGTATCTATCTACATTCTTTGCCTATTTTTCTACTAGATTATCTTTTCCTTATTATCTTTGTAGGGAATTTTTATATATTAATAATTTACATTAACCTTTTGTCTGATTATAAACTGTTTTCTCCCTATTAGTCTTTTTTAATAGGGCCTTTTACCATCCAGAAACTTCACATTTTTATGTTGTAAAATCCTCTATGGCGTCATGATGTTTGGAGAATCTTACCCTTCTGAAAGATTACAAAAATAGTCCCCCATTTTTCCAGTTGAAATAAGGTACTCTATAATAGTCTTTTGCATGTTCTTCCACCCCAGTATCCACAATCCTGGATTGTGAAATTAGAATTTTTCAGAGCAAACAGGGAGCATGTTGGAACCATATATCTTTTTGGAGGAATACTCTCTGGAAATGCAGGAAAAAAGCATTTATACAATTTTCAGACATCTGACCTACACCAAGAAAAGATGGGTCAGAATAGATGAGTCATTTTGCAAATTATAGGAATTTTGTAACAAAACAGTTAAAAGAGCATCTATACTGTAATTCACTGTTGGCTAATCATGTTCTCTCTGGTTTCACAGAAGCTTGTATGCATTTCTTATCCTTGCTACTAGATTACTCTAGTCTCTTAAAGGCTAGAGTAATTTGAGTAATTGCAGCTGATCCAAAATCTCTCTTAAAGGCAAGAATGCTATCTTATTCAGCCTGTGTTCATTATAGCACCTACTAAAAGTCCTTGGATATAAAAGATTCTAAAATATTTTATTATGTGAATATCTTGTAGAAATAAAATTAAAATTAAATTATTTTAAAGACAATATACTTTCTAAAAAGATAACAAACATAATAATCATTAACAATAATAATAATAATAATAATACCACCATCTAGGATGTATTGCATACTTACTAAGTGTCAGGTACTATGTACTATATGCTAAGTCCTTCATATACATTCTTCCAACTAAGAACACAGACTGTAGGTAAATTTTATCACATACATAATATAAAAAAATACCTTCCTGGCCGAGCACGGTGGCTCATGCCTGTAATCCCAGCACTTTGGGAGGCTGAGGCGGGCAGATCACCTGAGATTGGGAGTTCGAGACCAGCCTGACCAACATGGAGAAACCCTGCCTCTACTGAAAATACAACATCAGCCAGGTGTGGTGGCGCATGCCTGTGATCCCAGTTACTCAGGAGGCTGAGGCAGGAGCATCATTTGAACCCGGGAGGTGGAGGCTGCGGTGAGCCAAGATCACGCCATTGCACTCCAGCCTGGGTAACAAGAGTGAAACCCCGTCTCAAAAAAACAAACAAAAACCCTTCCTGCTGCTGGAGTGGAGAGTCATATTTTGCTCACTTCCAGTATTGTTTTACCTTCATTTTCTTTGAGAAAATTTCTGCAAAAGGATCTAAGTTGATCTTAATTCTCTCTTTATAATGTAAATATTTACAAAGTAATTTTTTTGAAGGCTTGGATAGTAGAAAAACTTAAGTTTCTATTTATGTACCTCATGTAAACCCAATTCCAATTTCATCACCATTTCAGAAAGATGACGATTTTCTAATTTGAGTGACTCCAGCTGATCCAAAATCTCCTGAAAAGGGGAAAACAGAAAAAAATAAATATAACATGTAAATCACATGCATCTTACAAAATTTTTCCACATGGAATTTTCATTAGGCTAAGTCATATTCTTCATTTATATATATATACATATACATATTTATATATATATATACATATATATATGTACGTGTGTGTGTGTATATATATATATATATATATATATATATATGGACTTTCTAAAAAGATTTTTAAGATGTTATTAAGGTGAATGAACATGAATGGGATGAAGATATCATTCTAATAGGATAAATCAGGTGACAAAGCAGCAAAGTTTCAATCCACTGAACCCCTTAAATCCCTACCCATTCTCCTGTGCTGGCCTCCTCCAATTTGGCTTCTACCTGCAACGTCACATGGAATTGTACTTTATTCACAAAATAACAACTTATATTCAGTTCTCATTCCCCTCAGCTTTTGTGCTTGACCATTCCCATTTGAAAATATTCCTTCTTTCCTTGGCTTGGCAAAAACTATCTGATTTCCCTCCTCACTGCTCCTTTTTTTAAGCTTCATTCCAACATCTTTTTTACACTAAATGAGAAGTATCCTAAGTTTGGTTTGAGTCACTTCTCTTCTTACGCTATGCTTTCTCACTATAATCATTAAGTCTCTCAGGGGGTTTCAAATGTCACCATGAAGAAAGGACAGCCACAGCTAAATGCCTAATCCTGATTTTAATCTTCAACTCCAGGCCTTCTGTGGAATTGACTATTACCCATACAAAATTCCAGCCTTTATTCCAAACAAATGTGTCAAACCAATGTCCTCTCCACCAGTTTCCCCAGTCTGTGTACTTTTCACACAAATTCATCATCCTTCACCAAACTTGCTCCCTGTCTTTTCTCTATTTCATTAAAAAGCATCACTTTCCATCAGTTGCCTAAGTTTAAATCCTGTGGAGCACCATTCCTTAACTCTGCCTACCTCACCTTCCCTGCCAATCAAATACAATGCCCAGTCATTTTTACCAGCCCAGTATCTCCAGAATTCATCCATTTCCCTCTGCCTCCCTTGCCCACTGCTCAGGCCACCATCTTACCACTGTAACAGCATCTGGGTGCTCTGTCTCCCTGCTTATTCTCCATTTAAGGACCACTGAATTTTACTCCTGCTTGCAGCCATTCCCTACTGACCTCAAGGTCACAGTATAACTCCTTTACGTGGCTAACGTAGCCCTTCAGCAGCCAGTCCCTGCTTTCCAGTCTCATACCTTCCACTCATCCCACTTGTACTCTAGTTTCAACCACAGCAAGCGTGTTTCTACTCTCTCTTAGAGACCTCTGTATTTTCCTGTGCCTGAAACACTTTTCCTCCCCATCACCCAGCTTGCTCCTAACTTAGCTTTGCTATCACACCTTCTGGAAGGCCTTTGCAGCGAGTGGTCTAGATTCAGGCTGCTTGTGATCTCTAGTGACTCTCACCATACACCACTGATACAGTCACTTTACTTGTCTGTGTCTACTCTCACCTCCCCACCATGCTCACTAAACTCTTTGCTAGCCAGCATACTCTCAGCTCAAAGCAGGTATCTAATAAAAATTCACTGAATTAAATATTATGAAAATTATGTCTTTAATCAACTCCATCTTTAAAACAAATTTCAAATTTAAAAAAGGTTTTGTTCAGGCTTCACCTTATGCTCTACTGCTTTGTCTTCTGCCTTTTGCATCTCTGCTCTGAGTCGCTTTTCCATGTCTGAGGAAGAACCTTTGGTGGAAGCAATAGTGATATCTCGCTGATGTAACTCCTGAGTTAGATGGGAGATTTCCATCTTCATTCCTTCTAGTGCAGAACTGTAACTTTGTTCACCCTGTAAAATCTGTTCTTTCAACTATAAAGAAGCAGAAAAGAAAGCACCAAAAGTTAAGAGAAAGCATTTAGATAGAATAATATGTTACTAGCTAATAAAATAAAAGTTCACCTTATCTCAAGACATTAAATTTCTCTTAAATTAAATCTGCAGAAAAATTAGCAATTTACCAAGTTGCATATCTGTACTGAAGGTCAGGTGGTTATACCTACAATCATTTATTATACCTCAAAACAGGGAGAGATGGGTTATTCAAGTGCTGAGGACCAGAATCAAGGTCCATGCACACAATTTAGAGGAGAGTACTTGTGACCTTCATTCTTTTTTTTAGTTGTGAATCTAAAAGTTTTGCTCATATGGTATCTTAGTCCACAGGATAACAAATAGAACAAGAGGAAGTAAGGAACTAGAAGTAATCTTAAAGAAGTAACAAAAAATACAAATCAAACAAATAGGACAGTTAGGGCCCATTCATATAGACACAAACAGCTCTGCATACCTCAATAGCTGACAAGGATACTAACTACATCATAGCACAGGAGACAATACATAAATACTATCTTTAGGCAATAAGAAAATATTAAGTGACAGTTCATATTTTTTTGCAAGCAACAGAGTGTATGTCTTTTAGAAAACTTTTCATCAAAACATGTTTAAAATAAAGTTTTTGAGTTCAAAGGGGACAGCCTTCAATTATCTTAAAAATATTTATTGGGCATCAGGGGCGATGCCAAAGAAAGAAGGCACTTTCCCTATGCACATTCCACAAACTCTTCCACTCCTAAATATCAAGTGGTCCCTTGAACTACATTTTTTTCTCATTAAAAATAACCCCTATAATCTCCCAATCCACAGCTTTGTCCATAAACACATACAATTTTGCAATCCTAGGTATGCAGATTTTTACCTTCTTAATCTCTGCTTTGTATTCATTGTTATGTGCTTCCATCCTCTTCAGTTCTTCATATTTTTCCATTAGTTCTTGGCTCAGCTGTTTACACGTTGCACTCACAGATTCCAAACTGTATGACAAAAATAAGATCCCATACTTAAAACCAAAATCCTGAAACCTATAAATTGGACTATCTAATTTACATTCTTGATATCCAAAAAATATCCAGCCAATATCTTAAACATCACCTCAGTCATTTAAAATATTACTAAAAAGCCAATCAATAAAAAAACTGTGATAAAAATGTAAACTGTTGTCCCAACGTCAAAAATAATAAACTTAATTTTAGTCAAACGGAAGAGTACACATATACTTCAATAATAACAAAGACTATCTCAAGTACTCCAAGTATTCCAAAAGGAATAAAGCAGAAAATATGTGTGTGTATGCATGTTTGTGTATTTAACATGTAGATAAAAGTAAGAAAATACTTACTGGTTTCCAAAACCAGAAATAAATGTAAAAACAAAAAATGTATTACTTAAAGATAACCTAAAAAGTGTAAAATGATATTTCTCTTGTTGTTTGCCTAAAGGTTAACAGTTCATGTTAAAAGCAATTTTATCTTTTACATACAGAAAATGTCAGTGTACAAATGATCATGATTCATGTGTTTAAAACAAGATATCACACTCTTCCCAATCAAAAAGTTGAGAGGTTATGAAAAACCAAAAAAAATTCTATAAGTACGACAATGACAAGTGTTTAGGTGGGTATGGTATAGCATTAGTCAGGATTCAATTAACACCCAAGGAAGTAACAACACCACAGCAGAACAAAAAGGATCACCATGTGTCAACTGTTACCCCTTCCTACCCTGCTTCTGAGGTGGCAAGGAGGAAAACCTAAGTGAAGGGCTGCTAAACAGGTGAAAGGTAAAGAAGTAGAGTCAGTATAGACAACTCTTTTGAAGAATTTGGTCTTAAAGAGAAGTACAGAAATGTGGAAATAACTTGACGGAGACATAGGATTAAGGGATGGTTTTTCCCCCAGATGGGTGATGTTACAGCGTATTTTATACCAGTGGATAGATTCAGCAGACAGAAAGAACTTGATGATGCAGAAGAGAAAGGATATAACTACAGAAAAAGGACACAAGTGGAGTGGTTGGTCTTAGAAGTGCAGAAAGGCACAGGTATGGGCAGACTGGTAGATTTGATGACAGAAAGATTAAGAGGTTCTCCTTTAATTGCTTCTGTCTTCTCAATGAAATAAGAACTTAGGGCAGGGTGCGGTGACTCATGCCTGTAATCCCAGCACTTTGGGAGGCCAAGGCAGGTGGATCACCTGAGGTCAGGAGTTCAAGACCAGCCTGGCCAACATGGTGAAACACCGTCTCTACAAAAATATAAAAATTAGCCAGGCATGGTGGTGCACGCCTGTAATCTCAGCTACTCAGGAGGCTGGGGCAGAAGAATCAATTGAACCGGGAGGCGGAGGTTGCAGTGAGCTGAGATTGTGCCATTGCACTCCAGTCTGGGTGACAGAGCGGACTCCGTCTCAAAAAAAAAAAAAAAGAAATAAGAACTTAGGCCATTTGTGGATACTAGAAAAAAATCTTATTTTTTTTACTATGACTATTACATTCATTTACAATATGATGATCAAAAATTCATTTTAACAACTTGAAATTTTTGAAATGTGTGTATAATTATGTACCTGCCTTCAAGACAAGTCACCTCTGCCTGCAGAAGGTCCTCACTAGTATGGGTAAAATTCAACTGGGAGAGCACACTGTCTAAGTCCCCCTGCCCTTGAGAGGTGTACTTCTTTTCTGCCAGAGATTCTTCCCGTGGCCTATGGAAAGACATAGGATGATTGTTAACGCCTTTATCTCTGCAAACAAAAATAATGCTCATCTAGTCTGTGTTTCCCCATCATTTTTGGTAACCTCTTTGGAACTCTTCAAGTTTGTCTCCTGCTTTATAAAAAGAATATTGGGAGAGGAAAGAAAGAGTCAAGAGATGCTGATACTTCAAAAAGTAGCAATTTACTCCCTTCTTAACTGGGATTTGGCCTTTTTTCAAGGGAAAAAGACAAAATGGCAAAATCACTTCAGTGACACTTGAAACCCTGTACCAAAAAAACTGAAAAGTTACAGGAGAATTCTGGCAAAAATAAAAGTGTGCATCAGACTTAAATCAAGCAAGAGGGCTAGCCCAATGGCTGGCTGCTATTAATGATAAGCAGCTACTAATCACAACTTATTCCACCAACAAAGTGAGGCCTCCAGGAGACATGGATGACAATTCCCTGCACATTTGGATTTTCACCAAGCATGCAAACTGACCTTGGTTTCTAACTTTCTAAACATGAGAGTCTCTGTTAGGGACCCTAACTGGTGGCAGAAGAAAATTAACCACACAAAATTTTATAACACTTTAAAAACCTAACTCAGAAGTTAAAGCCAATTAAGAAAATCCACAATATGATCAAACATAAAATTATGAATATGCAATATGAAAACTAGTGCTTGGATGGGCGTGGCAGCTCACACCTGTAATCCCAGCACTTTGGGAGGCTGAGGTGGGCAGATCACCTGAGGTTAGGAATTTAAGACCGGCCTAGCCAACATGATGAATGCCCGTCTCTAAAAATACAAAAAACTAGCCAGGTGTGGTAGCATGCACCTGTAGTCCCAGCTACTTGGGAGGCTGAGCCTGGAGAATGGCTTGAACCTCGGAGGTTGAGGTTGCAGTGAGCTGAGATTGCACCACTGCACTCCAGTCTGGGCAACAGGAGACTATCTGAAAATAAAATAAAAATAAAAATAAAAATAAGCCTAGTGCTTAATACCTAGTCATTAAGTGGCTAAGATGAATAATATTTAAGATTAAATTTACCTTATAGCTTCTACAGCATGTTGAGTGTTAGTTGCCTTTACTTTTTCTTGTAACTTCTCCTTTTGTATTCTGGCCTCATGTATGAGATTTTCTTGAGACTGAAGAGCTGCCTTCAATTCTCTCTTTTCTTCCTGCAGAGCCTGCAAAAAAGTCAAATATGATTATAATTTTCCTTCTTTTTAATTCCTGCAGAACCTGCAAAATACTCAGAAATTTCTAAGCCAGCTATTATTACAATTTTTCTATTTCACGAGAAGCCAGGAAGTCAGACTATAAGTTACGTAACAATATTACAATATTGTAAATATTGTAATAAAGTCACAATATTAGTAAAACTATCAATATCTGATCCATCATTTATAAAGTAGGGAAGAAAGTATGGATTGTAGAACCTAGTTCTAGCTTAATAACACTCTCTTAAAATACTCATACACACACTTCCCCCAATTATAGTGATTTTAAAACATACCTCTAATAGTTTTTCAGATTCCCTCAATTTTTCTTCTTTTTGCTGCTGCTCCTGTAGGACAGTCATACTGGTTCCAACCAAGTCATTGACCCTCATGGTGAGGCGCTCTATTTCCAACTCATTGGCACAGATAGTGTCATTAGCCCGCTCCAGTTTACTGCTTAAGTGTTGAATTTCTGATTGGCTAGAAAGTTCCACAGACTCTAATTTCTGTTTCCGATTGACAAGCTGAGCCTAGAAACACAGACTATCAATCAATAGGTAAAAGGGAAATGATAAAATAATCAATGAATAAGACTAAAATGAAACTATTATTTCCATAAAAACATAAAGCATTGGCTCACTAAAATATATATATATATATTGCGAAGGGGTAAGAAAGAATTGAGAGGCTGGGAGTGGTGGCTCACGCCTGTAATCCTAACACTATGGGAGGCTGAGGCAGGCAGATCGCTTGAGCTCAGGAGTTCGAGATCAGCCTGGAAACATGGCGAAACCCTGTCTTTATAAAAAATACAAAAATTGGCCGGGTGCAGTGGATCACGCCTGTAATCCCGCACTTTGAGAGGCTGAGGTGGGCGGATCATGAGGTCAGGAGATTGAGACCATCCTTGCCAACATGGTGAAACCCGTCTCTACTAAAAATACAAAAATTAGCTGGGCGTGGTGGCGCGTGCCTGTAATCCCAGCTACTCGGGATCGGGAGGCTGAGGCAGGAGAATCACTTGAACCAGGGAGTTGGAGGTTGCAGTGAGCCGAGATTGCGCCACTGCACTGCAGCCTAGTGACAGAATGAGACTCTGTCTCAAAACAAACAAACAAACAAATAAAATACAAAAATTACCCGAGCACAGTGGCATGGGAGGATCACATGAACCCAGGAAGCGGAAGTTGCAGTGAGCCAAGATCGCACCACTGCACTCCGGCCTGCGTGACAAAGTAAGAACCTGTCTCAAATAAATAAATAAATAGAAAAGAATGGATAAAGTAAAGGGATTCCTCAGGAGAAGAGATGCTACAGTATTCTACCTACTCACACAGAAATTCAACCGCAACCTGGCTGGAATTATTTCCTATTTAAAACATAGGAAATAGGAACTATAATGCATTATTATATTTCTGATGGAAGTTTAGAAATTAGAATTTCAAAATCACTAAATTTGTAGTTTAAATTCCCCCCCCCACCTAGAGCATGTTGTAATTATTCTGTTTTAACATTATAAACATTCATATTTAGATTAGTCATCGTGACCATAAAATGCTCTTTAAATTCAGAGAAATGGGGAAATTGTGGTCTTTTGTTTATTGGAGGAAAAGGTGCTTATAAGGGAGGAGAGATTGGTTCTGTCATCAGTTTTTGGACACTTCCTGAGTTAAAAGAGGTAAACAAATATAATGCATCTCAAACTGGTTTCTCTGAATGATACGTTTACTGACTACTATGTTTTAGGCTATGCATCCCAGCAGTATTGGGTTTTAGCTCCAAACTTTTTAGTTTTTACAAGTTTTAATCCAGCATCCTGGCTGGTACTTCATCTACACATTGAAGATGAATATAAATAATCTGTAGAGGTAAACTTCCCTTACTCGAAATATTTCTAAAGGTAAAATCACACAATTTTACTTTAGAAATACAAGTAGAAATATCTCTGGGAAATCTATCTATTGCAGATTTAAAGATTTTATTATTTACAGTACAGGTCCAAATCCTGTACTATATACTGTAGTCAAATAAAGTAGATGCTAAAAACTTCCCATAAGCCAGAGAGAGGGTAGGAGAGAGGTGAAGAGATAGACAAATACTGTTTGTATAAATTACCGATCAAGATTTCAGTGCAAAGAGCCTTTTTTTTTTTTTAACCAGATCCCTACAATGGTATAAAGGAAGAACATCAACATTTAGGTTTAGATTCACTAGAACAACTGCTAAGCATGGAACTGTCTCCAAACTTTTAAATATAATATAAACTTTTCTTTCAAAGAGGAAAGGTTTCCTGTGCAGAATAAATAAATGCAGATATTGGGTGAGGGTGAGAAGGAGAAAAGGGTTAGAGCCCAGCTTGCTGAAATGTCCCTTAGTCCTACCCTTAATCTGTACAGCAGCCCTGGGTCTCAGCAAAACACAACTAGAAACCCACTGCCAAAATGGGCACTCAGATAATACATAATTGCAAAACACTATCTTTTTAATACTGTAATAGCTACCTAACACTATCAACTCAAATCTGTGATCTTAAACTCAGTATTGATATAATAAACTAATAGTTAAACCAAGGCATACTTTAACCAGTGAGTCTAGATTTGCTAAATACTAATAAACTTCTCAGTTTTGAAGAATGGAGAACATAACCTTCTTTCACTGATTTACTATTTTGGTCACACAAAAATACAGTGTTTTTTAAGCATAGTGAAAAGTACATTAATCAACTCAAGTACAAATTCTAAATTTTCATTGCCTAGAATGCACTAGGGCTGCAATACCATTGCAGTCACCCACACGCGGATATTGCACAACTGAACTGTGGCTAATCTGAATTGAGATGTGCTCTTAACCGTAAAATACAAATTCAGTTGAAGATTTCAAAGACTCATTAAAAAAATGTAAAGTAAATGTTGTAATATTTCTGACATATTGAGTTGAATATATTATTAAAATTAATTTCACCTTTTTACTTTTTAATGTGACTAGTAGAAAATTTTAAATTACATGTGACTCACCAATATCTATTAGCACTACACTAATCTCAAGAACACTTCATCAATACTAAGAAAGTCAGAAATAATTATTTAAAAACTTCTAAAATAATGATTATTTCTGATAATTATCTGGCTTTAGAGGTATTTTAAGGCTGGCATATTTTTAAACTTTTTTTTTTTTTGCACTAACCACTAATTCTTTGAGCCAGAAACAGGCATTCCTCTTATTAATCTAACATTTAGCATTCTATTGGAGTGGGTAGAAGTTATTTCAACAATACAAATCACAGCAGAGGTGGTTAAAAGTAAAGAAGCAATCAAGAAGGCAGTTTACATCAGGGAGACTGAAACTGAAACAAAAGGCCAGTGTGGCCAGCTAAAGTGTGAAAGAGAGTGGAGAAGAAATTGGGGAGTGGGGGTTGAATTCAAATCCTCTTCTGGATTTGTGATAGCTACTTCCTGGTGCTTCAAGAAAATGACTCTCCCAGAGAGTGAGATTACTATGAACAATGTGATATGAAGCAACAAGGCTTTTTATTTTCCAAAGAATCCCAGTATGAAGGTACGGCCATTGTAAGCATCAATCCCTTACCAAGCTCCCCATCACTGTCAACTCCAAATGCGCCAGTGCAGGCCACAGCCTCACAGCATTTCCACTAGAGAGCAGCCTAAAGAGCCTATTAACAACACAGCTCCTAGTAAGATTCTCTTATCACTGTTGTGTCTATGCTACTACGAACTTTTAAACAGTAGGTCTAAGCCAATTCAATTAACTCTGATAATTCTACCAAGACAACAGATCAACATTTGAGTTAGGGTCATTTTTTTCTTCAAAAGTTGTGACAGGAAAAGGATGCTTTTAAAAATACAACATATATACGTATAAATATATTTATATACATATAATTAACAGTGGATTTAAAATTAACTTGAAGAATATTTTACAGCTCATCTAAGTATTTCAAAAGGAAAACATAGAGCAACCTCTACTTTTTTCACATACTGTTTATCAGTTAAATATTTTACATTTTATGTTGGCTTAATATTTTAATTTTTTTCAAATGTTCTTACTGTTCTCTAAGATTTCCTTGAACATTTCCTTTGCATTATGTAGGCAACAGAAAAAGTAGCCTTCTAAACAGAAATGACCTTAGTTTTAGACTGTACTGATCCTTTTCCTATACTATATAACCACGACTCTTTTGTTACATCTAGCATTACAGTTTAACAACTGTACTTTTTAATAAAATACATTTTAATATTTGATAGAACAAACATCCCCCCATTACTCCTTTTTAAAAAATGCTGGTGGCCAGGCGCAGTGGCTCACACCTGTAATCCCAGCACTCTGGGAGGCTGAGGCGGGTGGATCACTTGAGGTCAGGAGTTCGAGAAAAGCCTGACCAGGATAGTAAAACCCCATCTCTACTAAAAACACAAAATCAGTTGGGCATGGTGGTGCACGCCTGTAATCCTAGCTACTTGGGATGCTGAGGAGGAGGATCGTTTGATCTGGGAGGCGGAGGTTGCAGCGAGCCGAGATTGTGCCACTGCACTCCAGCCTGGGCAACAAGAGCGAAAATCCGTCTCAAAAAAAAAAAAAAAAAAAAAAGTTGGCTAGTATCGTTCATTTATCATTCCATATGAATTTTAGAGTCATTTTGTCCAATCCTGAAAATGTAATAGTCAGTAAATTATATAACCATTTAAAAAACAAATTTAGATTCCTATCAAATACCTTACACTAAAGTAATTTTTAGATAAAATGTATTAAAAAGAAATGATAAAGCATTAGAAGAAATTTGACTTAGGTAAGACTTTATAGTATGATATCAAAGATAGAAACGCTGAACAAAAAATTGATAGAATTAAGCAATTCTAATTAACTGTTTATAAAACAATTGTACTTCCATAAAAAATACTGGGCAAAAATTAAGGTAAATTGAGTACACATACGCAACTGTAACATAATAGCAAAGGGCTTATATTTCATACTTAAGTGTATGGAAAGCTCTTTCAGAATAGTAAAATATAAACATCCGGCCAGGTGCGATGGTTCACGCCTGTAATCCTAGCACTTTGGGAGGCCAAGGTGGGCAGATCACTTGAGGTCTGGAGTTCAAGACCAACATGGCCAACATGGTGAAACCCTGTCTCTACTGAAAATACAAAAATTAGCTGAGCGTGGTGGTGAGCACCTGTAATCCCAGCTACTCAGGAGGCTGAGGCAGGAGAACTGCTTGAAGGGAGGCAGAGGTTGCAGTCAGCCGAGATCAGGCCACTGTACTCCAGGCTGGGCAACCGAGGCTCCATCTCAAAAAAGAAAATAAATTAAGATTTAAAAAAAAAAAAAAAAAATCCTAAAACAAAGGTGAATAAAGGACACAAATAATTTATGAAAAATGAAGATGGCCATAAACAGATGAAAAAAGTCCTCAACCTCACTCATATTAAAACAATGTATATTAAAACAATGGTATCATTTTTTTTCACCTATAAGATTGGCAAAGACAAGCCTAAAAGTGGGGAAAGTCAAAAGAAATAATAGCGCTCAATGTGGGGAAAGTATGAGGAAATGGATATTCTCACATACTGCTAGAGAAAGTCTATCAATCCATCATTGGAGAAAACTTTGGCAATATATATTAAAATATTTGAAGGTACTCTGATACAGTAAATCCAATTCTAGGGCCATTTCCTAAGAAAATAAATACTCCTAAATGTTTATATAAGGATGTTAATCTAAGCACTATTTACAAAAGTGAAAAGTAAAAAACTAAATGTTCTACAATAAGGGACTGGTTACAAATGTCATTATACATTTAACGATAGGGGGGAATTCTACACAATCATTATGACTACAAATCTGTTGACATGTCATATTTAAAAAGGAAAAATTTTAAAGCTGTGACGTGCTTAGCATAGTACCTGTCACTTAGTAAGCATTCTATATATTTTAAAGTTATTGTTTCATGGAAAATTTCAAGCATACACAAATATAGAGAGAGTAAGATGATGAACCCCTATCACACAGCTTCAAAAATTATCAACACTTTGCTACTCTCAGGACTTTTTAAAGTTTGCAACTACCCCTCCTTTCCCATTCACAGTGCATATAGGTTTTTCCTATCAAAAGTACATGAATGTACTGCACACTGTATGTAAGCATACACAAAGTCAGAAGAAATTTACACCAAAATTTTATTCATCGTAAATCTCTTAACGGTAGAATTATGGGTGATTTATTTATTTCTCATTTTATCCGCATTTTCTCATTTTTCTAAAATAAGCATGTATTATGTAATTTTAATAGCTGATTAAAAGAAATGAATTCAAGCAAACATATGTCAAAGAAGGAGAAGTTGTTTCCGAATTATACTTTTAGATGTTAAAAACATATAAGAAAAAAATTATACAGAGATTTTTTTTTAATGGAGGGTAGGTTAATATCCACTTACTCAGCCTCCCAGGTTTTCTACTGTCATTGTTCAATGGTGACCCACCTTTCAACCAAATGCAATACATCAACCTTGACTGGATTCTGACTCAAACATTCAATTGTAAAAAGATAGTTTTCTGGACAACTGGAGAAATGTGAACAGACTGGATATTAAATTATATTAAGAAGTTATTATTCTATTAATGTGATACTGATATATTGTTATTTTTTAAGTCCTTACCTGTTGGGAAATAAGATGATATCTATGATTTGCTCTGTAATATTCCACCCAAAAATAAGAAGTAGGGAATGGTATAGAGTTTCAGTTTGACAAGATAAAAAAGTTCTAGAGATCTGTTGCACAACAGTGTACATATAGTTAACATTACTATACTATACATTTAAAAATGGTTAAGGTGGAACATTTTATGTGTATTTTACCATAATTAAAATAAAGATTGACAAGATGATGACAACTATTAATGCTACTTAATGGATATAGATAAGTTTATTTAGATGTTTAAAAAAATGATGATCATACAGCACTGGTATATACTGAATCACTGAAAGATTTAATTTTATTTAGTTTGCTAAGGGAGAAGGATAAATACATTTATATGTAACATTTTTATTAAACAATCAGACAGTTTTAGGTTAAACAAAACTATCAGAAGAATTAATTCAAACACCCTTAGTAGGAAAAACAAATGTTGGCTGTTGAAAGGCTTCTTACCCTAGCCCTAGCTGAATTACAGTAAGTAAAAATCCCATTTTTACTAATAATGAAGTTTTAATTACATAGAGTCAATAATCACAACAGTAATATGAAATAGGATAACAGTAATTTGAAGAGAGAATCTATAATCAATAATACTCCATGGATAAATAATTGAGAACTGTAAAAATTAAGACTCAATTTGCTTTTTTGTCAATCTGAAGGCTACAACTAGAATATAACAATATCTTGGTCAAGTGTGGTGGCTCACACCTGTAATCCCAGCACTTTAGGAGGCCAAGGTGGAAGGATTGCTGGAGCCCAGGAATTCAAGATCAGCCTGAGCAATGCAGCAAGACCTCATCTCAAGAAAACCAAAAAAAATTTTTTGTTGTTAAAAAAATATATATATACATATATATATATATATATATACACACACACACAATTTCTTATTAGGTCTCTATGGTGCTTTGGCATTCAAGTCAAAAAAACTGGTCCAGACATCTCAGGATTTCACTGGTCTGTCTGGCTGCACAGCTTGCTGTGGCCTAGAAAATAAATTTCTTCCTTGCAATTGTTGTGGACTTTTCCTACCATTTTGAATGAAGTCACTCACAGCAGAGCCACAGCCACTGTCGGTAGTTTATCAGACTGCTGATATTTCAGGGAGACGAACAAAAAGTTAATGCATTATTGAGACTTAAAATAGCAAATAAATGCAGATTATTTTTAAAAACCCAAAAAGCCAAAAAAAAAAAAAAAAAAAACCCTCCCTTCTAGCTATTTCAACTTACCCAGGCTGTTCCCTCATTCTATAAAACTAAGATAACTACCAACCTTGACAGATTATCATAATATTAAACAGAGAACACATACAAGAAGCACTGGGTCAATGTCTAGCACATAACAGATGATCACAAATTTTTTTAGTTTCCTTTATGTTCTTGATTCTAACTGAAAAAGGAATGAGCTGAATATGTTCTTACAAGACATATTCCTAAAGTAGGTGTCTGTTTTTTGGTTTTGCTTAAGCCATTACAAGAAAAGTTTCTATCAATGTTCTAAAATAAGTGTTTTTGTTACCACAAAGACACCACTTTTAGTTGGTGTGCACACCATTGCCATGTGACTCTCTCCGTATCTGTCCGCATAGGCAGACTAACTGAAGCTCCCTAGCTGAGACACTTCGGCCAAGATACCCCAGTGACCATAGGGATGGAGCAAGGCACAGACTATAGTAGAGCTGAGAGACCCAACAAGAGACAGAAAGACATGGAAAAGGAGACAGAGGGAGGAATGGGACTGTGGTAGGGAAGAAAGAGAGGGGAGGAAGAGAGGGCGACAAAGCTAGGGACCAAGATGAGGAGAGTGAACATGGATGCAAGCATAGAGTGAGCCTGAGTAAGCAAGACAATGACAGAGAGTGGGTGAGCAAGTCAGAAACAAGCAAGGAGGCAAAGCAGCAAGCGGGCACAAGGACATGAGCCTGGACAGGAGAGTGAATGCACGCATGTGTGAGGGCAGGCGGGAAGAAGGAGCTGAGTCTAGATGCTGAGGAGAGGCTTCCTAAACAAGAGAGCAGGGTTCGTGGAGAGAAGCTGAAAGAGGCTAAATGGTACTAGGACACTGCATTAAGGTAGTTCAAACTTGATCAAAACCTATCTGCTTCTCATTATTTTAAAAAGTCTTAGGCCTACCTGAATTATCTCTGATTGTTCAGCCAGAGCCTTCCTTTGTGCCTCCAGTGAAGATACCTGTTGCTGATAAATCAAGCGTTGCTTCTCCCAGTCCAGCGATTTCTGACGGAATTCCTGAGGAGGCAATTAGAGTACTTAATTTCTGAGTGCTTCTCCTCACTGTCACTACTTCCCAGACTCCCTTTAACTTTAATTTCTCCCCATGTCCCTGGGTACGCTTGCACCTTTCTCCACAGCGGGAGCCCCATTACTCACTCAGCTAACAGAGCTGGAGAGTAATACTAACTTCCTCACATACTGTGCCTCTGGATATCTGTCTTTCTAAATTTAACACCCTGATGGTGAGGAGTATGACACGCAGATGTTAAGCACTGGATTCAGATGTTTTTCACTGATTTGCTGCCACCTAAGGGTTGTTATAATTTTCTAGTGAATTTTCAGAAAACTGATGCTAAGATAACTAAAATTTTAAAGTATGATTACAGATATCCCTCGCTATCCAAATTCTTGATATCCAGACCCAGGAATTGAACAGATTAAATTTTCAGATAAGTCCCTTGGTAACCCAAATCTTACTTCCCAGTATCTAAAACTAAGGAACCAAGTAGATTCAGATAACACAATATCCTTTGATATCCAAATTTGTATTATCTCAACAGAGGAACTGCAAAAGTTTGAATAACAAAGAAAATCTGTACCAAATTTTAACAAATATTTGTAACCCAAAGCCAAACAGTTCAAAATTAATGATGGATCAATAGTAACATCAAATTGCATGATCAAGAAAGTGATTTCAATATTTATGAAAATGGGGCAAATCAAAGGGAAAGGAAACTCAATCTTTCTATCACTGTCTTCCAGGACCCTCAACTCCAGAAGTCTCAGGCTCCTTAAGATAAGTGTTGTTAACCAAATTTCTGATATTCATTCATTCATTCAATCATTCTACTATATATGCCAGGTACTGCTTTAGGAGTCAGGGATACAATACTTAACAAAACAAACAAAAACCCTAGTCCTACTCAACTGGGGGCAACAGATGACACATTTCTTGTATGGTATAGCAGATGGTAATACACGTTTTGGAGAAAACAGAGCATGAAGTCTTCACAGTTGGGGTTGTAATTTTTAAAAGGGATGGCCAGACTGAGTGAAAAACATTTAAGTAAACACCTAGGGAGATGAGGGTGAAGTTACAATATTCTGGGTGGAAAGAATAGCCTTGAAATAAGAGCATCCTGGTGTGTTTAAGGGTGAGAAAGGAAATTGGTGTGGCTGGAATAAAGTGAATGAAAGGGAAAGTAGGAGAAGACAAGGTAAGAGAGATAACTGGGAATGAGACCACGTAGGCCATTAGGATAACAGATTTTTAAGAGAAGCTGCTGGAAGGTTTTTGTATAGGAAGTGATATAATTTGACTTACATTACAGCAGAATCATTCTGGCTATCATGCTGAGAAAAGAGAAGTCTAGGATGACTCCGAGGTTTTAGGTTGAGCAAATTGAGTTGTTATCAACTAAAACATGAATCAGTGTTGGGGAGATGAGGAAGAGAAAGACAGGACCTTTAGCTTGGACATGTTAAGTTTGACACATTTTAGACATCATAGTGGAGATAGGAAACAGGCAGTTGAAAGTTATTCTGTCATGAAGAGGCGAGGTCTTGGCTAGATATATAAATTTAGGAATTGTCAGCATATACACAGTGTTAAAGCTATGAAATTCAATGGGATCAATAGGGGAGTGAGCGTAGATAGGAAAAAAAAAAAGGAAAGGAAAGGTCCAATGACATGACCCTAGGTGGTTAAGGAATAATGGAGACTGAGGAGTGATGAACAAGGAAAAAATGAGAGAAATGTGGTTTTTCTCAAGCCAAGTCAAGAAAGTGGTTAAGGAGTTGGGAGAGACCAGCTCTCCTACAAAGCTGTAGGTAGGATGAGGAAGATAAGGACCAGCCCACAGGCTTTGGGAATGTGGAAGTCACTGGTGACCTCTATGTGAACAGCTTCTGCAGTGTGAGGGGACAAAAGCCTTATTGAGTGGGTACAAGAACAATGAGACAAGAGGAACTGGAGACAAGTATAGATGACTGAAGTAATTTTTTAGTTATAAAATGGAAGAAATAAAATGGGGCAGAGGAGGAAGAGACGGGTCAAGAGAGGATATTTAAGAGGAGGGAAATTTGGATGCTGGTAAAAAATATCCAGTAGAGAAAAAAAATTAAGGGTGCAGAAAAGAGAAGGTGAACTGCTAAGGTAATGCCTTGGGTAGAAAAGGGGGAGGGCATGCGTAGTTCCTCCAGGAAGGAAGGCAGGGTACATGGGCACAGATGCAGATAGGTGGGTGGACACAAGAGTTGGAAGTCTATAAACAGAAAGGAAGATATAACCCAAAGGTGAGGATGTGGGGAAAGGTGTTGAGAGTTTGAGGAGAAAAGCAGAAGTCTGAAATACTCATTGTGGAAAGTAGGAGATGAGAGGAAATACAGTATGATTCCAGGTAGCATTAGGACCCATTTGAGGTTAGTGACCATGAATTTAAAGTGAGAACAGACAGTATGATTAGGTTTTTCTCTAGCCACGTTCAGCGATACATGACAGGTAGAGAGTGGGCAGAAAGGTGGACTTAAGCAGAACTGTGATTCTGCCAAGCAAATATGAGGAAGCAAGAGAGGAGCACAGGAGATGAAGGGGAAAGTAAAAAATGTAATGACAGAATTTAAAAGCTGGCTAAGGACCGATAAGTGAGAACACCAAGTAGATAATGGAGCAGTAAAAAGGTGGCAGAATTTAATCATTTTAAGGGATGGTTAATGATTACTGAGAGTCAAAGGACTAGAGAGAGTTAGCTGAAAAGATAGGGATTGGTAGTCTGATAATTGAATGCTTGAAAATGAGATTCTAGAGGGGTGGCATATATTGGTAATGACAAGAGCTAAGGAATGGCAGTGGGAATAAGTAGATGAGACACAAAGATAATCAAACTATCTATGGAGGAAAGAAAGCCAAGAAACTGTAAGGTCAGAGTATTATAAGCATCATCTCTCCAGATCCTAAGATCCTCAAAGTTATGATAAGAGTAATGTCAGAGAGAATTGACAGTGAGCTGGGTGCTGAAATCAATGAGCCAAGGAAATAACCCAGAGGTCAGACGATGACTATTTTGGTTGTTATGTTCATTGGCTGGCAGTATAGGCTGGTAACATGAAAATCAAAGATGGGGTTTTTGAGGTAGAAAGAAAAGAGAATAGTCAGGAAGTGGCAATGAGAAGCAAGAAGGATATAGGGTTTGGGGGGAAAAGGTATTGCCGAAAAGGGTGGAAGGGAAGCAGTAGCTGCAGTCTTCTGATTCTAAGCTCTTCAAATGTAAAAAAATATTGAGATATAAAGGAATATTAAACACAGAAATTATAATTTTAAGTAATAATAATATACTGGCATTTGTGGGTGACAGGTCACCCAGAGTACAAACTTGTAAGTGATCACACAAAGATGTTGAACAATGTTTCTCAAATCAGAATAAGCTAGGGGAGCTGGATACAATGCAGATCCCTAGGTCCTATGCCATACTGCTGGATCAGCATTTCTGAGAGCCTAAAAGCACCCTGGGAATTCTTATGTCCAGTGAAGAACTAATGGCAAGGACAGACGAAGAGAATGACAGCCTTGTGCTCTTCCTTCATCTACTCTTGGTACTATTAGCTCACCAGCTCCCCTTAAGTTCTCAATATATACAATAATCATGGAGTTATTCAGTCTTAATAAAAACAAAGTCAGCAGAGAAGGAAGTGAATGCCTTACTACATCTAAATGGGAATTGAGAATAATCTGATACAGAGATTACTTTGTACGAAAAGTGCCATGTACTTTCCACATTTACTAAGCCCCCACTTTATTAGGTGCTTGAGATACAATGATATATAAGACAAGAACAATGTCCATAGAGGACTGCCTATAACTAGTGGTCATGTTTCCCAATTGGAGAGTTACTGGCATTTGAGGTACAATAATCCTTCCTGTGTGGAACACTCTTAGGCATGTTTAGTATCCCTGGTCCCTGTCCCCTAAATGCCAGTTTTATTAAGCTCAGTCATTTTGACAACCAAAAAAATATGTCTCCGTACATTTGCAAATGCTCCCTAAGGGTGGTACTGCCCTGTTGAGAATTACTGATGGCCAGTAACCCCGTTAACCCAGGGAACTAGATGATGATAGGATGTATGGTGGATCACCCTCTCACCTCTGAAATAGCTTAGTGGCAGTCCTTAAGATAGTAGAAAATTGGTTCCAGAAAATAGTGCCATTAGAAACCGCATTTTCCTACGTGAAGGCTGACAATCACTATGAACAAATTATTACTATGAACATACCTCTATTTTTGCAGTTAACCTCTCAATTTCAGACCGATCTTCCCTGTGATTTTTGGTATTTCCTCTGAATTCCCTCATTTGCTTTTTCTGAAGCTTTTCATAGCTTCTCTTCAGTATGCATAACTGTAGAAACAGTTATTTCTATATTTAAAGTTTAAGAATTTGTAAGAAGTAGTGGTGAGACAAATTGGTATTATGAAAACAAGAGCAGTGCTAACCAGTACTACTGAGAACATGTTAGATTTCCAAACTAAAACACAAAAGGAAACTAAAAATTAAATATGTAAAACAAACACTACTAAAGAAATATATTCAAAGAAAAAATTTTAAAAAAAATTTTAAACAAAAGTTTTGTATTACAATAGCCCTGCACTTAAAGACCCTACCACCCAGCCCCACAATAAAGCAGCAAATAAAAACTCTTTTTCTTTCCTCTAGGTCTGTGATTCTCAAGCCATGCTCTTGCAGGGCACTGATATTCAGGATGCAGGAGAAGAGTACTTTGCAATTAAATCAGAATAAAAGCAGTTTTTTCCAAATCTGAAGAATAAAATTGAGTTAATGGACAGAATTTTCTTACTTGTCTTATTTATCCCAAAATGTTTCTTAAATCTTTGGATCCTCCATTATTTATAATCTAGTAACTGATAAAAATTAAAATATTAAATGTAATTTTTGGTATCAAGTATTTCACAGTATTACATAAAAACAGCTCTATTTCTTTCAGGTACTCAACCAAGAAACATATTTTAGCATCTCTTCTAGGTAGTATCAAACCTACAGTTAGGCAAACCTCTTTACCTGGATTAAAGAACAGAGAAATGGATTCCCACTCCTGTATCTTTGATGGAGTATGTATTTCCCACTTTACAAAGTAGAAACTGGCTTTCATTAACAAAGTTCTCAAGGGTGAAAGAGAGAGAACTACACACACAACATTTAACAAAACTAAAATCTCACTTCTTCATGTAGTTTCTTCAACTCCTGCTTATATTCCATGGTCATCTCTTGCTTGATTTTTTCATGTTCTTCTACCTGCTGATGCAACATTCCAACCTAAAAGCAGAAAGGTGGTAGTATTTTTCACTATTAGCATTGAAATAACATCCCTGAGATATAAAAATAGAAAATAATCTCTGTATTTATTTGTAAATTCAAGTTCTCAAATGCATATATATGGTGATACCCCACTTCTTAGGAAGTCAAATACCTAGTTATTTAAGAATTCTTTACACTGCCAAAAAATAGTGAACAAACAGCTAGTTTTTAGAATTTCTAGGTTTAGATGAAGACTCTCTCTCTTTTTCTTTTTTTCTTTTTGAGATGGGAGTCTCACTCTCGCCCAGGCTGGAGTGCAGTGGTGCAATCTTGGCTCACTGCAACCTCTGCCTCCCAAGTTTAAACAATTGTCTGCCTCGGTCTCCCAAGTAGCTGGGATTACAGGCGCATGCCACCACACCTGGCGAATTTTTATATTTTTAGTAGAGACAGGGTTTCCCCATCTTGGCCAGGCTGGTCTTGAACTCCTGACCTCGTGATCCACCTGTCTCAGCCTCCCAAGGTGCTGGGATTACAGGCGTGAGCCATCGCGCCCGGCCGAAACTGTGTCTCTCTGTCTGATTATCCTACTCAACCCTTTTCATCAAAAAAACTCATGAAAATAAGAAATATAAAGTGTTGAGAGTCCTGGAAACCAACAATACTTCATAAAAAATCTAGAAGACCTTAGGAATAATTTCTCTACAATAAAGTACAGAATAGTAACGTCAGACAGGAAAACAAAAGGAGGTTTGTGCCTGCTTTACCATTCACCCAACTCCAGAGAAACGAGTTCCACCAACCATGGTAAGGAAGTTATCCTAACCCACTTTTCAATGATTTGATACCAGTGACACCTATTTTCTGCCAAGCCTTCACCTCCACAAGTATCCAGCAGTATTTCTTTTAATAACCAGCTAGAATTTCATCTACTGGTAAGTAGGGAGGGAGAGGGAAAACAGGGAACACAAGGGAGTAAACAATCACAATCTACAACAGTAAATTTTTTTAAAGTACTAGAAATAAGCTACTTATAAGAATGAGGACTAAATGCAATTCCAATAAAAAATTATAGTGGAATTTATTTTTGTAAGAAACTTGAAAAAGTCATTCTAAAGTTCAAACTGGAAGAATGGGTAAATACAGCCAATAAAATGGAAAAGTCTAGTTTTAAAAAAAGATGTAAGTGAATGATGTAACTGAATTTCTGGATGAAAGGAAATTTTCTGAGCTTAAAACTAATGAAAAAGTAATTTTAAAATGATAAATTTAACCATGTAAAACTTCTATTTTTAAAAAATCCAATTAACAAAATTAAAAGGTAAATAAATTGAGAAAAATATTTACAAAAAAATCAAAGGGCTTTTAACTTTTAGTACACAAAAGACTTACAAATTTGTAAAAAGTATTAAGCTCTCAACAGAAAAATAACTCAAGGACAAGAATGATTCCCACAAAAATATAAATGTCCAATAAACATGAAAAAAGGCTTAATTTCACTAGCAATCAGAGGAAAACATCCAATGGCATTTTATATCTATCAAATTAGCAAAGATCTTATAAAACGAAACTTGTGCGGGTAAGTTATCTGGAATCAAAGACCCATAAAGTGCTGAAATACAAAGCACATGACTTTTCCAGAAAGCAATGTGGGAGTCGATATTAAAACACTTATAAATATTCTTAACCTTGTTGGGCGCGGTGGCTCATGCCTGTAATCCCAGCACTTTGGGAGGCTGAGGCAGGCGGATCACGAGGTCAGGAGCTCAAGACCATCCTGGCTCACACGGTGAAACCCCATCTCTACTAAAAATACAAAAAATTAGCCAGGTGTGGTGGCGGGTGCCTGTAGTCCCAGCTACTCGGGAGGCCAAGGCAGGAGAATGGTGTGAACCCAGAGGACGGAGCTTGCAGTGAGCCCAGATCGTGCCACTGCACTCCAGCCTGGGCGACAGAGCAAGACCCCGTCTAAAAAAAAAAAAAAAAAAAAAAAATTTCTTAACCTTGACTTGGTAAACACTACTTTTAGAAATCCATGTAAAAAAAATAAATGTAGAGCCAGGTAGAGTGGCTCACACCTGTAATCTCAGCACTTTAGGAGGCAGAGGCAGGAGGATGGCTTGAGCCCAGGAGTTTAAGACCAGCCTGGGCAACATGGTGAGACCCTTTCTCTACAAAAAAGGAAAAGAAGAAAATAAATGTAGATGTTAAGAATTTGTTGGGGCCGGGTGCGGTGGCTCACACCTGTAGTCACAGCACTTTGGGAGGCCAAGGCAGGCGGATCACTTGAGTTCAGGAGTTTGAGACCAGCCTGGCCAACACGACAAAACCTCATCTCTACCAAAAATACAAAAATTAGTTAGACCTGGTGGCAGGTGCCTGTAATCCCAGCCACTCAGGAGGCTGTGGCACAAGAATCGCTTGAACCCAGGAGGTGGAGGTTGCACTGAGCTGAGATGGCACCACTGCACTCCAGCCTGGGCAACAGAGTGAGACTCAGTCTCAAAAAAAAAAAAAAAAAAAGTCAATGGGGATTTGTTCTTTTATAAAAACTGGACAAATTGGAAAAAATCTGTATGTTTATAAATAAACTGTGAATGAATATAATGAATGAATGTACATAATAAAATATGCAAACATTAAGCTGTATTAAAATAGTTAACATGAAAAATGCTTACCATTTAAAAGACATATCGATATAAAAAGTATACTATACTAAAATCCCAATTTTGTGAAGGATTTTTACTGAAGTCTACTTACATAGCTTAAAGGAAATACACCAAATGTTAATACAGATTAACTCTGATTCAAGGTATTATGATTATGTTTTGCTTCATAGTTGGTCTTTTCTAAATTTTCTCCAATGGCTACTGCTTTTATTAGCAAGAAAAGAACATTTTAAAAAAGAAAAGAAAAGAGGCTGACCCTAAGCCCACCTACTTTGCTTTGATAAAGATCATGAGGACTCATCTGTTTGATTAAAACAAGTTGAAGAGTCTTAACTATTCGTATTTCCTAGCCCACAATCCACCAGAAGATCCAAAATTAGAAAGTATGGTAGGTAGAAGGGGTAACTGCAATGCTCAGCAGAAATGAGCAATAGCTTTTAGCAAAGACAGAAGAAAAAAGGGAAACAGATTATCCCAAAAGGAGACTCATGTCTACACTGCTATAACCCGTAAAGACAAAGCACATCAAGCACATCAGTATGTAACAGCCATTACTCCTAACATACCACAACCAAGAGAAAAGGCAACCCTCAAAACACCACACACACACACACACACACACACGCACACACACACACACCCCTCCTTAAGCTTTCAGTAGTGTGGCCTTTTGGCCCTCTATCACATGTTAGACAAGACCCACCTGCAGAATTATAAAAACTTTAAATGATTTCATAAGATCTGCTAACAGCATGGAAGCTGACTACGGAGTTCTCAAACTTAGCCTAAAGAGTTCTTTGACCAAGGTTTTTAAAAATTGAAGACAAAGAACGGGGGAGAAAAAAACCAGGGGGAGGGCAAGATGGCTGACTAGACACAGCCAGGAGGAAAAGCTGCCAATGAGGGACTGAGACAACTGGTGTGCTCCTAACAGATCTTCAGAGGGGGTCACTGAAGAGTGGATGGAGGGAAGACACAGAAGCTGGGCTGAAGGGGGAGGAAGCTGGGAACCATACATGAGGCGACTACGCACCTGGACTCATTCCTGGCCCAAACAGCTCTGGAAAAACAAGTGAGCTGAACTAGCAAGGAGCAACCCACTCTTGCCACGGGCCTCTGGAACCTCTCGCCCACCATGAACACTCAAGTTGACAGGGTGAGCCACTTAGAGAAGTGATAGGGGCAGCAAGCCAGCTGATATGGAGCCCAGAGGGTTTGGTGTGAGAGAATCTGTGGTGGGGCATGGCCAGGGATAGCCATCCCCTTAGGCTTAACTGGCACCCATAGGAGACTTTAGCTCTAAGGCAACTGTTGGACCCGAACTCTGCAGGGTAGTCTTGTCCATCATATGGGGCCGGTCTCATCTGACCACCCCTTGGCCTGCTGGCCTCTCCCAGGGCCCCAGCCTGGCCACACATGCTTACAGGGCAGCCTTGGGTGGCCTGGGGGACTGCATCATAGCTTCTGTGCTGGCAGACTATGCCTGACCAGCAGAGAGCTCCAGCAGAGTGGCCCCCATGGCTATGCACCAGCCTGTACATTCAGTCCCCATACTGCAGCTTCCCTAGGCCCATAGCAACTCCCCACATGGCTTTGCTGGCATGTGCCTATGCCGGCAGGTTTTGCTTTTCTTGCCCCACCAGCAGGCAAGTGTACATGTATCCACCTTGACACTGCTGTGGCGGGAGTGCAGTTCATTTCCCATGTCCCCACTGACCACCACTGCAGACAGAACCTTGGTGGGCACCAAACCAGCCAGCCCTGCCTCCACCAGTGCCCCTTCCTTGCACCAACACTGCCGCAGGAGTGAAACTAGGCACAGAGAATAACAGATCCTCCCCTGCATGGAGCAACCACTCCTGTTTGCAGTACACAGAGAAGGCACACAGACCTGCAACTGCCAGCGCCCTGCCCCCAAGCCAACACCACCACCAGTGCCACTGTGCACAGTCGCCAGCAGGGGTCCCCGCTCACCTCCCAGCTGTGTTGCCTCCTCCACTGTGGTGAATGCTCTCAGGGAGGCAGGCACCCTGGCACCCACCAGCACCCTGGCATAGCTGACAAGTGTGTCCCCCACTGCACTGCTGCTACCACTGCTGCTGGCACATGTAAACAAGGATGAATCCCACTGTCACCACACTATGAAATGCTTTGGCTGCCACCACCCATTGTGGTGTAGTGACTAGTGGTCTGGGAGCACTCTGACCCCCCAATGCAGTGGATTCCTAACTTCAAGGAGCCAGAGAAAAAAGTTGGGGCCCAATACGAGCCCCCCCAGAGTTAGAGCACACAGTCTAGGAGTTGGGGGCTGAGCAATGGCCACCGAAAATCTTCCAGAAACAAAGCCAGTTGGCTGAATCCACCTTATACTACAATAAAACTCTCAAGGTCATCAAATATGGTAAAAGGAAAAAAAAAAACCTCATCCAAGGGTCAGCAACTTCAAAGATTGAAGGAATGTAAGCCCACAAAGATGAGAAAGAAATAGTGCAAGAACTCCAAGAACTCAAAAAGCCAGAGTATCTTCCTTCCTCCAAACAACCATATCACTTCTCCAGTAAGGGTTCAGAACTGGGCTAAGATGGCTGAAATGACAGAAATATAATTCAGAGCATGGATAGGAACAAAGAACACTGAGCTACAGGAGTATACTGAAACCCAGTCCAAGGAAGCTAAGAATCATGATAAAACAATGCAGGAACTGACAGACAAAATCGGCAGTATAGAGAAGAATGTAAGCAACCTGATAGAGCTGAAAAGCACACTACAAGAATTTCATAATGAAATCACAAGTAATAATAGCAAAACAGACCAAGCAGGGGAAAGAAATCTCAGAGCCTGAAGACTGGCTTTCTGAAATAAGACAGTCACTGACAGACAAAATAGACAGTATAGAAAGGAATATGACCAACCTGATAGAGCTGAAAAACATGCCACAAGAATTTTATAATGCAATCACAAGTATTAATAGCAAAATAGACCAAGCAGAGGAAAGAATCTCAGAGCTTGAAGACTGGCTCTCTGAAATAAGACAGGCAAGAATAGAGAAAAAAAGAATGAAAAGGAATGAATAAAACCCCCAAGATATATGGGATTATGTAAAGATGCCACATCTACAACTCATTGGTGTCCCTGAAAGAGATGGGGAGAATGGAACCAATCTGGAAAACATATTTCAGGATATCATCCATAAGAACTTTCCCAACCTAGCTAGAGAGGCCAAAATTCAAATTCAGGAAATGCAGAGAACCCCAGTAAGATACTTCACAAGATCATTCCCAGGACACATAATCATCAAATTCTCCAAGGTTGAAACTAAGGAAAAAAATGTTAACGGCAGCCAGAGAGAAAGATCAGGTCACCTATAAAGGGAATATCAGACTAATGGTAGACCTCTTGGCAGAAACCCTACAAGCCAGAACAGATTGAAGGCATATTCAACATTCTTAAAGAAAAGAAATTTCAACCCAGAATTTCATTATCTGGCCAAACTAAGCTCTGAAGGAAGCACCACATATGGAAAGCAAAGAGCATTAACAGCCACTACAAAAACAGACTAAAGTACACAGACCAGTGATACTATAAAGCAACCACACAAAAAACTGCAAAATAACCAGCTAACATCATCATGAGAGAATCAAATCCATACATATCAATACTAACCTTGAATGCAAATGAGCTAAATGCCCCAATTAAAAGGCACAGAATGGCAAGCTGGATAAAGAATCAAGACCCATTGGTATGCTGTCTTCAAGAGACCCATCTCACATGCAGTGACATACATAGCAGAAGATGAGAAATAACCAAAATCAGAGCTAAGTTGAAGGAGACTGAGACATGAAAAAACATTAAAAAGATCAACAAATCTAGAAGCTGATTTCTTGAAAAAATTAAAACAGACCACCAGCTAGACTAATAAAGAAGAGAGGAGACTCAAATAGACACAATCAGAAATGATAAGGAAGATATCACCCCTAACCCCACAGAAATACAAACAAACGTCAGAGAATACTATAAACACCTCTATGTACATAAACTAGAAAATCTAGAAGAAATGGATAAATTCGTGGACACATACACCATCCGAAGACTGAACCAGGAAGAAACTGAACCCCTGAACAGACCAATAACAAGTTCTGAAATTGAATCAGTAATAAATAGCTTACCAACCAAAAAAAGCCCAGGGTCAGATGGATTCACAGCTGAATTCTACCAGATGTAGAAAGAAGAGCTGGTACCATTCCTGCTAAAACTATTCCAAAAAATTGAGGAAGAGGGACTCCTCTCTAACCCATTCTATGGGTTGTGCATCAACCTGATACCAAAACCTGGCAGAGACACAACAAAAAAAGAGAACTTCAGGCCAATATCATTGATGAACATTGATGCAGAAATCCTCAACAAAATAATGGCAAATCAAATCCAGCAGCACATCAAAAAGCTTATCCACCACAGTCAAGTAGGCTTCATCCCTAGGATGCAAGGTTGGCTCGACAGACACAAATCAATAAATGTGATTCATCACATAAACAGAACTAAAGCCAAAAACCACATGATTATCTCAATAGATGCAGAAAAGGCTTTTGATAAAATTCAACACCCTTCCATGTTAAAAACTCTCAATAAACTAGGTACTGAAGAAACGCACCTCAAAATAGTAAGAGCCATCTATGACAAACCCAAAGCCAATATCATACTGAATGGGCAAAAGCTGGAAACCCTTGAAAACCAGCAGAAGAGAAGGATGCCCTCTCTCACCACTCCTATTCAACATAGTTTTAGAAGTCCTGGCCAGAGCAATCAGGCAAAATAAAGAAATAAAGGGCATCCAAATAGGAAGAGAGGAAGTCAAACTATTCCTGTTTGTAGACGACATGATCCTCTATCTAGAAAACCCCATAGTTTCAGCCCAAAAGCTCCTTAAGCTGATAAACAACTTCAGCAAAGTCTCAGGATATAAAATCAATGTACAAAAGTCACAGCACTGCTATACACCATGAACAGTCAAGCTGAGAGCCAAATCAGGAATGCAATCCCATTCACAAATGTCACAAAAAGAATAAAATACCCAGGAATATAGCTAACCAGGGAGGTGAAAAATCTATAGAAAAAATATACAACACTGCTCAAAGAAATTAGAGATGACACAAACAAATGGAAAAACATTCCATGCTCATGGAAGGAAGAATCAGTATCATTAAAATGGCTATACTGCCCAAAGCAATTTATAGATTCAACACTATTCCTATTAAACTACCAAATGACATTCTTCACAGAACTAGGAAAAACTATTTTAAAATTCATATGGAACCAAAAAAGAGCCTGAATAGCTAAGGCAATCCCAAGGAAAAAGAACACACCTAGAAGCATCACACTACCCAACTTCAAACTATACTACAGGGCTACAGTAACCAAAACAGTATGGCACTGGTACAAAAACAGATACATAGACCAATGGAAGAGAATAGAGAACCCAGAAATAAGGCTGCACACCTGTAACTATCTGATCTTCAACAAAACTGACAAAAACAAGCAATAAGGAAAGGACTCCCTATTCAATAAACGGTGCTGGGATAACTGGCTAGCCACATGCAGAAGATTGCAACTGGACCCCTTCCTTGTATTATATACAGAATTAACTCAAGATGGATTAAAGACTTAAGTGTAAAGCCCAAAACTATAAAAAACTCTGGAAGACAACCCCAGCAATGCCATTCTGGACATGGAAACAGACAAAGATTTCACGACAAAGACACCAAAAGCAACTGCAACAAAAGCAAGTCAACAAATGGGATCTAATTAAAGAGTTTCTTTACAGCAAATGAAACTATCAACAGAGTGAACAACATATAGAATGGAAGAAAACTTTTGCAAACTATGCATCTGACAAAAGACTAGTATCCAGCATCTATAAAGAACTTAAAAGTTACAAGAAAAAAACAAACCACCCCACTAAAAACTGGGCAAAAGATATGAACAGACACATTTCAAAAGAAGGCATACAGGCAGCCAACAATCATATAAAAAAATGCTCAACATCATTGATCTTAAGAGAAACACAAATCAAAACCACAATGAAATACCATCTCACATTGGTCAGAATGGCTATTATTTAAAAGTCAAAATATAACAGATGCTGGCAAGGTTGCAGAGAAAAGAGAACGCTTATACACTGTTGGTGGAAGTGTAAATTAGTTTAACCACTATGGAAGATGATGGTGATCCCTTAAAGATATAAAAACAGAAATATCATTCAACCCAGCAATCCCATTACTAGGTATATACCCAAAAAAATGTAAATCGTTCCATCAGAAAGACACATACACACGTAAGTTCACCGCAGCACTATTCACAAGAGCAAAAACACAGTATCAACCTAAATGTCCATCAATGGTAGACTAAAGAAAATGAGGTACATTGGAATACTATGCAGCCATAAAAAAGAATGAGATCACGTCTTTTGCAGGAACAGAAAACCAAATACCGCATATTCTCACTTATAAATGGGAGCTAAGTGATGAGAACGCATGGGACACATAGAGGGGAACAACATACTGAGGCTTACTGGAGGGTAAAGGGAGAGAATCAGGAAAGAAATAACTAAGGGGTACTAGGCTTAATACCTGGGTGATGAAATAATCTGTACAATAAACCCCCACGACACAAGTTTACCTATATAACAAACCTACACATGTACCCCTGAATTTAAAATAAAATTTAAATTTTAAAAAAAGAAAAACAATCACATTTCTGACTACAACGCTTCACAATCACTCTCATTTGGCTCTCTTCTTTCACTAGAATCACCTATATCCCTTGTGAACCCACATCCAGAAGAAAACGCTTTGCCAGTCTGACCCTGTGACCCACTTGAAGATCCCTGTCCTTCTGAGAGTCACACCTAATGATTCCTCCTGCCTGGATTGATCTGAATTTTCCTGATCTCTTGGCACTTTGAGTCTTTTCATCCATCACTAACAGATTAGATAAATCCCAAATTACATATATCCTGTTTATTGACAAGGAGAAAGGTAGGAAGTAAAATGTTTTTAAGACAAGGAGCAGTAAAAATTATCTCCAGGCAAATTTGTTAATTAATGAAGAAATGCAGATGACAGTACCAGATCCAAAAGAAACAATGAGAAGAAATACAAAGAAAAGAGACTAAAAGAGAGTGCATGTTTGATTTGCAAACCAAAATGCCAGAACAGCTCCCCCAAGTCCAGCTGAAATGTCATTTGCACACTCTATACAGTTAAAGTGCACTGCAAAAAGTCCATCCTCAAAAAGGTAAAAAGTATTCTGGAAAAATGATTCTGAAAAAACACTAAAAACAATAATGTGGAATTCAACATCCCCCTCCCAGAAAATAAAACTTCAGTAACACTGAAAGGGAGAAATTAGCGCTTCAATTTAGTTAATTGGACTATTGATTCTTATGCAATACTAAGTCACTGATCATTAAACAGAAGTGAGAATATTAGCTGTTAATGAAGGTAACAAGACTAAGATATTCACAGATCTTCTAGTACTTCCTACTACAAGAGTTCTAGAATAAAACAAAGTGGGAAAAATTATGCATGTAAACAGAATATATTAATATAAAAGAAATAAGCAAGGAGAAAAATACAAATGTACTTTGCATAAATGTAAAATGTGAAAAGACAAGGACTTTTAGTGTTTAAAGCAGAAAGCAAACATGCTAAGTCATGTTCAACCATTTCCAAACTTCCAGGCCCAACGGGGGAACAATCCAGAATACCCATGGGAAAAAATACACAAAATGTGTATCTTCTACTACTGAAAATGGGAATTGACTGTTGCTTTTTAAAACAAAATTAAATTGAAAGTAAATATTTGCACAGAAAAGTACAGCACTCTTTTTGATAAAATACTGAGCTGTTTCATACCCCTATAGTAACTTAGTATTATTAGTCTTTTAACTTTTAGCCTTTCTGGTGTATGTTTAGGGTTATCTTGTGATTGTAATTTGCATTTTCCTAGTAACCTGTGAAACCAAGCACCTTTTCACATGCTCGCTGGTCATTTTGATATCTTCCTTTGTGAAATGACTATTTGTCTTTTGCCCATTTTTCTACTCAGTTAACTTATTAATTTATAGATGTTCTTTATCTTTTGTTGGTTGTATGTTGTAAATATATGAAATGTTCATTATTTTAATATAGTCTAAATTAGTAACCTTTTATCACTATTTTTTAAGAAATCTTTCCCTACTCCAAGGCACTAAGATTTTCTCTTATGTCATCTTCTAGAAAATCTTCAGCATTTCACATTTAAATTCGTAATCCATCTAGAATTGAATTTGGTATATGGTATAAAACTAGAAGTCAAAATCTTTCTTTTTCCCCCATATTGTTACTCAGTTGATCCAGTGACATGTATTGAAAAGACTCCCCACCATCTTGCAGTGTCATCTTGTCATGAATCAAATGTTCACATATGTGGGATCTCTGTTACGGGACTCTTTATTCTGTTCCATTGGTCTGTTTTTCTATCCTTGCAATACCACACTGTCTTAATATAGTTTTTAATAAATCTTGTTTTCTAGTACCCTAAGTGCTCCACCTTAATTTCTCTTCATCAAGATTGTTTTGGCTACTGCCATATAAATTTGAGAATCAACCTTGTTGATTTTCACTTTAAAATATACTGGAGTTTTAATTAGAATAATACTGAATAGATCAAAATTGGAGAAACCAATACCTTTAAAATATTGAGTCTTTCTATCCATGAACATCTATTCTTCCATTTATATCAGTTTTAATTTCTCTCCATAATTTAGAGCTTTCTGTGCAGAGGTCTTATACCTCTTTCATTGGATTTACTCTATTTGGTGCTTTTTTGATACTCTTGTCAAGGGTATCTTTTTTAACTTCATTTTTAATTGCTTTTTGCTGGTACAAAGAATCAATAAATTTTTGTAAATTAACCTTTAACTCAGCAAATCTACTATTTCATTTGTTAATTCTGTCTACATAGATTTTTTGGGTTTTCTGTGTACACCAACAAAGCATGTGCTAATTACTGCAGTGGTATTTCTTCCTCTCTAATCCTTATGTCTTTTATTTATTTTTCTTGCTTTATTGCACTAGCTACACCTCCACTACAATAACAACAACAAAAAAAGTGGTGATACTGGGCATCCTTGTCTCATTCACAATCTCTGAAGGAAAGCTTCTAACAATGGGTTACATTAATTGCTACTTGCTATGTTTCTTATATACCATTTTACTAGATTAAGGAAATTCCCTTAACATTTCTAATTTTCTAAGGGATTTTAATATTTTTATCACAAATGGATAACTGAATTTCATTAAATTCTTTTCCTGGATTGAGATAACTATGGTGTTTTTTCCTCTGATAATATGATGAATTATGTTGATTTATGAATGTTGAAACAACCCAGAATGACTAGAATAAACCTAAGTTAGTATGTAATTTCTAAATATTGCTGGATTTAGTTTGTTAATATTTTGACTAACAGTTTTATATTAACATTCACATAAGACTGGCCTGTAATTTTCCTTAACTGCTACATCCTTGTTAAGTTTTGAAATAAAGATTATGATGCTTCATAAAAGGAGTTAGGAAAATCTTATCTTTTCTTCTGTTCTCTGGAATATTTTATATAAAATTCATGTTACTTATTTCTTAAAATGTCTGGTAGAATTCACCAATGAAGTCTACTGGGCCCAAGAGATTTATCTATGAGCAGGTTTTTCAATAACAAATTCAATTCAGCCGGGCGTGGTGGCTCACGCCTGTAATCCCAGCACTTTGGGTGGCTGAGGCGGGCAGATCACCTGAGGTCAGAAGTTTGAGACCAGCCTGACCAACATGGTGAAACCCCATTTCTACTTAAGAAAAAAAAAAAAGCAAAAATTAGCCGGGCATGGTGGTGCGCACCTGCAGACCCAGCTACTCGAGAGGCTGAGGCAGGAGAATCGCTTGAACCCAGGAGGCAGAGGTTGCAGTGAGCTGAGATCACGCAACTGCACTCCTGCCTGGGCGACAGAGTGAGACTCCATCTCAAAACAAAAAAAAAATCAATTTAATAGGATACTATTCACATGTCTCAACCTTTCTTGTATGCTGTGCTTTCCTAGGGATTTTTTATTATATCTAAATGTTTTACTGTGGTGGGGGGGTGGGTACATGGTCATTCATAGTATCTTTTTATAACCCCTTTACTATTCAGAGGCTCTATTATGGTTTCTCTTTTTAATTGCTAACATTAGTTATTTTCCCCCCTTTTTTCTTAATTAGTCTTGCCAAGGTTATCAATTTAATTAATTTTTTTCGAAGAGAATAGCTTTGTTCATCCTCTTATACATTTGTTTCCTATTTTATTAGTTTCTGTTCTTATCTTTATTACATCTTTTCTTTCTCATTTCTTTGGTTTTAATTTGCTGGGGTTTTTTTGTTTTTCTTGAAATGGCTACTTAGATCACTTTCAGCCTTTCTAATATATATAATTTTAGCTGTATATAAAATGTAGCTATATGTATACACACATAGCTAACATTCTAGGCACCACATTAGCTGCATTCCACAAGTTTTGATACGTACCATATTCATTATTATTCAGTCCAAAATATTTTCTAATTTTCATTTTGATTTCTTTTGATTCATGGGTTATTTAGAAGTGTATTGCTTAATTTCCAAGCTTTTGAGGATTTTTTCTGGATGTCTTTCATTGTTCTGAGTTCTAGATTAAATCCACCTTGGTCAAAAAACATGATTCTAATCCTCTGAAATATGTTGAGACATGCTTTACGGCAGTAGTGGTAAATGGTCCATATTCACTTGGATGTGTATTCAGCAGTTACTAGGTACAATGTTCTATTTAGATTAATTAGGTCAAGTTTATTAACTAGGTTAAGTTTGTTAATCTTGATCAAATCTTCACCTGAACTGAGGTTTTCTCTGCTTGTTGTATTAATTGAGAGCTACTTGTTAAGTCTTCCATGATTACCATGTACTTAATTTTTCCCTTGATTCTGCCCATTTTTCTTTGTATATTTTAAGGCTACATTATTAAGTATTTATAGAATTGAATTATTAAAGCAACCTGGTTAACTGACCCATTCATAATTTTTAAGTGTCCCTAGATCTTTAGTATTGCTTCTGGCTTTGATGTTTACTTTGTCTCATGCCAATACAGTTACATCAGTTTTCTTTTGGAAGTTTTCTCATGTCATATCACTTCCAGGCTTTTACTTTCATTTTTAAAAAATGTCCTTCTTTTTACATTCTTCAAATTTAGCAAGTTCTTTTCCCAACCTCTTGAGATGAATCAATACCTCAATGATTTTCAGCCCTTCCTCTTTTCTAATATATGCTCTTATGGCTATAAATGTCCCTCTGAGATATTTTATCTGCATTCTGTATGTCTGATGTTGTATTTTCATTTTGAATTCAAAGTATTTTCTAATTTCCATTGTGATTTCCTCACTGATCCATGAATTATTCAGAACTTCATGTCCTAATTTCCAAATGTATGCAGATTTTCAAGTTATCTTTTTCTAACTTATTTCCACTATGTTCAGAGACCACACCTGTGACGTCAAGCTTTTGAACTGTATCAAGATTTACTTTATGGCCCAGCATATGGTCAATTTTGGTAAGGGTATTTTTTGTGCTAATAAGAATGTGTACTCTGAAATTCTGTTGTATAATATTCTATATATAAAAATTAAGTCAAGTTCGCTGATCATGCTGTTAAAATCTATATTCTTATGTTTGTCTCTTATTCCATCAGTTACTAAGAAAAATGTGTTAAAATTCTCCCCTATGATTGTGGCTTCATCTGTTTTTTCCTAGTTCTGTCACTTTTCACATACAGATAAGACAGAAAGAGGATTTTCTTTTAAAACTATTTAACTAGACACATTAGATACGCAGACATTTTCATCTTGGTTTGAGTCCCCCAGCAAAGTGTGGGCTGAGACATGGACTTCAGGGCAACTGGAGGTGACCCCAGAAAGCACAGTGAGGACACAGAGAGCAAGGCAGAGAAGGAAGGAAAGCTAATAAAGGACGTGCTATTGAGCATATTAAGCATATTACTGAAGTAAGCAGCTGGTGATGAATTCCACTGGGAATCCACTAAGGAACCAGATGGAATCTTTCAGAATCGTCTCTCTGAGGAATGGGAAGTTGGAGAATTCACCTAGTCCCTCCACTACTTGAACCTTGACCTAAGATCTAAGAGTATTAACTCCTCAACACTTCCAGATTTCATCTAAGCAGCTTTCCAAGGCCCCAGAGAGAGAAACAAAGTATGGGGAAAGGAAAGAGAGATCAGATTGTTACTGTGTCTGTGCAGAAAGAAGTAGAAATAAGAGACTCCATTTTGTTCTGTACTAAGAAAAATTCTTCTGCCTTGAGATGCTGTTAATCTGTAACCTTACCCCCAACCCTGTGCTCCCTGAAACATGTGCTGTGTCAACTCAGGGTTAAATGGATTAAGGGCTGTGCAAGATGTGTTTTGTTAAACAAATGCTTGAAGGTAGCATGCTCCTTAAGAGTCATCACCACTCCCTAATCTCAAGTACCCAGGGACACAAATGCCGCAGGGACCTCTGCCTAGGAAAGCCAGGTATTGTCCAAGGTTTCTCCCCATGTGATAGTCTGAAATTCGGCCTCATGGGAAGGGTAAGACCTGACCGTCCCCCAGCCCGACACCCGTAAAGGGTCTGTGCTGAGGAGGATTAGTAAAAGAGGAAGGAACACCTCTTTGCAGTTGAGACAAGAGGAAGGCATCTGTCTCCTGCCCATCCCTGGACAATGGAATGTCTCGGTATAAAACCCGATTGTATGTTCCATCAACTGAGATAGGGGAAAACCACCTCAGGGCTGGAGGTGGGACATGCAGGCAGCAACACTGCTCTTTAAGGCACTGAGATGTTTATGTGTATGCATATCTAAAGCACAGCACTTAATTATTTACCTTGTTCATGATGCAGAGACCTTTGTTCACATGTTTGTCTGCTGACCTTCTCTCCACTATTATCCTATGACCCTGCCACATCCCCCTCTCCGAGAAACACCCAAGAATGATCAATAAATACTAAGGGAACTCAGAGGCCAGCGGGATCCTCCATATGCTGAACGCCGGTCCCCTGGGCCCCCTTTTTTCTTTCTCTACACTTTGTGTCTCTTTCTTTTCCAAGTCTCTCATTCCACCTAACGAGAAACACCCACAGGTGTGGAGGGGCAACCCACCCCTTCAAACAAAGTATACTACAAGCTTGTCCAACCTGTAAGCCACAGGCCATATGTGGCCCAATACAGCTTTGAAGGTAGCCCTACACAAATGTGTGAACTTCCTTAAAACATTACAAGATTTTTTTTTTAAGCTTATCAGCCAGCATTAGTGTTAGTGTATTTTATGTGTGGCCCAAAACAATTCTTCTTCCAATCTGGCCCAGGGAAGCCAAAAGATTGGAAACTCCTGTTATAGTAGATGTTGGCAGCGCATAAGGACCTATATTTAATAGCTAAAAGGAAATCAGGAGGCAAAGAGGACATACTACAGGGCACAAAGAATGTCTACTAAAGTTACATATCCTGAAATTTCACATTTTCTCATTATGAAGTGTTTTTCTTCACCTTGAGTAATGCTTTCGGCTTCTGCTCCAATCATACTTTTTCTGGTAAGAATATAGTTATACCATCTTTCTAGTCAAACTGTTTGCATGTTATATATTTTACCTTTTAATTTCAATGTTTTTATATTTCTATAAACATTAAATAATAATTGCATTTGTTTATCTGATCCAGTTGGACAGTTTTTCTTTTAATTAAGCCAGTTACTGCATTTACATTTAACAAACCTATTTTGATTTAAAGCTTTCATCTTGTTACATAATATTTGTACTTAATAAGCTCTGTTCCTTTTTCTCTTCTTTTTTGCCTTCTTTGGGACTGATTACTTTTTTTATCATTCCATTTTTCTCTATTAGCATGGAAGATATTCTCTACTAATATATACTTTTAATGGTTCCCTCAAGATAAAAACATGGATTTGTGACTTAACAAGGTCTAATGTTAGCTATAAATACTTCAATTCCATTTATCCCAACCTGACTTAAATATAACACCATTGCCACCATAATTTTACATATACGTTAAACTCAAAAGGCAATTACCGTTAGCTGGGCACAGTGACATGCACCTGTAGTCCCAGGTACTTGGGAGGCTGAGGTAGGATTGCTTAAGCCCAGGAGTTCGAGTCCAGCCTGGGCAACATAGCAAAACTCCATCTATTATTGTTGTTTTATACAATCAATATTCATTTAGATTTACCCATACATTTACTACTGCTTTTCATTTCTTCCTGCAGCTCTGAGGGTCAATCTGGGATCACTGTCTTTCTACCTAAAGAACATTTTTTAATATTTCCTTAGTGCAGGTCTGCTTGTAACCAGTTCTCTCAATTTTTGTTCATCTGAAAATGTCTTTATTTTACCTTTATTCTGGATACAGAATTCTCGTTTGGTAGAGGAAAAAGTCATGTTCTTTCTTTGTAGACATTTTATTGTTTTCTGGCTTTCACTTTTTTGGCTGACAAGTCAACTGTTAAGAGCTATTTGTAGATAATCTTTTTTTTCTTTGATTGCTTTTCAGATTCCTCCCTTTGTCTTTAGTTTTCAACCATGGCAACTGTTTCTTTTTACTTATCTTGCTTGAGATTCTTGGACTTCTTAAATACTTGACCTTCCTCACTTTTGGCAAAATCTCAGCCAGTATCTCTCCAAATATCTTTTGTGCCCATTCTCATTTTTTTTCTCCTTCAGGGATTCCAAAAACACTTATATTAGACTTTCTTGTTGTCTTCTCTTTCTCATATCCTTTCATCTATATTTTCTATCACTTTGCCTGTGCTTTATTCTAGACATTTTATTCTGTCACATCATCTAGTTCACTAATTATCCCTTAATCTTTAAGACCTTAATTTCAGTCATTCTATTTTTCAATTCTAAAATTTCCACTCATTTTTTTTACAGTTTTTAATTCTTTTTCGAAATGCTCAATCTTATCTTTTAGTGCCTTGAATGCAATAAACATTGTTATTGTAAACTGTGTGCATGATAATGACAAATATCTAGATTTATCATGGGTCTATTTCTATCTTCTGCTGCTTCTACTATTTTTCCTTTGTGTTGTCTTGTCTCCTGGTCTTTGTTGTCTCAGGTTATTTTCTGAGCAAGTACCAAGCATTATTTGCAAAATTATTTGAATAATCTGAAACCCAGAATGGTAATTTTTCCTTTGAAGAAAATTTATATTTGCTACTTCCAGGTTCCTGGAAGCCCTAGCACTTTGGAGATGCCTGGGGACAGTAGCACTCTTAAGTTTAACTTAAAACTGATTTCAGGGATTTAGATGTTTGAAGCTGAGTGGTTTTTTCAAGAGGGCCTGTTCTGGTCCATCCTTACTCCTAGGGTGCAGCCTTTCAGGGTCTTTAGCCAAACTGAGGAGGCGTTCAGAGCCATCATGGACCCCTAGCCCCTTAAAGTTATCAAAAACACCACTCAACCTTTTATCCTCTCGGCTGCCTTCTTTATTTTCAGTTAATAATGGCCCCAAACCCTGGACACACCTCCCTGAACCGCTTGCCCAGCCCAGATCCCAGCCTGGTAATTGTTCACCATCCTGATAGCATTTTACTTCAAGCAAAATTTTTTTTAAATCTAACTTACCTATTTGTCCTCGGTGAGTGGACTGGCCCAAATTACCTAATCTGCCATTATCAAATATTAAAGTCTGAAATAATTCATATTTAACTGTAAACGTCCTGAGGGAAATTTACTTCTAAAGCTGATTTCTACAGCCAGTCAAACTTTCAATCAGGCCTGAAAATAGAATAAAGATTATTTTCAGATATACAAGATCTCAAAACTATGCTCTATCAAAATAGAAATGTAAACATATAAATATGGTGACAGAGAATGCAAAGAAGCACAAATAGAGGAGCACAGAAAACCTCCAGAATAATGATGAAGGGAGTTCTCATGATGACAGCTATACACCTATCCTTGAAAGCAACCTATCCACGGTGGAGAATGGCAAGCTCCAGGAGAGATGTCTTCACAGGGAAAAGAAATGAAAGAAAAGAAAATGGACAGATTAATTGCCTTGTTTAAACACAATGGCAGAAGATTTACACCTGTGTCAGAGATTTCAGAAAGAATCAATGGTAGGTATGTTTAAAAAACCAAATGAAAGTGAGACAATTAGTAATTTCCAGGAAAACAAAAAAGCAGTACAAAAAACAAGTCTGCTTATAATTACACTACCTGACTCAACTGTGAATAATATTTACCATTTAATGATGTAAATACTGAATATTAATCTAACAAAAAATTAAGATATACACTCCTGGAAGGATGAGGGGATGATAATTGTATGTAAGAGAGCAAAACCCCACATCTTTCATAGTACCAAGTCATTAAACAGCTAAAACTATAAATGAAAATACAGCAGTAAAAAAGCTTCCTTGGAAACATAGGGAAAATGCCAAAAGAAAGAGTTAAAGGCTTGAAATTACTCCTCACAGAAGTAAGAATCCTAGGTTCAGAGGGGTGGGGAAGATTACTATTTTTTCTTATGAGCCTTGTAGAATCATTTTTCTTTTTATTTACTGTGACAAGTATAAATATAAAGGTGAAGAAAAGTTTAGGAACATTAAATGCTAATAATGATGGAAGTTACTTGTCCAAGGCCATTCAGCTGAAAAGAGGCAGGGCCAGGACTCTAAATTTCTTACTCATTTCACAAAGTCAACGTGCCCTGTAGGGAGCTAGAAGATAGTAACAGCAGGAATGTCCATTAAAACCAACCCAGTGCCAACACTGTAACCAGAAACACATAAAGCCTTAACTTACAAAACAAGTTGCTTATATTAGTGATCCACCAAGTATGATTTGCAGGTGGGCTGAAGTTATTCACAGACAGCAATCCAGCACAAGAAGCCTGAGGCAGAGTGTAAATCAAGTATGTCTTGAAACACACCGTTCAGTGTAACAGACATTCTTACAACCAAAATTTTCTCAGCAAAAGATGGATATACACTGATTTTAGCTGTTAACAGTTTTAGCTGTTTAATGACTTGGTACTATGAAAGATGAGGGGTTTTGCTCTCTACAATGATTTACATTCTGGTGCAAGCTTTTAATCTCATCATGGACCTGTCATTTGATTAGCAGTGGTTTACACCCTAGGACTAAGTGCTTCTAGGTCTGTACCTTTCAAACAAGTAAGAATGACTGATGTGGTTTGGCTGTGTCCCTACCCAAATCTCATGTTGAACTGTAGTCTTCAATGTTGGAGAAGGGGCCTGGTGGGAGGTGACTGGCTCATGGGGGCAGACTTCCCCCTTGCTGTTCTTGTGATAGTGAATTCTCATGAGATCTGGTTCTTTAAAGGTATGTAGCACTTCCCCCTTTGCTCCGTCTCCTCCTCCGCCATGTGAAAATGTGCCTGCTTCCTCTTCACTTTCTGCCATGATTAAGTTTCCTGAGGCCTCACCAGCCATGCTTCCTGTACAGCCTGTGGAACTGTGAGTCAATTAAACCTCTTTTCTGCATAGCTTACCCTGTCTCAGGTAGTTCCTTATTGCAATGAGAGAATGAACTAATACAATGACAAAAACATAAAGCCCTATTTTCTAGTTCTTATTTCATATACTGCTCAAATTGGATTATGAATGTGTTATAACACATACTTGAAAGAAGTATTTTGATTCTGGAAAAATTTCGTCAACCTCCACTTCTTTTCCGAGTATGGAGAAGTCAAAAAGGCAAAGAGTGGAAATCCACAGAGAAGTCAAGGGAAGAGGATTAGTAAACTTCTAATTAACCAAGCACAATTGCTTTGCCAGGAACATCAGCAAAGGGGACCAAATGAAAAGGTGACAAAGTGCTCTGCCCAAAGAGGAAGGCAGAGTTCAGTGACAACAACCTAAAACCTCAGAAGAAGATATCAATCCCTCCATTACCCTCTAAACTGCTACCCATTAACCTGATTCGCCAGGACATTCTGTGTGCCTGGTGCCAACAATTAAAGCTGAGCACCAAAGGCCAGAAATTAGATGCACATAAGCACCCGTGTGCCTTCACCTACCCAAAATAAAAGGACATTCGTAGCACAGCAAAAGAGGCCAGAATTCAGAAATCATTACAAAAAAAAAAAATCAAAGGTGGACAAGGGGTAAACGTCCCTGAAAAGTTCTGAGGAGACATCCTCCTGAGATGGCTCTTCCCTCTTGGGGGGGTGCTGCCTGCCTTGGAAGAGTCTGCTGCTCTCCTTGAAGGAGTTAATACAGCTGTAAGAAAACTTCTACCCCAGGTGCTTTGCTGGCCTCCAGGGCCAGAACTGCAGCCAGGGTGGGACACCAGAGGCAGAGGAATCTCCACAAGAGAAGACCATGGGAGAAGTCTCCCTGCAGATACAGATGGTTGGGTTCACCTCCAGTTTCATGCTAGACAAGCCTGGGCTCCAGAAATGCAAGAAGGGAGAGTGAGTGCACTCTTCTTGCTTCCCGCCTCCCAATTTCCCACCCCTGCACCTTGAAGACAGTAAGTTGTGCCCCAAATGTGTTCACAGGTACAAGGTCTTAATAAAAAGCATCCAGTGGGAATAAAATACCAGAAAAAAGGCACATATATGGTAATTAATAGTAGAAAGGCTCAACAGTCGATTCCATGGTGGTGTTGCTGATAGGTGAACTCCGGTTCTCTCCATACCTGCTTACAGTCCATGCAGACTGGTGGATTGCAGGTGTTAGACTATGACATGCAGCAGTGCCTGCTGCTTCACTGGCTGAGATATAGACTCTAATTTTAAAAATGATAAAACATTTCACAAATTACCATTAATTCTAGTTAATACATAGAAAAAGTCATTTATAGTACGCTTCTAAAATGGAAATGACTTCAACAGCTACAGCTCTTTTAAGTGAAAATTTCTTCAGCTGAGCACTAAGAAAACAGTGGTTTGCTCCTGTGCTCAATTTCCCTCCCTAGCATACTGACAACTTTAGGAGATGCTCCATTCTGATTGTAAATTTCACAAAATGTAAAGTATTCTAAGGCAGAGAAAGGCTGTTAATTCTCTCCCTCTCCAAAACACATGATTTTTAATATTCAAAACAATATTTGTTTTCTTAATAACCTGAGACTTCTATAGTTTGATTCTAGGATAGAAACACAAGGCACTTTGTATTACTTCCACCTATAATTGCTTTGTGTATTTCTGCTGTTTAAAATGTTTAAGGTTGCTCCCTACTCATAAATACATATTAGATTTATATATACTCAAAACCTGTTGGTGGTACAGGTTGGACCATTTGTTTTCAAAATGACATTATTTAGGTATGATTGACATACAAAAAGCTGCACATATTTAATGTATCCAATTGAGTTTAACTTTTAATTTTCTGTGTATTTCCTAAATTTATAGTCCTGTGTGTCTTGGAACAGATCTGTTTTTTTACTTCTCCTGTGTTTTAATGGCAGTCTCCAATATTGTCTTATTATTACAAGTAGGGGATTTGCTTTGCTCCTTTAATGAAGATATAAAAAATAATGCACTGGAAAGAGTGGTAGAACTGGAAAATTTGTAACCATCATCATTACTTAATAGGTTTGGGAAAGAATCGTCAAAAATGTTAAAGCAAGAGAAGAAAGTTTGTTGACAAGTGATATGGTTTGGGTCTGTGTCCCTGCTCAAATCTCATGTGGAACTATAATCCCCAATGTTAGAAGTGGGGCCTAGTGGGAAGTGACTGGATCATGGGGGCAGATGTCCCCACTGGTGCTGTTCTCGTTGTAGTGAGTTTTCCTGAGATCTGGTTGTTTAGAAGTGTGTAGCACCTCCCACTTCACTCTCTCTCTCCTGCTCCACCACGTGAAGATAGGCCTGCTTTCCCTTTGCCTTCCGCCATAACTGAAAGTTTCCTGGGGCCTCCCCAGAAGCAACTATGTTTCTACAGAACTGTGAGCCAATTAAACCTCTTTCCTTTATAAATTACCCAGCCTCAGATTTCTTTATCACAATGTGAGAACAGACTAATACAAGAAGCAAAATATTTTCATGATCTCATAGTGTTGTTCCTTCCTGCCCTTCATTGGTTGTTGGTGGTCATAATTTTTCAGCACAATAATAAACACATTTGTTCCTTAAAAAAAAAAAAAGCAAGAAAGAAGTGTTGTAATACAACACAATCTCACACACAAATTCTATGGAATAGATTCCCATTACTAGATTATCTTCAGAAACCTACTTCTAGAAACTTAATCAACTTTCAGCAGCCCAATCAATGAAGTAGCAAATTAACCAGAGAGCTGCAATTCTAAATTTCTTGTATGTCCCCAGGCCAAACTTAACATCTTCATATCCTTACCATGGAATCTATCCATTTAATCCCTTAAATCTCTCTTAATTTCTCTTTGAGAGAAATTTTGATGTCAAGGGCATTAAGTAACGGCAACAATGCCCGTGGCGTCAAAACTAAGCCACAGGAATAAGTTCAAATTTAGCATTACAGTGACTAAATATTATCATAATCACACATAATTCTTTAATGAGTTTCTAACAAAATAAACAATCTATTTATCAACCAGAAAACCACTTTCATTTCAACTTGCTAAACAGAATTTTGTTTTGCCCTAGGAGAAACAAAGTGCTAGCTAAGTAGCCTACCATAAAAGGAACATTGACCCTGCCTAAATTATGATTTTTAAAAAATCAAACAAGATCACCATTCACTGTACTTTTGCATCACCTTCTGTATTTTCGCATGGTGTGTAATTTTAAAATATATTCTCAAAGTTTTAGTCAAATTTTAAATTAATTGCAATTTAGCAAACAGCATTAGCAGAAAACTTTGATACAGCCAGTGTTGCCACGCACTACTTTGACCCAAGTTGCAAATGGCCAACCAAGGAGAAATTTTCTGGGTAAGCATAATAACATTTTTAACAAGTCAAACTCTTTGTTACGAGAAACATTTCTAAACTATTCTTAATAAGTTTTCTCAACAAAATCACAATCTCAGTGTGTACCACTCACAGAAGTGTACCTGAATAAGCTGATGACAGCCTTAATGAATGGTGACCCTACTGGTAGAAAAGGTCTTCAGAGTGAGAAATGGGACCAGTGCTCCCCTATAACTCTAACTCTTCCAATCCTTCTGAGATTGACATCCATACCAAAAATTAACAGGCAACTCTCACACATAAATGCTTTCTACTTCCCTTCCAATATTCTGTGTACTTCCTCCTAATTTACCAGCTAAATTTATGAGAAGGCAACCAGCAAATATTATTAAACTTTTCCCCCAAATTACCAATATCAATGAGTGGTGGGACTGCAAGTAATTTTTATTTTCTTCTTTTCTTTCTTCTCCTCTAATTTTCAACATGGTAAACGTGTTTTGTTTTGTTTTTTTTTAAAGATTCTCTTAACTTTGTTTTAAATCTAACCAAAAGAGGCAAATTCTTTAATCTGGAACTTCTTTTGTAATACCAGCCATACAGTGAAGCCAAAAGCAATTTCCATGAAACTCAGTGAATGTTAATATAAACATGTAATATGATGAAGGTTAAACAAACAATGTGTGGTACCCTTTTACATTTTCTTAAAGAAGTTATGTATATATTATATGTAACCAAGGTAAAATGATCCTTGAAATAAATGATAACATTCTTATACATTTTCACAATGAATTTTTCTTCTAAAATAAAACAGCAGAATTATAATAAAAAACAATAAACTAACTTGGTATACAAATTCTTTCTTCAACAAATACTTAAGAAACACATTTAATATAAAAGACAAGATAAAAATGTCAAAAAGAAGAACAAATAAATTGCTTTACCTCCTTATGTGTCACATCCAACTGACTCCTAAGACTCTTAAGTTCCTGTTCACGGATTTTCAAGCAAGTTTCTAGAGCATGTGTACGTCCTTCCCATTCAGATTTTTTATGAGCCACCATTATGTCAATCTGTTTCATGAGCTCCTGTAGTTCTGCTTCACAAGATGTCAAAAATCCCCTATAAAGAAGAACAGATCATTAAAAAAACAGAAGATATGTTCAAGTGGCTTTTCATCTTTTTCATGTAAAAATATAGCAGATGTAAATCTACCTGAAGTAAATAATTAAATGACATTAATGTAAATTAATAAATTACCAGAAGCAAAGAATAGGATTGCTGAGCTTTTTTTTTTTTTTTTTTTTTTTTTGAGATGGAGTTTCATTCTTGTTGCCCAGGCTGGAGTGCAGTGGCATGATCATGGCTCACTGCAACCTCCACGTCTCGGGTTCAAGCAATTCTCCTGCCTCAGCCTCCCGAGTAGCTGGGATTACAGGCATGCGCCACCATGCCCGGCTAATTTTTATTTTTAGTAGAGATGGGGTTTTGCCATGTAGGCCAGGCTGGTTTTGAACTCCTGACCTCAGGTGATCTGGCCAGCCTCAGCCTCCCAAAGTGCTGGGATTACAGGTGTGAGCCACCGTGCCCGGCCTGAGCTTTTACTTTTAATGCTCATATTAAGATGATTACTTATTCCACAGAATATCTTATCTTCCTCTCATAGCCAACCTAAAGCCCAAGTTGTTTGGTTAAGCACAAGATTGATGTTTTAAGTCTGGTTTGTGGAGCCAGGCTGCTACAGCCAACAAGCGCCTCTGTAACATATTAAGGAAGCTTTCAGGAAGGATCCAGACAAGCCTATACATCACATTTTCATCTAGCTAAAGGAAAAAGCCTTGGAAGAAAGCAGACTATCATGCAGGAAAGTGATAATACAATTGTAAGAGCTGCTTCAAGAAATTCATCCTTCAGCCAGATTTATTTCAACTATTTCTGCCCACCTTTCTGTCAGAAACTTACTGTAGTCTACCTTACTATTGTAAACCTACTGATGTCCTGGCATTTCAGGAGATGCCAGATATTGCTGAGAAACAGAAGTGGACACAGATATATTAGATTCAAAGAGGTTTCCAGAAATGGCCACAAGACAGCTCTCAGTAAGGCTTAAATACTTTCAAAAAGCACCTGTTCTTAGTGTGACAGAACCTTTGTACTTTTGCTTCTTAAGAGTAGAAAACTCAAGATAGGATGTAGGCAAACAACTAGCTTCACACTGCTGTGATGAGGCAAACAACCCAAAAAAAGTCCCCCCAAAATGCTGTGACCATGACATGGATCAACTTAGCTTTTGCTCAACACTTTTGCTTCTGTACCCAAAGCACAATATGGTCAGAGGCACAACTCAGATAAGTTTTTTAAACTGCAGTGAGAAGCTTAAGGTTAAAAGAAAACTTACCACTGGGAGTCCACACACACCACTTAGGGACCTGAGGACAGGCCTGCTGTGCCCATCACTACTACCAGGCACATTGTCTGAGGCACTGGTGATCAGCCTAGCCCCTCCTGCCACCACTAGGTGACTTAGAATCAACCTACCGTGATCACTGCCAGCACCTATGGACATCATCCAGGGACCTTGGAGAGGCCTGCCTCACCCACTACTGCCACCACTGGTGCCTGTGCATGTCACCCACGGGCCTGGGGATTGATCTGCCCTGCCTGCTACTATCAGTGCCTGTGCATGCCATCTGGGAGCCTGAGGACAAGCCCATCCTGCCTGCCACTGGCATCACTGTCTGGTACGTGATGACCAGTCTGCCTGGTGTCCCTACCCCAGCAGAGCCTTGCTATAGCCTCCACTGACAATCACAGTCCAAGTCACTGAAAAACTCACAGAAACCACTGATACTGATTATGGCTGGAAAAATCATAGAAACTACACTCTTGCACCCACTGAGAATCAAATCAAAAGCACCCTACCCAACCAACACTATAGATACACCTATATGAAAAAAATTTTCCCTATGAAAGCCAATCCATATAATTGGAAGAAGTGACTATTATACCAGATACACAGAAATCAACACAAGGACACAAGAAAAATGAAAAAGGAAAGAAAAAGGACACCTCAAAGGAACACAATAATTCTCTGGTAACAGATCCCAAAGAAAAGGAAATGTATGAAATGCCTATAAAAGAATTCAAAATAATGTTATTAAATAAACTCAGTGAGATAGAAGAAAACACAGATAATAAAAATAAATCGGGAAAACAATTTATGTTCTGAAAGAGAAATTCAACAGAGATGGATATCATTAAAAAGAGCCAAACAGAAATCCTGAAACTGAAGAATTCAATAAATGAAATTTAAAAATGCAATTGAGTTTCAACAACAGAGTAAAAACAAGTACGAGAATTTCTGAACTTGAAGATGGACCTTTTGAAATAACCCCATGAGACAACAACAAAAACAACAAAAGAATAAAGAATAAAAAAGAAAAAAGAAAGCCTACATGGCATATGGGAGACCATAAAGTGATCAAATATCCAAATTCTTGCTATTCCAGCAAGAGAAAAGATGGCATAGGTACAGAAAACCAATTTAACAAAATAATAGCTGAAAACTTCCCAATTCTTGCAAAAGATATAGATATCCAAATAAAGGAAGCTCAAATATCCCCAAATAGATTCAACCTAAAAAGGTCTTCTCTAAGGCACATTATAGTCAAACTGTCAAAAGTCAAAGACAAAGAACTCTGAAACAGCAAGAGAAAAATGTCAGATGTTCTGTGAGTTCCTCACATATAAGGATATTGCCATCAGACTAACAGCAGATTTCTCAGCAGAAACCTTACAGACCAGGAGAGAATGGGGCGATATATTCAAAGTGTTAAAAGAAAACAAATAAAACTGGTGTCTAAGAATACTATACCCAACAGAGCCATCCTTCAAAAATGAAGGAGAAATAAAGTTTTTCCCAGACAAGCAAAAACTGAGATAATTCATCATCACTAGACCAGCCCTACAAAAAATGCATATGGGATTCCTACATCATGAGGCAAAAGGATGATATCTACTATCGTGAAAACACACAAAAAGTATAAGACTCACTCGTGGAGGAGAAACACAAATGAGAAAGAGAAAGGCATCAAACATTATCACTAAAAAAAAAAAAGAGAGAGAGACCAAATTACACAGGTAAACAATAAAGGAAGAAGAAAGGAACAAAGGATATACAAGACCACCAGAAAGCAATTAACAAAACGACAAGAGTTAAGTCCTCACCTATCTATAACAACCCTGAATGTAAATGGTTTAAATTCCCCAATTAAAAGATATAGAATGGCTGAATATCTCTATAAAAAGCAAGACCTAACTATGTGCTACCTAAAAGAAGCTCACTTCATCTGTAAAGACACGCATAAACTGAAAATGAAGAGATGGGAAACCAAAAACATGCAGGAGTAGTTATTCCTATATCACACAAAATAGACTTTAAGTCATATAAACATAAAAACTGACAAAGAAGGTCATTATATAATGAAAAGGGATCAATTCAGCAACAAGATATTACAGCTGTAAATATACATACATCCAACACCAGAGCACACAGACATATGAAGCAAATATTATTAGAGCTAAAGAGAGACAGACTCCAATACAATAATAATTGGGGACTTCGGTACCCCACTTTGAGCACTGGACAAGTGATTTAGACAGAAAATCAACAAAGAAACATCCAGTTTGTTCTACACTACAGACCAAAGAGACCTAAAGACATTTATAGAACATTTCATGTAACAGCTGCAGAATACACATTCTTTAGCACACAGAACATTCTCCAGGATAGACCATATGTTAGGCCACAAAACAAGTTTCAACAAATTTTTTAAAATCAAAATCATATCAAGTATCTTAGACCACAATGGACAAAAGCTAAAAATCAAGATTAAGAGAAACTTTGGAAACTGCACAAATACATGGAAATTAAGCAGCATGCTCCTGAATGACCACTGGGTCAGTGAAGAAATTAAAAAAGAAATGCAAAAATGTCTTGAAACAAATGAAAATGAAAATACAACATACCAAAACCTATGGGATACAGCAAAGGCAGTGCTAAGAGGAGTGTTTATAGCAATAGATGCCTACATCAAAACAGCACAAAGACAAAAAAAAAAAAAAAAAAAAGATTGAAATCACACCAAGTATCTTCTCAGACCACAGTGCAATAAAAATAAGAATACCAGGAGGAATTCTCAAAACCACAAAAATACATGGAAACTAAACAACTTGCTCTTGAATGGCTTTTGGGTAAACAAAGGCAGATATGAAAAAATTCTTTGCCATGTTAAGAGGAAAGTTTACAGCTCTAAACACCTACATTAAGATCTCAAGTTAACAACCTAAAACAATGTAATGTCACACCTAAAGGAACTAGAAAAATAAGAACTAAACCCAAAGCCAGCAGAAAAAAAGAAGTAACTAAAATCAGAGCAGAAATAAACAAAATTGAGACCAAAACAAATGAAATAAACAGTTGATAACAAGATTGATAGACTGCTAGCTAAATCACCAAAAAAAAGGAAGATCCAAATAAGTACAATCAGAAATGACAAAGGTGACATTACAACCAATCCCATAGAAGTACAAAAGATCCTCACAGACTACTATGAACATCTGTATGCACACAGGCTAGAAAATCTAGAGGAAATGGAAAAATTCCTGGAAACACACAACCTCCCAGAATTGAAACAGGGAGAAAGAGAAATCCTCGATAGATTAATAACGAGTTATAAAATTAAATCAGTAATAAAAAGCCTACCAACTAAAGAAGCCCCAGACCAGATGGATTCACAGCCAAATTCTACCAGACATATAAATAAGAGGTAGTACCACTACTGAAACTATTCCAAAACATTGAGGAGCAGGGATCCATCTCTAACTCATTCTATGAAACCAACATCACCCTGATACCAAAATCTGGCAAAGATGAAACAAAAAAAAACTACAGACCAATATCCCTAATGAACATAGATGCAAAAATCCTCAACAAAATACAAACTGAATCCAGCAGCACATCAAAAAGATAATCCATCACAATCAAGTGGGCTTTATTCCTGGGATGCAAGGATGGTTCAACATAGGCAAAAATCAATAAATGTGATTCATCACATAAACAGAATTAAAAACAAAAACCATATGATCACCTCAATAGACGCAGAAAAAGCATTCAATAAAACTTAATATCCCTTCACGTTAAAAGCCCTCAACAAACTAGGCATCGAAGGAACCGACCTCAAAATAGTAAGAGCCATCTATGACAAACCCACAGCCAATATCATACTGAATAGGCAAAAGTTAAAAGCATTCCCCTTGACACCTGGGACATGACAAGGATGTCCTCTCTTGCCACTCCTACTCAACCTAGTACTTGATGTCCTAGCCAGAGCAACCAGGCAAGAGAAAGAAATAAAAGGTATTCAAATAGGAAAAGAAAAAGTCAAATTATCTATCTTTGCTGATGATATGATTCTTTACCTAGAAAACCCTAAAGATTTACCAAAATGTTCCTAGACCTGATAAACAAGCTTCAGTAAAGTTTCAGAATACAAAATCAATGTACAAAAATCAGCAGCATTTCTATACAGCAATAACGTCCAAGCTGAGTACTGAATCAAGAACACAATCCCATTTACAATAGCCACACATAAAAAAAAATCTAAGAATACATCTAACTACAGAGGTGAAAAACCTCTACAAAAAGAATTACAAAACACTGCTGAAAGAAATCACAGATGACATAAACAAATAGAAAAACATTCCATGCTCATGGATTAGAAGAATTTATACAGTTAAAACGGCCGTCCTGCCCAAAGCAACCTATAGATTCAATACAATTCCTATCAAATTACTGTCATTCTTCACAGAATTAGAAAAAAACTATTTTAAAATTCATATGGAACCAAAAAAGAGCCCAAATAGCCAAAGCAACCCTATGCAAGAAGAACAAAGCTAGAGGCATCATATTGCCTTGCTTTACACTACAATGCTATAGTAACCAAAACAGCATGATACTGGTACAAAAATGGACACATAGACCAATGGAACAAAACAGAGAACCAGAAATAAAGCTACACGCTTACAATGAACTGATCTTCAACAAAGCTGACAAAAACAAACAATGGAGAAAGGATACTCTGTTCAATAAATGGTGCTGGGAAAACTGGCTACTTGTATGAAGAATGAAACTCAACCCCTACACTTCCTCACCATATGCAAAAATTAATTCAAGATGGATTAGATTTAAATGTAAGATCTCAAACTATAAGAATCCTAGGAGAAAAATCTAGGAAATACTCTTCTGGACACTGGCCTAGGCAGAGAATTTATGACTCAAAAAGATATGTCCTCAAAAGCAAATGCAATAAAAACAAAAATTGACAATTGGGACCTAACTAAAGAGCTTCTGCACAGAAAAAAAAACTACCGACAGAGCGAACTGACAACTTACAGAATGAGAGAACGTATTTGCAAACCATGCATCCAACAAAGGGCTAATATCCATAAACTACAAGGAACTTGAAAAATGTTCAACATCACTAATCATCAGAGAAATGCAAATCAAAACCAAAATGAGATACCACCTCATACCAGTCAGAATGGCTATTATTAAAAAGTCAAAAAATAACAGATGTTGGTGAGGCGGTGGAGAAAAGGCAACACCGTTGGTGGGAATGTAAATTAGTTCAACCCCTGTGGAAAGCAGTTTGGAGATTTCTCAAATAACTAAAAATAGAATGAGACTACCAATCGATTCAGCAATTCCATTACCAGGTATATACTCGAAGGAAAATAAATAATTCTACCAAAAAGACACATGCGCTCACATGTTCATCGCAACACCAATCACAATAGCAGACATGAAACCAACCTATGTACCCATTGATGGTGGACTGGATAAAGAAAATGTAGTACATATACACCATGGAATACTACACAGCCATAAAAGAAAAACAAAATGTTCTTTGCAGCAATGTGGATGCAGCTGCAGGCTATTATCCTAAGCAAATTAACACAGAAGCAGAGAACCAAATACTGCATGTTTTCATTTGCAAGTGGAAGCTAAACATTGAGTACACACAGACATCAAGATGGGAATAATAAGCCAGGCATGGTGGCTCACACCTGTAATCCCAGCACTTTGGGAGGCTGAGGCGGGGGGATCACTTGAGATCAGGAGTTCGAGACCAGCCTGGCCAACATGGCGAAATCCCATCTCTACCAAAAATACAAAAAAATTAGCTGGGCATGGTGGTGTGTGCCTGTAATCCCAGCTACTTGCAAGGCTGAGACAGGAGACTCACTTGAACCCAGAAGACAGAGGTTGCAGTGAGCCAAGATCATGCTACTGCACTCCAGCCTGGGCAACAGAGCGAGACTCCATCTCAAAAAAAAAAAAAAAAAAAAAGATGAAGATGGGAACAACAGACACTGGAGACTCCAAAAGAAGGCAAGGGCAGAGGGTGGGCAAAGGCTGAAAAACTATCTATTGTGTACTATGTTCATTCTTTGGATGATAGGATACATACAAGCCCAAGCTTCAGCATCACACAATACACCCATTTAACAAACCAGCACATGTACCCCTGAATCTAAAAAATAAAAACAGTACAAAGACTTCAAATAAACAACCTAACGATGCACTTCGAGTAGCAAAGCAAGAACAAACAAAACCCAATTAGCAGAAGGAAAAAAATAACAAAGATCAGATCAGAAATAAACAAAATAGAGACTAAAAAACAATACAAAGAATCAATGAAACAAAAAGTTGGTTTTTTAAAAAGACAAAATCGATAAACCATTAGCTAGACTAACCAAGAAAAAAGAGAAGACCCAAATAAATAAAATCAGAAACAGAAAAGGCAATATTACAACTGATAACCACAGAAATACAAAGGGTCATTAGAGATTATTACAAACAACTATATGCTAACAAATAGGAACACCTAGAGGAAATAAATTCCTACCAAGATTGAACTCGGAAGAATTAGAAAACCTGAAAAGACCAATAATGAGTAACATGACTGAACCAGGAATAAAAAGTCTCCCAAGAGAGAAAAGCCCAGGACCTGATGGCATTACTGCTGAATTCTACCAACTTCATAAAGAAGAACATCAATTCTTCTCAAAGTATTCCAAAAAAATTGAAGGCGAGAAAAATTTTCCTAACTCATTCTACAAGGCCACCTTTACTCTGATGACAAAAGCAGACAAGGACACAACAAAAGAAGACAACTACATGCCAATATCCCTGATGAACACAGATGCAAAAATCTTCAACAAAATACTAGCCAACCAAATCCAACAACAGAACAGAAAGATAATACAGCATGATCAAGTGGGATTTATCCCAGGTATGCAACATATACAAATCAATAAAAGTGATACATCACATCAACAGAATGAAAGACAAAAACCATATGATCATCTCAACAGATACAGAAAAAGCACTTGATAAAATTCAACATCTCTCCATGATAAAAACTCTCAAGCATAGAAGGAACATACCTCAACATAATAAAGGCCATATAAGACAGCTCCCCAGGTATCATTATACTGGATGGGGAAAAGCTGAAAGCCCTTCCTCTAAGAACCTGAACACAACAAGGATGCCCACTTCCACCACTCCCATTCAACACATAACTGAAAGTCCTAGTCAGAGCAATCAGGCAAGAAAAAGAAATAGAGGCATCCAAATTGGAAAGGAGGAAGTCAAATTGTTGCTCTTTGTGTACAACATAATCTGACATACAGAAAAACCTAAAGACTCCACCAAAAAAGTCTTAGAACTGATAAAGAAATTCAGTAAAGTTGCAGAATACAAAATCAACATACAAAAATCAGTAATGTTTCTATACACCAATAATGAACTAGCTGAAAGAGAAATCAAAAAAGCAATCCCATTTACAATAGCTACCAGAAAAAAAAAATACCTAGGATTAAATTTAACCAAGGACATAAAAGACCTCTACAAAGAAAACTATGAAACACTAATGAAGGAAATTGAAGATACAAATGAAAAGACATTCATGCCCATGGGTCAGAAGAATTAATATATTCAAATGATTATATCCAAATCTATCCACAGATTCAATGCAATCTCTATCAAAATACCTATGACATGCTTCACAGAAATAGAAAAAATAATACTAAAATTCACACCGAACCATAAAAGGCCCTGAATAGCCAAAGGAATCTTGATCAAAAGGAACAAAACTGGAGGTATCACACTACCTGACTTCAAAATATACTACCAAGCTATAATAACCAAAATAGCATGGTATTAGTATAAAAGCAGAAACATACACCAACGGAACAGAATAGACAACCCAGAAATTGTATTTACAGCCCACTGATTTTCAACAAAGGTGCCAATAACATACAATGGGAAAAGGACGCCCTATTCAATAAATGGTGCTGGAAAAAATTGATATTCACATGCAGAAAAATGAAACTAGACCCCTATCTCTCACCATATTAAAAAAAAAATCAACTCAAAATGGACTAAAGACTTAAATGTAAGACCCAAAACTATAAAACTACTAGAAGAAAACATAGGGATTGGGTACAGTGGCTGATGCCTGTGATCCCAACTACTCAGGAGGCTGAGGCAGGAGGATCACTTGAGGCCAGGAGTTCAAGAACTGCTTGAGCAACACAATGAGATCTCATCTCTTAAAAAAAAAACCTTCTTAAATTAGCCAGATGACATGCCTATGGTCCCAGATACTTGGGACACTGAAGCAGGCGGATCACTTGAACCCAGGAGTTTGAGGCTACAGTGAGCTACGACTGTGCTGCTGTACTCCAGCCTGCACAACAGAATGAGACACCCGTCTCTAAAAAAACAAAAAGAAAATATAGAGGAAATGCTTCAGTACACTGGTCAAGGCAAAGATTTTATGGTTAAGACTTCAAAAGCACAGGCAACCAAAACAAAAACCGACAATTGGGACCTAGTTAAACTAAAAAGTTTTTGCACGGCAAAGGAAACAATAGAGTCAAAGACAACTTGTAGAATGGGAGAAAATATTTGCAAACTATTCATTCAACAAGGGACTAAACATCCAGAATATACAAGAAAAACAACTCAACAGCAAAAAAACAAAAAACCCTATTAAAATGTGGGCAAAGGATTTGAATAGACATTTCTCTAAAGAAGACATACAAATGGCCAAAAGGTGTATGAAAAAATGGTCGACACCACTAAATCACCAGGAAAATGCAAGTGAAAACCACAATGATTCATCTCACCCCAGTTAGAATGATTATCAAAAAGACAAAATATAACAAATGCTGGGGGGGATGTGGACAAAAGGGAACTCTCATATGCTGTTGGTGAGAATGTAAAATTAGTACAGCCATTATGGAAAACTAAATGGAGTTTTCTAAAAAACTAAAAATAGAACTACCATATTGTATATAGCACCCTTAACATAAGTAACTCCATTTTAGAAAGAGATTGCATCTCACATTTCAAAAGACATCATGCCCACAGGGACCCGATGTTCACCTTATCAATAAAGACTGCACTCAATCAGATAATGACATAAACAGGCACAATATTTCACTATCAGTTATCACCAGAAGATTCTGTGGCCACAAAAAGAGCAAGACTTTACCAGCTCAAAACAGCTGTCTTGATAACAGCCTGTCTGGCTGTCACTTGTGATCAGCACCTGGCATCTGTCACCAAAGGCTCCTCCTTGCAAGAATGTTGACAACCGTCCAGATCAGGCCAGAATATTCTCTTTGTCCAGTTGTTCTCTTTGGACTAGTTCTTTAGCCCCCCCCCCCTTTTTTTTCTATCCTTTTCTCCTGTTAAATGTTACTTTGTTTGATGTGGAATGTTTACACTGCAACATTTACATATATTAATACACTATTATGTATGGTTTGCAATACTGACTGACTTGTGGAGAGGCTTGAGCCTGTATGCCCATGGCTCTGACTATTGAGTGAACTGGTAGTACTAGGGGGAAATGCCTCCTTGGGAACTCCATGTAGCTTGTGGCTTTTATGACTGAAATAGCATCAATAAAAGTTTGCTCTTGTAGAAAAGACACAAACATGTATGGACCTGGTTATGTCTGACTTTGCACCACTCACAACACATATGATTCAGAAAGCACACTATTGGGTAATCTATCCAAAGGAAAGGAAATCAGTATGTGAAAGGGATACTTGTACCCCCATGTTTATTGCAGCATTATTCACAATAACCAAGATATGGAATTGACTTGAGTGTCCAACAGCAGATTAATGGATAAAGAAAATGTCAGAAATATATCCATCATGGAATACTATTCAGCCATAAAAAAGAATGAAGCCCTGTTATTTGCAGCAACATGGATAAAACTGGTGGTCGTTAAGTGAAATAATAGGCACAGAAAGACAAATATCTCATGTTCTCATTCATATGTGGGGTCTAAAAAAGTTCACCTCATGGAGGTAGAGAGTAGAACGATGGTTACCAGAGGCTGGGAAGGGGTTGGGGGTGAAGAATGTTTGGTTAATGGGTACAAACCATACAGTTAGGTAGAAGAGTAAGCTCTAGTGTTAAATAGCACAGTAAGGTGACTACTAAGTAACTAGTATGTAACTAGTTAAGTAATTAGCACAGTCGGGTGACTAGCACAGTAAGGTTCCTTAAACTTTAAAAATTTACTATATATTTCAAAGTAGCTAGAAGAATTGAAATGTTCCCAACACAAAAAATGATAAATGCTTGAGCTGATAGGTATACTAAATACCCTTATTTGATCATTACACATTATATGTATGTATCAAAGTATCATGTGAACCCTATAAATATGTAATCATGTATTAACCAAAAAAATTAATTTTAAAAAAAGCAAACTTACCCACCATGCCCTCGATTTTGTATTCCTTCTAACAAAGCCTCCATCACCAAATCCCCTTTGTTTTGGCAACTGACAAAGAAAAAAATATCAGTCATGAGACAATTCATTTCTTCAGTTCTAACATTCTAACTTACAACTTAAGAATGTGAATGAAAGCATACATAATAATGAAAAAATGCAGCACTTCTTAAGATGACTGTAGAAGCAGTCAAAGAACATCACTTCAGGAATACTAGGAACAAACTATTTCGGACTAAAACAGAATAACTTAAAAATATCTGAATTGCGGTTGACACTCTCTCCGTGTAAATATCAAATATCTCATTGTTCTTTGCCTAATTCCTAATGTCGGGTGAGCAGGGGTGGAGGTGGGATCTCTCTAGCAGACGGATACACAAACTCCCTTAACAAAATGAGAAAGAAATGGGTTCACACATGTCAGAGGGAAAGTATAGCTTTTTAAAAATTAAAGAGATAGTATAAAAAATGCGAAGTGTACTGAGATTAAACTCTTTGGTCTATCATGGGAAAGCCTACTCACTCCTGAAGACAGGCTCATAGAGCTTCCTGCATGCAACATCCTCTCTCCACCGAAAGGCAGCCACAGGGCCCTCCCACCTCTGCACTTCATTTGCTCCCAGTGCTTAATACGTTCTTTCATAGGAGTTGCACCACACTGGAAGTGAGTTTTTTACATACTATTTTTCCTTACTAGACTATTCATCCCTCCAGGGCAGAAACCCAATTTTATTCATCTCTGCAGCTGCAGAGCTCAACGCAGCATTTCAACATGGCACGTGGCAGATTATTTTGGCTGAACTTAACTCCCCTCCCTCTTTTACCTACCCTCTCCCCCATGCAAACTGGTCACAGCTGGGGAACTACATGAAGGGTCTAGCAGAGAAAGAGGGAACGGGAGATAGAAGACTGCCATATAAACAGCAAGATACAGTTGGGTGCGGTGGCTCACGCCTGTAATCCTAGAACTTGGGAGGCCGAGGGAGGCGGATCACCTGAGGTCAGGAGTTTGAGACCAGCCTGGCCAACATGGTAAAACTCCGCCTCTACCAAAAAAAAAAAAAATTAGCTGGGCATGGTGGCATGCACCTGTAGTTCCAGCCATGGGGAGGCTGAGGTAGGAAAATCGCTTGAAGTCGGGAGGCGGAGGTTGCAGTGATCCGAGATCACACCATTGCACTACAGCCTGGGTGGCAGACAGAGATTCCATCTCAAATAAATAAATAAATAAATAAATAAATAAATAAATAAATATAAAATAAAGGGTAAGATACACCATGAAGAAAGGTGACAGTGAGAAAGGAAAGAGGACCCTTAAACTCAGTAGTGTTGATTAATATGTGTATGCTTCTCGCCTTTTATAATAAATCTTCAAAATGTTCAATGTCAAACCACTTTTCATTCCAAAATGCTTTTTCCTTAAACCCTTAAGACAATAACCAGACTGTGGTGTAGAGGTTCTGCCCCTGGGCTAATCCTCATCTAAAAATTATACTGCTGTAAGAAGTAGATTATTTTACTCAACACGTAATTCAATGTTGTACTAACAACTAGATATATAGTGATGAAAGATATGGCCCCTTTCAAGGTATTAATAGTCTAGTATGGGACAGAAAAAAATGAGCCAAAAAGGCTTTCCCAGTGTGATAAATATAGTGAGAGACATGCCCAGGGTGTTCCAGAGACACAGAGGAGAATGAGAAGACTGGAAAATAGAACCACTGCACCTTATTTGCATCTATTTTTAAAGATACTAACAAACTGAGTATTAAATTATTTGTGCACAAACGTGACAGGGAGGATTTTTTTTCTAGTTGGTTTATCCTACATATTACACCAAAATTGCAAAAATAAAAACCTAAAGAAAAAGGTTCCCATGTTTTACTCCACTTTCAAATCACAATACAGTCCAACTACAATGCAACCAAGATTCCATGTTTTGGTCCACTCTAGGAGAACTGGGAGGCAGTACACGGTCCACACCACACTAGATGGAGACCCAGGATACAGTCCTACTCTGCAACTAACTAGCTTTATATTCTCGGACTTGTTTTAACATCTGCAAAATGAGGGGCATGAACAATATTCTCTAAGGTTTCTTCCAGCTTTTTCATGGGTTCTAACAGCCAATTAAATGTCCACTGTAAGTAGCATGCTCCTGACAACCATACACGGATACTTAACTAACATGTAGGAAAGTGCTATTCTTATTGACAGTGCTATCACAGTTATTCAAAATTATCATTAGTAAAATTATACTTATTTAGGTCATGTTATTCTTAAACATTAATATATTTAGTAATATACATTAATATATTTTCTATGACTATTTAATAATATACTTAGAAGTTAAGTTACTGAATGTTCAACAGCTGCCTTGTACACATTGTCTAAATCAATCTTCACTATACTCATAAAAGACAGATACTATTACTTTGAGAAAACAGGCTTAGAGAGTTAAATAACTTGACTATGATAAACTAAAAATTATAGTCCTGGATTCAACCTAGACATTGTGGCAATCAATTGAGTCACAATCGATGTGCAACCTTTATATATTTTACAGTATTCTATATCTTAAAATATATCAGCCTATCTTTTGGCTTAATAGTGTCTTTGCAATAAAAAAAGAAATTAAACTGAAGTATGACATCACTACTGTGGCCACCAGGTGGCAGCAGCACAATAATGAAATAGTCACATAAGAAATATTGCTATTTTAGAAATCAAAATGGTCTAAGATAGAGATTCCTGTTTAAAAAAAAAAAAAAAAAGGAGGGAAGTGGACCAGTAATATCCTATGTGAGAAATAAAGTAAACTTACTAATGTGCAAAGTGTTTCTGTAATACCTTCACCATCTGCCTGGTGCCAAACACCATCAATTCTCAGGATCAGGCAAATAGTAAGGGCTGATTTTCTGTGGATGTTTGTCATCTGAGTTGCTCATAGTTATATCACTGATTCTTTTCCTAACCAACCTGACCATCATTCAACTCTATGCACTATGTCACTTTGATTTCTTCTTTGCATGTGCCATATAATTACATAAAATTAGACCATCCTGGCTAACACGGTGAAACCCCGTCTCTACTAAAAATACAAAAATTAGCCGGGCATGGTGGCGCGCGCCTGTAGTCCCAGCTACACGGGAGGCTGAGGCAGGAGAATGGCGTGAACCCGGGAGGCGGAGCTTGCAGTGAGTCAAGATCGCGCCACTGCACTCCAGCCTGGGCGACAGAGCAAAACTCCGTCTCAAAAAAAAAAAAAAAAAAAAAGAATACAAATAGAATGTCTTATAATAGGCAAATCTTTGAAATTCATTAACATAGACTTTATGAGCTAGAAAGCACTTCAGGCCTCTAATTTAACTTTATCATTTTACAGATCAGGAAAAATATCATAGTATATGCCCAAGACCAAATTATTCACAAAATGGGACACAGGAAGAAAATAAAAACTCCAGACAGAATTATGAATAAATGTGTACATACTAAGAGAAGGGATATGCCTAACCTTCAAGTCTAAAGGAGGATAACAATGCTCTCTGTCCCTGTACCTGCCTTGGTGTCGTTTTCATTACAAAGCTCTATGATTGTGTCAGATATACCATGGCCAGTAAACTATGGCTGTTCCGATGAACAATCAGTATTACTAAGCATTTTCCAGAAAGGCTCCTAATTAAACTGATACCAGTAAATAAGGTATTAGAGAAACTTTTCAAAATATTAAAGTTTTTAAAAAATTGTCCAAACTATAGTTCAAAATCCAGGAAGAACAATGAGAAAGTCTGAGAAATAGGAGTACATAAAAACAAACTTTTATATGAAAAAGTGCCATAAGCAAAGTTAACTGACAAATGACAACAGTACCTGAAAGTTTTACCACAAACGGTTAATTACCCAAATATATAAGGAGCTTATAAAAGATTAGGCAAAAAATCTATAGAAACATGGGCGAGAGGTATAAACAAGCAATGCACAGAAAAATACAAATGACAGTAAAAATATGAAAAGATGTTCAACCTTGCTCATAAGAGAAATACAAATTAAAACTACAGTAAGTTACCCTTTCTTCTGTACCAGATTAACCAAAAATTAAATGTTTGATAATACACTCTGATGACAAGGCTGTGGGACAACAGGCACTCATATACATAATAGGTAGGAATGCAAAATGAACACAACTGCTATAGAGGAGACTTTGGTAATACCTAACAACTGATATATGCATTTACCCTTTTATCCAACAACGCTACTTTTAAGAATCTATCCCACAGGCTCATTGGCAAAAATGCAAAACAACATATCCACAGGGATATTCACTGCATGACTATTTGTAATAGCAGAAAATAACACAAGTGTCTATCAAGAGGGGACGAATTAAATATTCATCCACCAATGGAGTACTACGAAACTGTAAAAAGGAATAACAATCTCTACATACTCCTAAGGAGGGGATCTACAGGACATATATCACTAGGTGAAAAACCCAAGATGGAAAACAGTATACATAATAGCACATTTTACCTAAGAAAGAAAGGTATGTTTGTCCATGTAGATTTGCTTTTAGGTATGTGTTTTTTTAATGGAAGGATAGACTCAAAACTAGTAAAAACAGTATCAGTAAGGAAGGAAAATAAGCAGAGTGGAAGAAACAGAGATGAAAGCTAAATTGTTTTATGGGTACTTGTTTTATGGGAATTATGCTAAGGTTTTGCATATAATAAAACAAATCAAAATGGGGAAAAAAGCAGTACTGAAAAATTGGAAACAAAATAAAATAAATCAACTACCAACTAGATATCAACTTGATAGGCTAACTATACAATAAATTACTTCATATGCCTTTAAATACAATAATTTTACTATACACTTTCCTAGAGACATATAAAATAAGGATAAAAGACAGTTGCAAAGAAATCCTAAGCACTATTCAGGAATCATATTGATAATAAAATAGCCTGTTAACTTGAAACCATTATATATAACATAGGATGAGGAAAAAAAACTAATTCTATTAATGGCACTAGGCACCAAGACTCAGCAAAAAAGATACAAACATAAATCCAACGTGTGAAAAAACTGTAAAATTAAGTTTAAATTTTGGAAATTTAAATGTTAAATGTTGGAAACAATGCGAATTTTGCATATTTGTGTTTTTTTTAATATATAATATTTCCTAACTCTGGCCACCATAAATCCTAGAACTAACGACTAACCTAGTAGCAAGAACACCTCTCCCACCTAGGTAAGACTGTGGTCTCCAAATACTATCTCAGACTCAAAAGAACCACGGCTCCTTGAAGACCAGAAATCTATAAATGAGCCAGGAAAATTATTTACCAGAAAGCAAGGAAATTACCAAAGCTATTGGTCATATCAAATGGAATAGGAGCCAACTTTAAGGAGCTCCCACTGGCCAAAGATGAAACAATTTGAGTATTAAAAACACAACTGCCATATGTTGAAACAGTTTAAATATAAAGTCTATAAGTTCATGATTATAGGTTTACAAAAAGGCAAAAACCCTCATGGTTACCTTTGGAGGCTGCTAGGCCACCAACTCATTACTGTGGTCTGAAAATAGAGGCAAAGAATTAAGCATTTTTCTTGCCTTTCCTGTACAAATTGTATTTCAGGGTAGTCAAACAGCTGGAAAGGGAAAGTTCTTCATAAAAGACTCTCAGTTGATAAATATTGAAGAAATAATAGAATTAGATAATCACCACGTTGCAACCTCTAATGCAATAACGGATACAGGCAATATAACCCCACAAAAGGACTTCACCACTAAGTGAAAGAGTCTTGGGGAATTTCACTATGGGTGGATGGAGCTAACTACACCTAAACCCAATATAATGTTTAATGTTAACATCATAAAAAAAGAAAACAACTCAGACACTGCTTCCCTGATAATTAATGAAATAGGAAGTATACTGCATTACCTATGAAATTATCTGTCCAACCCCCCCAACTATCCCACCAAAAAACAAAACAAAAACAAATATAAGGGTGAAATCTCATCAGGCTTCTAGAGCAGTGCTGTTCAATACAACTTTCTGCAATTATGAAAATATTTTATAACTGCACTGTTCAAAAAGCAGCCACCAGGCAATCTGTAGCTACCGAGCACTTGAAATGTGGCTAATGCAAGTTAGGAACTGAATTTTTTTTTTTTTTTTTTTTTTGAGACAGTCTCGCTCCGTCACCCAGGCTGGAGTGCAGTGGCGTGATCTCGGCTCACTGCAACCTCCACCTCCCGGGTTCAAGCGATTCTCCTTCTCCTGCCTCAGCTTCCTTAGTAGCTGAGATTACAGGCGCATGCCACCACGCCCGGCTAATTTTTCATTTTTAGTAGAGACGGGGTTTCACCATGTTGGTCAGGCTGGTCTCGAACTCCTGACCTCGTGATCCACCCACCTCAGCCTCCCAAAGTGCTGGGATTACAGGCGTGAGCCACCGCGCCCAGCCTAGGAACTGAATTTTTAATTTTATTTCACTTTAATTAACTAGCCACTGCTGGCTGGTGGCTACAATACCGGACAGTGCAATTCTACATCTAACTACTGGTTTAGAGCAGTGGTCCCCAACCTTTTTGGCACCAGGGACCTGTTTCATGGAAGACAATTTCTCAACACCGACAGGGCGGAAATAACACATTTTGTAAATATCTTTTTGTTAAAATTCATATGAAATGTTTTGGGGGAGGAATGGCCAAACCACTTTTTTTTGTTTTTTGAGACCGAGTCTTGCACTCTTGCCTGGTCTGGAGAGCAATGGTGTGATCTCGGCTCACTGCAACCTCCGCCTCCCGGATTCACGTGATTCTCCTGCCTCAGCCTCCCGAGTAGCTGGGATTACAGGCGCACACCACCACACTCGGCTAATTTTATTGCATTTTCAGTAGAGACGGGGTTTCACTATGTTGGCCACACTGGTCTCAAACTCCTGACCTCATGCCCACCTCGGCCTCCCAAAGTGCTGGGATTACAGGCGTGAGTCACCGCGCCCGGCCAACCACTTCTTCAGTAATATGAATAATACACATGGACAGGGTTAGGGGCATGGTTTCAGGATGAAACTATTCCACCTCAGATCATCAGGCATTAGTCAGATTCTTATAAGTGTGCAACCTAGATTCCTTGCATGCGCAGTTTACAATAGGGTTCGTGCCCCTAGGAGAATCTAACCTCACGGCTGATCTGACAGGAGGCAGAGCTCAGGTGGTAGGTAATGCTCACTAGCCTGTCACTCACCTCCTGCTCTGTAGCCTGGTTCCTAACAGGCCACGGACTGGTACTGCTCTGCGGCCCCGGGTTTGGGGGCCCCTGGTTTAGAGGACACAAAGGCAACAGAGATACATGTTAAAGGATACTGTGCGATGCAATCTGCTAAATTTAGAACTGTAAGGAAAAATAGGGGCTAATCCCATAGCTATAACTATGAGGGAACAAATATAGATTAAAAGATGTCAAATGTGCATCACCCAAACACAATAGGCAGATCCCTGTGGGATTTTGGTTCAAACAAGCTAATTGTAAAAAGACATTTAAGAGACAGTTGAAGAAATCGTTATCTGACTGGATATTGACATTAGAGAATTTTTATTAATTTGTGTATGTGTAATGACAGTACTGTGGCTCTGTAAAACTGAAAAACCTAGCTCCTGATGGGGGCGGGGAGGCGGACTAAAATAACATAAAGATCGGAGATTCAGTTCCTGAAACCTTCTGTCAATGTTGGCTTTAGCTGAATTTCAAGTCAAGTTGACATTTTTTGAAAGCAGGAAGCAATGACAGAGTGGACTACTGATGCTGTCACCATCTGCCAGCACAACATAAATTAGAACAGAAAGGACTAAGCAAAGGTCTTCCACCATTTTAACGAGAGGAAATGGCATCAGTACAATCAACATACACAATTTTTACAAACAACTTTTAGATTTGCATCTACATACATTTTAAAAGGCAGTGTGCCTGTTTATAAATCTCTACTCTAATTTAGTTTCAGAGCTTTTTACTACCCTGATCACTGATAATGCCACAGTCAAAAAGCAAACTCAAAATAAAAATCAATCTAAAAATGGTACTGCATGCCAAATAAGAAAATATATACACTTTATCATTAAGCTACAGCTAACAGAAATCTAATCAACGATCCTTATGATTTCCTCGTATCTAAAAAATAAATGCAAGCACTTGAGGAACTGTATAAATACAGGGCATCTACCCTACAATACTGCTTTATTAAAATAATAAATTCTTTTAATAAGTTTAACCAGACATAAGGCTCAGGGAAAACTACTCTGTGCATATCAGCGTACGGTGCTGAAACTGTAAAAGACGACCTGTCTCTGACATCATACTCATCTTTACTCTCCTGATGTCGTAAGGGACGTAAGAAAAACCACATTATAAGCCTAAATGTACTGTCTTCAAGTATCTCCATGATTAAAGTGTTCCTAAGAAACCGTCCTTATTTCTTTCTATCCCTCATTTGTGTGCATGGAGCCGTTAGTTCAGGGTTCTCCAATTTCAGTCCACGATTTATGCCACATTTCCGTACCTCTTGTACTAACATAACCGTTTAAACCAACTCACTATTTTAAAAGCTGCCAACCTTAACATGCCACACTAAATGAGCGGGTCCCCTTGTGCCGTGAATGAAGTAGTCCCAACAGCGCTAGCTAGACAGCAGCCCTGGCAGGGAGGCCGCACTGGGGTCTCTCCGCTGAAAAGGAAGGTGGGTCCGCCGGGGAAGGTGAGTACTGGGCGCAGCTCGCTCGCCCACCTGGCCACTCTCCGAAGCGCCCCCAGCCACCTGGACTCCGAGGAAGGGCTGACCACCTGGCGGGGCCGAACCCCACGCCGGGCTGCGCCACGCCAGACTCCGCCAGTGTGCAGGGCATAGCGGGCCAGGCCGAGGGACTGGGCTTCGGGGCGGACCCAAGCCGGCGGGGACGCGCCTGGTGGTTCGCAGGCCGTTGCGCAAACCGGCCGCAAGCCATGAGGCCGCGAAGCCAGAATCACCAAGGCAGCCTGGGCCGCCTCCAGACCAGGACACGGCAGCCCCTTGCCCCTCCAACTTGCGCACCGGCGGTTACAGGGTTGCCGCAAGCACGCCCCTGAGCCTTCCCGCCGTTACCTCGGGCCGGCGCTGCGCACGCGCGCCACCGCTAAGCTTACGTCCAGCCTCTGTAGTCGGCGCGTTTGTTCCGCCCACTGCCCCCACACTTTTAATAATTGAAACAATGCCTTCTCCAGACTTCCCCTGCACGCGAGCAAATGAACTCACCCACATCCGGGAATCCGAGGAAAGCGAGTGCAGACACGTGATGCGGGGGAGGGGGGGGGGGCGTGGCAGGAGCAAGCGTCTGCCGCGGTGGCCGGGTGCCGGTAAGGGTTTCCAGCGCCCCCGGCCTAGGTTTTGGAGGCGCGGGAATGCGTTCGTTGCTCAGTGTCGGACTTCCCCCTATTCCCATCGGCCGAGGCTGTCACTTTACGCTCATAACCGTTTTTCTTTACTGCACTCGTGTCGGGAGGAAAGGGACTTGCGTGGCACCCCCAGACCTCCCCGTCTCCGCTTCCACGTTTGGTACATCCTGCCTGAGGCAGGAAGCCGCAGCTGAGGGACGGCCTGTCGTACGGTGCGGATGGTGGTGGCCTGCGAGGCTCATTTCTAGCAAGGAACAAGGCTTTCCCGCTTTGATTTTATAAATATTATGTTTACAAAGCTGTAATATATAGAAATTGATAAGACGTGTCCCTGTCCCTGGAAACGCAGGCACCGCGTGTTTGGAAAGACATTCATCTGGGCTGTTTGACAGACTCCCCAGTTGGTGCCATGCTCTGTGCTTAGGGAACTGTGAGACCCCTGGAGGGGTGGGTACCGGGACCGCACTCAGCCTGGGGTTTGGAGGCGGCCTCCTATAGGAAGCGACCTGGGACCTAAGATTTTTAGACTGACTGTGGGTTCACTGGAATAAAAAGGAAGAAACAAAGAGCATTGCAGGCATCGGGACTGTCACGTGAGTAAGAAAAGTTTGTTCAGGAAACAGTGGTCGTACTGGGTGACGAGTACTTGGGACGGTGGCTTTAATACACAAGATAATCAGTGTGCCCTGGGCATTGATTATCTTGATGCTTCCCATCCTTCCAGCCCCTTATGAGGGAAGGCACCTTCGCGCCTAATCCCGGAAATGGGATGTTGACCTTCAAGAGCTGACGCCTGCGTTTATCTTGAAAGGAAGAGTGGCATTAGTGATGTGGAAAAGGGGGTTTTAACTGTCAAGGCTGGAAAATGTGACAGGGTTGGAGGTGTTTGGAGAAGGGACAGGTGAAAAAGATTGAGACCAAATGTGGAAAGATCTACTAAGGAATCATGGGTACAAAATGTACACGTAACAGTTGGAGGCAATAATACCTGAGCAATTGACCACAAAGCTGACCTAGCTTGTTTAGTAGATTAAGTTAGGACAAGAAGCAAGAGTTCAAGGATAGAAGGCCTACTGAAGCTCGAGTGATTTGAGAAAACTTTACAAAGGTGGAAAATCTACGTGGGCCTCCGAAAGTCAGGTTTGGATCAGCTGAGGAAAGTGAGAAGGGTATCCCAGGAGACAGAGCAGCAAGGACAAAGGAGTAGCAGCAGGAAAGTGGGGAGCACTTGTAAGACAGGGACTTCAAAAGTATAACCAAAACTTCGTCTTGCTTTGAGTTATCCACTGGGTAGTACTCGGTTAATTATTGAGTACTGGATTAATTAAGCCCTCACCTGGCTCACCGGTGACAGAAGTAGCAGGGCGCATTTTGCTTAACTTTTGCCGAGATCCTTGTCATGGGGGTGTAAACCCTTTCCCACACCAATCTGTGTATAATTTTTGCCAAGGTGTTAGGGATATCTTGCAGTTATCCTATGGGGGACAGCTGTGAGCCTTTTTGGTTTTTTTTGTTTTTTTTTTTCCGAGACGGAATCTTGCTCTGTCGCCCAGGCTGGAGTGCAGTGGCGCGTGGCGCTATCTCGGCTCACTGCAAGCTCCGCCTCCCAGGTTCACGCCATTCTCCTGCCTCAGCCTCCCGAGTAGCTGGGACTACAGGCGCCTGCCACCATGCTCGGCTAATTTTTTGTATTTTTAGTAGAGACGAGGTTTCACCCTGTTAGCCAGGATGGTGTTGATCTCCTGACCTCGTGATCCGCCCACCTCGGTCTCCCAAAGTGCTGGATTACAGGCGCGAGCCACCGCGCCCGGCCCTGTGAGCCATTTTTACAAAAACTTCCACCTGCCTTGGCCCAAACCTCAGCGTTCTTAGGCACAGGAGCTCATGAACATACTGAGATAACACTAAACTGGACTATGCGAAGGGACCAACTACAGACCTGACACAAATCCTCAAGGCAAGACGATGTCTGAAGTTGAGCTTGTAAAGGAAATGGCTTCCTTCCTTAAAATATCACCCAGGCTGAGCTCTGAAAAAAGCACCTCCAGATGGTGGGTTCCACCCCGCTCCACCACCCCAAAATTGCTTATTGTGTGAGTCTCCATAGTCTCAGAAACTGAGAGTACCTTTGATGCCAGTGGCTTCCGGGCTTTTTGGATTGTCACTTGGTAGCAGGGAGCACCCATAGGATGATGCCTATGATGAGTCAGGGCCCAACCTTGGAAACAGGGAAATCCAGAAGTATCCTACAAGCTAGCCAGCCTTTTGGATTAGATTATAGCAGTTTCAGAGAAAAATGGGGAATCAGCCATGGTCAAGGAGCTAAATAAGCATCGTGACCATTTGGGCCAGAAATTGAAGGGAGTGTAGCGTTAAGAATTAGAGGAAGGAACCTCCGAGGAAGGAGCTACCCCAAAGGGAAGCAGAAACTGGAGAAACTTTAGCAGTATGAGGTTCTACCACTGGTGTTCACCTAGAAGTGCTTTATTCAGATCTCAGCCTGGGTACTATTTTAGGGAAGGAAGCCGTTTCCTTTACAGTATGTTCGTGTGACTCCTGTGCCTAAGAATGCTGAGGTTTGAGCCAGGGGCTAGAAAGGAAACTTAGCTGGCCATTATGAATCAGGGACTCATCAAAGGCATCACAAACAGGAAAAGGTGAATGTTCAAGTTAGAAGAGAAGAGCTACATTGAGATGCAACATATTAATATTTGAGGGCCTCGTTTAACGTGTTGCTCTCCTGTCACACTCTATGACACTGGTCTGTCAGCTGGGCTATGCCTGTCCAGTATACACTATAAAATATGTATCAGTTGGGGTTGGAGAGAGGAACTGTGATCAAAGTAGTCACCCGGCCCATATGAGAAAATGAACCTTTTCCCAAAAGGTGGCCCCAGACTAAAAAGCCTGGAGAATCCTAATAGTGGATTATACCATCTCTTCAGTCTTCGTGTTTAAGAAATAACCTCTTTGGCTTACAGATTTGACAAGATCAAAGCTGCAGGAAAATGGACAGTGAGGTTCAGAGAGATGGAAGGATCTTGGATTTGATTGATGATGCTTGGCGAGAAGACAAGCTGCCTTATGAGGATGTCGCAATACCACTGGTAGGTTATGATTTGAGCTGAGGATGGGTTAAAGGTATTGATCTGGCAGTAACTAGTGGAGGAGGGATATCAATGGAAGATAAACTAGTGTGGCAAAGAAATCAAAGCTGTGGAATTCTCTAACTCTAGAAGCTTCTGGAGAGCATCCAGTTGTATGTTTTATTTGAAGAAAAATGTGGTTCAGGGAGCTAACATGGCCAGGTCAGTTAGGAGTCATGCCAGGACTAGAGCCCCGATTTTCTGAGCCATGTTCTGTCCACCACACGAAAACCAGAGAAACCAAATAATGAGAGTTTAATGCGCAAGATGGGGAAGAACAAGAAGCAGCAGCATATGAGCTCTGTTTCTTACTTCCCTGCCTGTGGCTCATCAGTCTTTCAGCATTTTTAGAAACTTACATTCTTGGAGCATACACCTATCTTAGGTTCCCTGGAAAATATTCAGAAGATACCTGGGTATTCTTTTGCGTTTAGGCCAGTGGCCTTCTGGAATACTCTTTTCTTCCCCATCTTTGGAAAACTCTGCTGCAGGGAGTTTGTTAAACCTCATGTAATAAGTGATCCAAAAGTTTTGCTTATATAAATGTTTGTTTAAAATCCTATTTATGTCATAGAGGCCTAAAAAAGGGAAAACAGGACTGTTTTTCTTTAAAGCATGCCAGCTGCCCTGAGAAGAGTAGTTAGTATTGAATAAAATATAATTTATAGTTAGAATATCTGCTGTTGCTGTTTGCAAAGAAATAAAATAGTTCATCTGTATTTTCATTTACGAATAAGAGATAGTAATATGTTCAATGAATAATATACATATCAAATAAGTCATAGCTTAGTTCAAGCTTAGGAAAATAGTCAAAAGAGAGAGCATAATAAGAATTATAGATGTCATTTATTGAATACCAGTTTTATGCCATGGACTGAGGTTGGAAATATACATTATCTCTAATTCTTAAACAACCCTGTGAGGGAGGTGCTGTTATTCCCATTTTATAGGAAAAGAATAGGATCAGAAAGGGCAACTTGCCCAAAGTCTGGTAGCAGGTAAGTAGGGCTTCATATAACATATACCTAGGTCTGTGAAGTTCCAAATCCTGTCTTGTGAACTTCTGTTCATTCATTCATTTGACAAGCATTTTTTGAAGCCTACTGTGTGCCATAAGACTATGTGAACATAAGATACAGTTCCTCCTCCTGAGGGGTCTAGAAAGGCAACACTTATAGATAAGTAATTGTGATAATAAATATTCTAGGTGGGGGCATAAACAGCCACATCATATACGAAGTGGCTGATTGCCTGGTGGGCATCAGAAAGGCTTCTGAGAGAATGTCATGTTTAAGCTGGGTCATAAGGAAGGACCAGAAGTTTAGTGGAGGTAGACAAGGGTATTGCAGCAGAGGGGACAGATGTGTAAAGGCCCAGAGTTTTGAAAGGCTTTGGGACATGGTGAGTCATTCACTGTGGATGAAGAATACATTTGTCACATAAGTAGGCTGAAAAGTTGGGCTTGGATCAGATTGAGAGTGGTATTTGATATCACACTTAGACCTCATCCTCAGGAGATCCAGGAATGAATGGTCTTAAAAGCAAGACTGCTATGCTCAGATTTGGCTTTTGGAAAATCAGTTTAGCCAGCATTGTTAGAGATGGTGTGACATGGAGATAGGGGCAAGTGAGACCAATTGGCAAGCTGTTGTGGTCTAGGCAAGGGAGGAGGGCCTAAACAAAGTCAAGAAAATAAAGGAGACGTCCATTTCTGGAGAAGTTTATGGCTCAGATTGGAGAACATTTGGGTGGCAGGGGTGGAAGGAGGTTTCCCTGCTGACTTCCAGGCGAAGTTGGCTTGGCCCTGCTGCTAATCCACACCTTTCGCTTGTCTTGCGATTCTAAGGCAATGTGTATGCCAGTTAGGTTTTGCTGCATAACAAGTCACCCCAAAGCTTAGTGACTTAAAAGAGCAACTGTTTATTTCATGATTTTGTAGCTCAGCTGGGAGGGACTTCTAGTCTGCACCAGCTCAGCTGATCCCTGCCAGGCTTGCCTGTGTTGTGCAGTCAGCCAACAGACTCTGGAGGCTGGGTAATCTAGGACTGTCTCACATGTCTGGCAGTTAACAAGCTGTCTGCTGGGTGATGGGGTGACTATGCCATGGTCTCTGGTATCCAGCAGGCTAGCCCAGACTTCTCAATCTCAGGGTTCCAAGAGCAACCTGAGAGGAAACGGCAGAGCTTCTTGGAGCTTAGGCCAAGAACTGGCCCACTGGCATGACAGCTTCATTCTGTTGGCCAAAACAACTCACAGGGCCAGTCCAAATCCAAGATTGGGGAAATCAGTTTCACCTTTTGATAAGAGTAGCTGCAAAGAACTAAGGGCATTTTACAGTACACCATAATGGGTGGCTGGGTTTATGATACTTTTGTTTTTGTTTTCCAGGCATATATGCCATTTTATGTGTTGGCATGTATTGCAAGGGACAGTAGATACCAAATGAAAGACACATTATTTTAGAAAGCATACCACAGATAGGATGAAATTAAGCAACGTTGTCTGCTTCTGAATTAAAGAATTCATTAACCAAGGACCTATTTATTCTTTGTCATCTATAAGTAATTATTAGGACTGAACTTTCTTTTTAAGTTTAAGATAATATATTATTGCGTTACAATAAATGATAGCTCTTCTCAATCTGTTCAAGTATGTTTGAATCTGTCTTGTAGAACAAGATGTATGTGATTCAAATATAGATAAGTAAATATCATTTAATATATATTGAGCATAATTTTAGAGGGGAAAACATATTCACATACTACAAATTAGAATCCAGTGGAAAATTTTAAGTCTGGATATCGCATAACAGTTTGCTAACCATAAAACAAAACACAGATAATTGAAAAGAAATATATTGGTATCTGTGAACTCTGGTACAAAGCAGAGTTTCAGTAGTAATACATTTAAACTTAAAATACAAGTAAATGATCCCAGATCCTACAGTAAGTGTGGCCCATGACTTACCATTTTAAGAAAATTGCTGGTAGGGTGTGAATTGGTCATTTGTTGTGTTTTTTGTTGCTCTGCTCCACCACTAGAGGGAGGTCTTATCTATTAATTACATTTTCAGTGTTTCCTGCCCTACCTCCATTTTTATTATAATATAGACATGTTGGGCCAGGCGCGGTGGCTCGCGCCTGTAATCCCAGCACTTTGGGAGGCTGAGGCGGGTGGATCACCTGAGGTTGGGAGTTCGAGACCAGCCTGACCAACATAGAGAAACCCCATCTCTACTAAAAAAAAATAAAAAAATACAAAATTAGCCGGGCATGGTGGTGCATGCCTGTAATCCCAGCTACTCGGGAGGCTGAGGCGGGAGAATCGCTTGAACCCGGGAGGCAGAGGTTGTGGTGAGCCGAGATCACGCCATTGCTCTCTAACCTGGGCAACAAAAGCAAAACTCCATCTCAAAAAAAAAAGACATGTTGGGTCCAAGATAATTTTTTGGATACATTTCTTGTGTCTAAGGAATATGCCAGCAAACTAGTATTCTTTTAAAGCACGCTCCCGCTAAAGAAGATTTAGGATTCACTCATCTCAGTGTTCCTAGCCGCTAATAATAATAGCAAATATTCCTTGAGCACTGGATACCCCACAGAGTGCTCAGCACTTGATCTGAATTACCTCACCTAATCCTTACAGTAGTCCTGTGAGGTGATGGCTCTTTTGTTCTCCCATTTGCCAAGGAAGAAACAAAGGCCCCAAGGGTTTGCATACCTTGCCCAAGTAACCCAGCAAATGGGAGAGTTGTGGTCTTGGATCCTAGTTGGCTTCCAAAAGCCTCTGCCCTTAACCTTTCTGCCACAGTGCCTCCTTCACAAATGTCAGAGTCAAAATGCCCATCATTCCCTACTGAAGAAGGCCCGGGCCATGTTTGAATGATACTTCTGATAGTTTCCTCACGTGTATGATTTTAGCTTTTTTAGAATACACATATCAATTATGTTGCCTGTTCCTAGGAACTCACAAGCTTTAATTCTAAGTGTTCTTGAGTTCCAAGAAGATGCAGAATATATTACTGTTCTGAATTTCTATTGTACCTTTTCAGAATGAGCTTCCTGAACCTGAACAAGACAATGGTGGCACCACAGAATCTGTCAAAGAACAAGAAATGAAGTGGACAGACTTAGCCTTACAGTACCTCCATGAGAATGTTCCCCCCATTGGAAACTGACGCTTGGCTCCTTTCTTGTGGATGGATTTTCTCAAAGTACACAGATAAAGCATGGTTTGTTTCAGTCTCCAAATTCAAACCTTTGAGTAATAAATCAGCACTCAAAAATGTACACCCATTTAGTTTGTGGTAGCAAAGTGCAATGCGAAATTGAATGAGAAACTGAGATTTCTCAGTAATGGTGAATATTTCGCTCTTTAAACCTAAAACTCTTCATTGAGTAGCTTATATTTGAACATGATTGGTTAAACATTTGCCTCTACCTCTGATTTTGCTTTGCTGTCAAAGTTTAACACCTTCCAACTACTTATGTGTGTCCTGTAACACAGGTGATTGAACGTATGAGAGGGAAAGGCAAAGAAAAAGGAAGCCAGACACTAGGAGAATTATTAACTTCTCATACTTCCCCACATTGAGAAGCATTCGGAGTGTATTTAGCCTGTAGATGTTGTGATATGCAAATATCCCATTCCCTGGTTACTGGCATTCCTAAGATTCTTCATGGTATTTTCAAACTTTGGATAAATTTACAGATTAGAAAGATATCTGACAGTTAATCTCTGTTCTCCTTACAAATTCCTTTTGTGCTGCTGGAAAGGATCTTTGGCTAGGTGGATGACTAGTTTTATTCAAAGCCTTTTCTCAAAGCCCTTTCAGTTACAACCACCCCACTATGGAATCAGTATTTAGTTATACATTTGTATAAGAACCTGTATTTTGAAAAACACATTCATGTATATTTATTCCTGGAATTATTTGCCTGTTAAACAGTGTCTTTCATGTTCTCTCCCCAGATTGTAAACTCTGTAAGAAGCTGCTTGTATCTGTATCCCTTGTTGAAACTCTGAAAACACTGAATAACTAAAATCTCTTCTCATCCTTTTTATGCTGGGTCTTTTTGTTTACTTAGCTTTTAGGAGGAAGAGGTACATGAAAAAACAAATTAGCTTATTTTAGGTTTTCAATCACAAACATGATTTTAGCAGCTATCCTATAATCCAGATACATCCAGGCTGATTTCTTCTCTTTGCATCAGTAGTTCTGCCTAGAAATCTTTTATCTTCAGAATAAAGACCCCAAGGCACCAGTCCCTTCAGTAAGCAAAGAAAGACAACCTAATAGAAAAGAGACTTACAATATTAAAAAAACTTATACAAGAGAAAAAGCTTTTCAAAAAATTAAAATACCTAGAACGCCACAGTTCTTTCACATTCTTGTTAAATGAGGATTTTACAGCTTACTTGTGGTATGTAATCTCTGAGACACTAACATCTAAGAACTTGACAAATGTTCATGTGAATCCTGCCTAGCCTTTCCCTGGAATATTAGTAGACCAGTAAAATATGAAAGCTATTCTTGATTTCTGCTGAACCAGAATATGATATCTGTAAGACAGCTGTTGGTTTGTGTCTATGACACTCATCCGAGAACTGCCGCCACCCCCAGGAATAGCCTCTGGGCAAGTTCGTAACTTGTGTTATGGTGCCAGAACTGTAGCTCATTGTATCAGGAATTAGGTGACCTAATTTGGGCTAGTCAGATTTTGTCAACCAGGGCTTCGAAATCTCCGTCTAGGACTGGCTTGAGGATGATGGGCACAAGAAATGCTAAGTTGCTGTTACAGGGTAGCTTTCTTCAATTGTCTGTACCAAAACACCCAAAAAGGAAAGTATCTGGAGAGGGAGGCCAAGAGGCTATGTGGCCTATTGGTTCCTGACAGCTTTCCAGTTTAGAGCCTGCATATTGCTTTTCTCTGTGGGAGGCACCATGCCTGGCACTGGGAGTATAGCAATGAACAAAGTAAGTGTGGCCTCTCCCTTCATGGAGCCTTTAGTTGGGGAGACAGGCATTAAACCATTAGCCATACAAATACATGATTTCAATTTGGGGCGTATGCTAGGAAGGAAAAATAAAAGATGTGACTTAGGTTGGGTTCCCAGAAGCCAAGCCTGAGGCAGAGATTTCTTGTGCAAGTGATTTATTGAGGTGCTTTCAGAAGAGTCCTGTAAGGTAAACAGGATAGGGCAGGGAAAGAAGCTGAGCCAAGATGTGGTTTGAGCTGAAGTCTAGCTTCAGTCTGATCCAGTGGGATTTCTGGCCCATGACGATGCCAAGAGTTTTCTCACCTTGAGGCAAGGGGTTAGGCCTTTGTACTGAGTATGAATTGGTCAGTCATTGGCTTGGCCCCTCCCACAATCCCCCAGTGACAGCATAACCTCCCAGGCATTGCCAGGTGACACGCCTCTCCAGAGGACACTCTGTAAGAAGCAGCCTCGGCTGCTTGTGTCCGTATCCCTTGTTGAAACTCTGGAAACACTGAATAACTAAAATCTCTTCTCACAGCTGTGAGCCTTTGACAGCCAATACACAGTAGCTGGGGGAATGGGTACCAACAGTACTGCTGCAGTATAGGAGAATGTGACTGGAGGGGATCTGATTTATATTGAATAATCCAAGGGAGACCTTGTGATTAGCAGCTTTTATAGCACATAATTTGAAATACTAATTTTTTCTCTGAATTTTTTTCCAATCTCCAAGGAAGTAACCAGGTCCTGTGTGCTTCCCGTGCACATCAGGAAGCGGACATGCTTAATAATAACCCTAGTCCTTGTTTGGGAAGCAGGGGAGGGTGGGAGAGAAGAGGGTCTGCAGACAGGAACCTCTTAGGAGTAGTGGAAAGCTGTGTTCCACTCAGTACCACAGTGAGATGGTGAACTTCAGAGTTTCATGGTTTGTTGGGTGCTCCAGAGGAAACCTGCACCTCAACACTGAGTCTTCCAGAAAAGGCAAAGACCTCCAAGCTTGGAACCCCCTCCTACAAGGGCCCCCTCAGACTTGGCAGTGAAGATAATAGCAACGACCCAGATAGACTGAAGAGTAGAGGTCTTTACCCATTTTTCCAGGTCATTCATGAGTGTCCTAAATGCTTGCAAGACCCTAAGAAGGGGAAAGGACACCCCAGGGACCACAGAATTAATTTCTGCTTGCAGTGCAGCAGAGTGAGGCCAAATGGACTTAATTTGCTTTGAAAAAAAGAAATGTGCTATCTCTTGTACCCTCCTTGAGCTTGTGACCCAACACCCAAAGGATGAGTAGTAGTAATAAGGGAAAGAATTGGGAGATGAGGATTGCTTACAGAGAGAGCTAACTGCATAAAGCCAGGAGGTAGGACTGGCATTATAAGCAAGGTGGGTAGGCAGGTGTCTGGCTAAAAAAAGTTTTTCTAAGTCATTGAAAGGTTCTAACTAGAGAGAGTGGCCTGATCAGATTGGATTTAAATATATATATATATGTATATATCACTTTGGAGATAAGAATAGAAGTGGAAAGAAAAATTAGAAGAGCTTTGCTTTGGCTCAAGTGAGAAATGATGGTAGTTTGGATTGGCAAGATAGAGGTAAAAGTAGAAGGACTTGAAATATTTGTTCGAGGTGGAATTGTCCAGACTTGCCCAGTGTGAGCACTGCCCTCATGACCCAGGGGTTAGATCTCTGAGCTAGACACAGGACTAAAGTTACAGCCCCTAGTCTCTGGAAACAAGGTCTGAGTCCAGGGGCTGCTCATCCTTTGAAACCCAACTTAGACTCACATCGTAATAGTATCGTAACGATGACACGATGGTTAATCAAGCACTTCTATGCACTTTAAACACATGAGTTCCAGCCCTGACATTCACCTTTTAGGTGGATAGCATTGTCCTTATTGATCAGGAGATGGTGACTTAAATGATTTGTTCCAAGTTAACATTGAAAGACTTATTCCAGGCTGGACACGGTGGCTCACGCCTGTAATCCCAGCATTTTGGGCGGCTGAGGCGGGCAGATCACCTGAGGTCAGGAGTTTGAGACCAGCCTTGCCAACATGATGAAACCCCGTCTCTACTAAGAATATATTAAAAACAAAAACAAACAAACAAAAAACTAGCCGGGCATGGTGGTGGGCGCCTGTAATCCCAGCTATTTGGGAGGCTGAGGCAGGAGAATTATGTGAACCCAGGAAACAGAGGTTGTAGTGAGCTGACACGGTGCCACTGCACTCCAGCCTGGACGACAGAGTGAGACTCCGTCAAAAAAAAAAAAAAAAGACTTATTCCAAGTCATTCAAATAGTAAATGGATTCCAGCCTAGGTTGTCTGATCCCAAAACCCATGTCCTCTCCCAGGACCATGTTACCTTTCCTGTAAAACTTTCTGTGACATGGGAAGAAAATCCTACCAGAATACTTAGAACTTTAAAGTGTGTACCTTGTTTCTAAAATTGAGATAAAGAACTAGAAGCATTTTTAATAGGAGCATGGGAGTCATGAAACATTTAAAGATTCAACCTTTTATCAAACTCATATATAATGTTGTCACCATGAGTCCTGTTGTCACTGGATTTTATACGAGATTAAATCTCTGTAGTTTCAGATTTTGATGCATTTGAGAGGATAGTTTAATGTCAATGCTACAATACCCAGCAGGGGGCGCTCAATTCCTTTTAGAAAGTTTGAATCACTGGCTGATTGTTAGCTCTGAACGCTGAAGATTCTCAATACGTGTGATCTTTCGCTTGAAAGTGATTCTGCATACCTGGGCTGCCCAAAGTGCTAGCTAGCGGTTATGTGAGGAAAGCACAGCCTTCCTGGGATTCTGGCCAGCCAGGCTTGGACTGAGCAGCTCACCTAGTGGGCTCCCCACTCATGCTTTGTCGGGGGCAAAGTGAGGGCACCCAAAAGTTGAGGGCAGTTCAGAACTTTTGGTTAAAGAAAAAGAGGTCTGGAACCAGGAATTTTGCCCACCTGTGTCCCCAACTTATAGTCAGGCCTGGGGCTCTTTCATTAAGCTGTTTCCCAGATCTTTGCATGAAATCGTTTGGATAATTTAGGCATCATCCAGGAATAATCCATTAGGCTCTAGAAAGACTGTTTTTCTTTTTAAAAAAAAAAAAAACAAAACAAAAACTCTTATTCATGTACAGATTTGTTAATACAGGGACACTGTTGTCACAGGAGTTTGGTATACAGATCATTTCATCACTCAGGTACTAAGCCTAGTACCCAGTAGTTATTTCTCCTGATCCCCTCCCTCCTTCACCCTCCTCCCTCAAGTAGGCCGCAGTGTCTGCTTTTCCCCAGTTTGTGCCTATTGGTTCTCATTATTTAGCCCCCACTTATGAAAACATGCAGTGTTGGCTTTCTGTTTCTTCGTTAGTTTGCTAAGGATAATGGCCTTCAGCTCCATCCACATTCCTGCAAAGGACCTGATCTCCTTTTTAATGGCTACATAGCATTCCATGGTGTATATGTACCACATTTTCTTTATTCAGTCTGCCATTGGTGGGCATTTAGGTTAATTCCATGAAAAGACTGTTTTTCAAAGCTTCCTTTCTTGATTTGGCCCCGCTTTACCCACAGTTATATTTGTTCACCAGTTTCTCACTCTCACTGTGCCATACGCCATCAGTGAGCTCTCGAGGAAAGACTGGGTAGTGGCAGGCCTGAAAAGGCAGCTGGGTGGTCTCCTAAAGGGACTTCATACCTTGTGGCCTTCCTGGCCCAGATGATGGATGGTGCTGGCCTCTGCACCGGAACCAGCCTGGACCAGCTAGCTGCTCAGGCGTGCAAGCAAGGCAGTTGCCCTGGGCCTGCACTCAAAAGGGCCTGCATTTGGTATAATGCTCCGCTTTTGCTGTCTTGAAAGTGTTAATAATTTTTTAACAAGGAACCCACATTTTCATTTGGTACTTGGCCCCATAAATTGGGTAGCTGATCCTTGAATCTATGGTATCCATCAGGGTTCCATGCTGGACAGTGACTAAACCCAGCAAATGCCCTCACCTTAGAAGTGAGAATTCAAGGGACTGTGGGTGTTGGCCTTTGGGGTGACAGAAAAGCAACCAGGGCCAGGAGGAGCGACAGGGAGAATGCTGGGTCAGACCCCCGGGCTTGCCAGAGTCCTGACAGGGGTTCAGGTCCTCGAATGATCTCCTAGGCAGTTGCTGAAATCGGTTCCTCAGCTCAACTGAACCCTCTGTCTTTTTTGCCTCCTGAAAACTAGCCTCACTGACCATGGGAGGAAGGAGAGGTACAGAACTTGAGGTGAGGTTATCACCCAATCTCAGGGCATGTCCCTGCCTAAATTTCATCTGGCTCTTAGCCAACTACTATATGAACTTGCACTCTGTCACCCTGGTCACAGCAATGCAGCTGTTGCAGAATCGAGCCTCTTGAGTGCTGCAGGTGTGAGAAACACAACTACAGAGCTGGGACCAGTGGTTACCCCATTCCTTCATTAGTTCTGCTCATTACTATAAGGATTTCCACCTAGATTTTTATTTTAGTTTACCAACTGGGTTGAACCATATGAAAAAGCTGTTTTTATACATCAAAAATAGTCAGATAATTGCAATTTCCTGTTTTCAGCTAATATTATTCTTACCAAGAGCCAACTGTGTGTGTATACAAACACACGCACACCACACACAAACCGGATTTGATGGGGGTGGGTGGGGGGAACAGGCAAAGGGTGGAGAATTTGAAAACAACCAAATGACTCCAAAGGAAGTAGGGGAGAGGTTGACGTACAGACCCATCCCAGTTATTCCACGCCTTCCCTGTGACTCAGATCCCCTTTATCGTGCTGCCACCACCCAAAGGCAAAAGGGGTTTTCCTCTGCCCATGCATGATCTCTTCTACCTTCTTGGCATCTCTGCCCGTGCTTCCTCCCCACCTGTCATCTTAGTCTCCAGCAGTTCCCCTCTTCCCCTCCACCATGCCCACAGAGTGGTACTCACTTGAAGTGGCACACAGTCTAATGGCGCAGGGCTTCTGGTGAGAGTGAGGTGGATGCATCCCTGCCTCTTGGCCAGTGAGGATGCCTGACACCTGTCAATGACTAAGACCTGATGCAGCCTCCCTTTACTCAGCCCAGACAGACAGGAGGCATGGGTCTGCCTGATGAGGCTCTTCTTCCTGGCCTCATTGTCACCACTCTCGCCTCCCAGCCCCTACTCTCAGGGATGGGCAGATGTTAAGGATATTCTCCCCACTTACCCTACTGCTCCCCTCTGGGCCTGGAGATTAGGTGCCTATTTTTCAGTCTGAGATCTTAGTCCAGACATACACGCATCATACAGCAAGGGCTCCAGGAGTGTAAGAAAAATGAGTCCCAGGCTGGCTTGTAGAGTCTCAGATGGACTCGAGGCAGAAGTGGAGAGGGCTGGAGGCAGAAGTGGAGAGGGCTGGAGCTCTAGTCCCTCTCCCTTGCATTGACTCTGCTGCCTGCCTCTTTCATCCAGGCTCTCTCTTTCAATCAATCAATCTCCATGTTTGTTCCTATTTCTCTCTTGCTTACTGTGTTTTCTCCCTTGCTCTTTTATTTATTTATTTATTTATTTTATTTTATTTTTTTTGAGATGGAGTCTCGCTCTGTCCCCAGGCTGGAGTGTGCAGTGGCACAATCTCAGCTCACTGCAAGCTCCACCTCCCAAGTTCATGCCATTCTCCTGCCTCAGCCTCCGGAGTAGCTGGGACTACAGGCGCTCGCCACCATGCCTGGCTAATTTTTTTTTTTTCTGTTTTTAGTAGAGATGGGGTTTCACTGTGTTAGCCATGATGGTCTCCTGACCTCATGATCCGCCCGCCTCGGCCTCCCAAACTGCTGGGATTACAGGCATGAGCCACTGCACCCGGCCCTCTCCCTTGCTCTTATTCAAGCATTTATCTAAACATCCTAGTCTATACATTGGACTTGTTTTCTTATGTCATTCAAATTGCAATTATCTCTAAAGTAGAACTTACATCAAATTCATATCTCATTCTGTTTTACATAATAGTTATTTACTTAAAATTATATGTGAGTAAAATGTATGTAGGCTGCCTCAAAGTACAATGGCTAAGAGGACACACCTTTGAGGCAAGAAAGACCTAGGTTCAAAACCCAGCCAAGCAACACACCAGTCCATCTCCAAGCAGGTTATCTGCCTTTCTGAACCCCAGTTTCCTCATTGAAAATGCGGTTGATAATACTGCTTACATGAAAGGCTTCTTGAAGGAGTAAATGAGACAATGCAAGTAAAGTGCTTAGAAAAGTTTCTGGCACATGGTAGCACTTGGTAAATATTAGCCATTGTTTTCAATGTAATACAATAAGTATTTCAAAAAAGTTTACATTGCTACTCTGAAGTCAAGCAAAGAATAATTTTATTATATAAATAATAACTTGCAGATAATTCTTAGGGATCATTTTACACAGTGGAAACAGCCATGAATTAGGAGACAGAAGACCCGGGTTCAGGTTCTGGCTCCACAGTTGCTGACTCTGTGACCAGGAGCCTGATTGTTAACTTCACTGAGCCTACTTCCTAGGGCTGGAGAGTCAAAACATACTTAAAACTGTTTTGCAGTTATAAAGAACTATACACATTTAAGTTAAACATGATTTGTTTACTTCATAATTGTGTAATTTCATTCTTAAATTCATGTTTCATGTAGCGCTTTAATATATGTGCTAATTTAAACCTAATAAATGTACATATGGGCATATCTGTATGTGAATATGCATAAACATATTTTATAAAGTCTGGAAGAAAAGAAACCATTGGCAGTCGTTACTTCTAGGGACAAGATTAAACTGGTGAGGAAGGAAATTGTCCCACCTTACTTTATATCCTCCTGAAAAGGCAATGAGATTGTGGATAATTTTTTCAAGTAATAATGCTGATATTTTGAGTCAGAAAAGCATTTTTTTTTTTTTTGAGACAGAGTCTTGCTCTGTCACCCAGGCTGGTGCAGTGGCATGATCTCAGCTTACTGCAACCTCCGACTCCCAGGTTCAAGCAATTCTCCTGTCTCAGCCTCCCGAGTAGCTAGGATTACAGGCACATGCCACCACTCACGGATAATTTTTGTATTTTTAGTAGAGACGGGGTTTTGCCATGTTGGCCAGGCTGGTCTCAAACTGCTGACCTCAGGTGATCTGCCTGCCTTGGCCTCCCAAAGTGCTGAGATTATGGGAGTGAGCCACCACGCCCAGCCAGAAAAGCATTATTTAAAAAAATAAATAAATAAAAATAAAAATAAATAAAACTACTCTCACTGCCTTTGAATAAATATTTGAAATGTATGTTAAAACTTATGTCTGCAATCAATAACTTTTCATTCCTCTAATACTCAGCAGTGAGCATCAGCTCTGTGCAAGGCACCCTGAGAGAAGCATACGTAAGTCAGACGTGAATTGTGCCTGAGGTTACACTGTGTTAGACCAGATAAGACACTTATCATATAAAAAGCCAAAATATAAGAAGAAAGTGGTCAGTGTGCCTAGTACACAATAAATGCTAAAGAAATACTTACTAGATAGATAGTGCAGTGGTGCAAGTAGGCAAAGAGATGGATGAATTAATGGATGGATGAATGGATGGTGGTAGTACCATGGAAGAGGGGAGTCAGAGAAGAAATAGATCTCCTGCAGTTGAGGGAATTTAGGAAAGCTTTGTGGAGAAGGTAGCCTTTTGAAACAAAGGCCAGATTTGAACATCTGGAGATTAGAAGATGAATTAGGACAGCACCTTATGGTGATGACATTCTGTCATTTCTGACTTTCTTTCTCCCTCTCTCTCTTCTTTTCAACTAAGGGTAGGGCTGGTGTGTTTGGAAACATATGGGAACTTTTTTTTTTTTTTTTTGGTTGTCACAATGTCTGGGATGGTGGGGGAGGTACCAGAGAATACTGCTACATTTAGTGAGATGTTGGGGTTAGTAAATATACTGCAAAGAAGAATTGTTCTATCCAAAACTCTGATAGTGACCACATTGAGAAATACCAGTAAGTGAGAGAAGCATCATAAATAGATTATTACAATGTCATTTTAAAAAATTGCTGACATAGATATCTTTACAAGTTTTCTGCTTTGTCGGCCGGTTCAGTTGATGTGATCTCCCTTCTAGGCAAAGGAGCAGGGAAGTAAGATTGCAAAGGCCCATGATGGGGCGGGGAGCAGTGCTGAGCAGACAGAGGACTAGTCTACGGAGATTGAACTTTGGTCTTCAGGAAAAGGGGGCCCAATCAAGGCTTGTAATTAGGGGAATAATCTTGTCATATCTATACTTTAGGGAATATTAAACCTCTAATTTTTGAGCCTGTTATGAAGCCAAAATATGAAGTGATAACAAGTTTATTTTTTAGAGCTTCATCCTGGCTTTGCTTCAGAAAGCAGAAAGAGTTCATTCTATATTTTTTAAAATTCTCCTTTAAATTTTTTAAATTTAATTTATAAAATATTTAATAATTTGAAAGACAAATTATTCAACAAATTATGCTGAGACAATGGTTTTCCATTTAGGAAAAAACAACAACCCATGTTAGGGTTTCAAGAATTAAACATGAAAAAATTGTTAAAGGTGTTAGAAGGAAATGTAGTTGAATACTTTAGGATATTTGATGTAGGAAAAGCCTTCTTAAGTAATTTACAAAAGCCAGGAAGCAGAAAGTACAAAAATAGATTAACAAAATTTCTACATGACAAAAAATATAAATTTAAAAGAATAGAAGGTATTCATAAAACGTATAAAAGACAAAAAAAAGGTTCCAGATAACCCATAAAACTTCTATAAATTAGTAAGAAAATATAACCCCAATAGAAAAATAGGCAGTGAGTACCATCAGGCGAGTCATAGAAAAAAGATGGAAGACCTGAAAACATGATGATGGCGGATATTTCAGACTGACTTTCCCTACTTCCCATGCTGCCGCCTTGCAGCTTGCCTCACTGCATGCTGGAGCCTGGAAAGCCACAGCCTGCAGCTTCCTGGCTCCCTAAGAGCTGAGCTGGTTTCTCTGTGACCTGGTTTCTCTTGATTGGTTGTACCCTCAAGAGACCTACTAACTCCACTGGCAGACAGAGTTGAGAAGGTCCTTGTTTTTTGTGTTTTGATTGGGGTTATTTTGGTTTTTTTTTTGTTTGTTTTTGGTTTCTTCCCTGCATTAACAACAGCAAAGACCTCAGTGTCTAGATCCAGTCTCCAGCTTCGTGGGCGTTGTGGCCAGGACGTAGAGCATCTACCACACAGCTGAGGCAGTATGGTTCTGGAGACCAGATATGGCTGAGGCTTCCTGGTTTCTGATTGCCGAGCCAGCAGTTGGGGGCCCAGCTTCCCAAATCCCCAGCTTCCAGGTCATGAGGGAAGGGAAAGCTCCCTTGGTGGGTCCGTTCTGAGCTGGAGTTCTGGGAATCAGTCCTCGAAGCTCATCCTGAACTTGCTATTCTACCTTATCTGACAAAATGTTAAACACTCAATTCCCTATATTAAATCACTTTCTACATAAACTAAGGGAGTGGCTTCTGTCATTTCTAGCTGAACTCTGACACCTCACTAATAATCAAAGAAATTCAAACTAAACCAGCAATGCTATATTATTTCTCATTCATTACAAAGTCAACACTTAAAAAGACTGACAAAATTCAACATTGGTGAGGATGTGGGGAAATGGGAAATGGGCTGTCTCAGAAAGCCTTTTTTTTTTTTTTTTTTTTGAGACAGGGTCTTGCTCTGTCACCCAGGCTGGAGTGCAGTGGTGCAATCACAGCTCACTGCACCCTTGACTACCCGGGTTCAAGCGATCCTCCCACCTCAGCCTTCCAAGTAGCTGGGACTACAGGCAAAAGCCACCAAGCCGGACTAACCTTTTTTTGTATTTTTAGTAAAGGAAGAGTTTCCCTATGTTGCCCAGGCTGGTCTCAAACTCCTGGGCTCAAGTGACCCACCTGCCTCGATCTCCCAAAGTGCTGGGATTACAGGCATGAGCCACCGTGCTCAGCCTGGAGAACCATTTTGAAGGCAATTTGGCAGTATCTATCCAAGTATAAAATGTGCATCTCATCCAACCCAGCAATCCCACCTCTAGGTATCTGTCAAAGAGACATATTGGTACATGTCCTTAAGGCAACATTTCTCAAGGATGTTAAATGCATCATTGTGAGTAATGGAAAAATAATACTAAGTAGCTGAAATGCCCATCAAGAGGGAATATTTAAGAAATTATTATACAACCATGCTTTGGCATGTTCTGCAGTAGTCAAAGAATGAGGCAGAGCTCCAAATACTAATATGGAAAGATCCCAGACACATTTCCAAGTGAAAAATAAGCTGCAAAACAGCACGCATAGTATTATATCATTTATGTTTAAAAACACATGTCACAAAAATATATATTTCTGTGTAAACACATGTATGTCTAAATAAACTCACAGTTCAGGAGAGACACAAGCCAAGCAACCCTGGGGAGTGGGGAAGGTGAGATGAGGAGGGGCTCATGCCTGGGTTTTGCTTATACTCTATGTGTCTGTACTATTCGGATGTTTGAATATTTTACAATAAGAATATATTCATATACAGTCATGTGTCACTTAATCACAGGGATATGCTCTGAGAAATGTATTTGCATTATTAGGTGATTTTGTTGTTGTGCAAACATCACACAGCACAGTTATATAAACCCAGGTGCTAGAGCCTACTACACACCTAGGCTCTATGGGATAGCCTCTTACTCCCAGGCTACAAACCTGCATGGCATGTTACTGTACTGAATACTGTAGGCAATTGTAGCACAATGGTAATTACTTGTGTACCTAAATATATCTAAACATAAAAAGGTACAGTAAAAATATGGTATTATAATTTTTTTTTTTTGGAGACTTAGTCTCACTCTGTCACCCAGGCTGGAGTGCAGTGGTACAATCTCAGCTCAGTGCTATCTCAGCTCATTACAATCTCCACCTCCCGGGTTCAAGCGATTCTTGTGCCTCGACCTCCCAACCAGCTGGGATTACAGGCGCAAAATAGATTTTTGTATTTTTTTTTAGTTGACACAGCGTTTCACCATGTTGGCCAGGCTGGTCTCAAACTCCTGACCTCAGGTGATCAGCCCACCTTGGCCTCCCAAAGTGCTGGGATTACAGGCTTGAGCCACCACACCTGGCCTGGTATTATAATCTTATGGGATCACCATTGTATATGCAGTCTATCATTTACCAAAACATTGTCATGCAGTGCATGACTGCAGTATATGATTGCATTAATGCATAGATTACTAGGTTATAAAATGCTATAGGGACAAGATCCTAACTTTCAAATGTCTAAGCAAAGGATATGTATTTATCTCTCTGTGTATCTGGAAAGAGAGAGAGGGAAAGGAAATATGACAAAATGTAACATTCGTTGGATCTAGGTGGAGTGATATGGCTGTTCATTGTACCATTCTTACAACTTTTCTGTATTTTTAAATTTTTTCATAACATAAAGTTGAAAATAAAAACATATCAAATACACATCACTGGACACACACATACTTTTCCTGTGCATGCAGATTTTTCCAGATGTGGGAGCAAAGCCTGTGACTTGCTCAGCTGCAATTATGGCCAAAAGGCATTGGCAGTCTCTCCTTGTCCGCTTCTTAGAGTAAGCATCACCTCGCTCCTGTGGCCAGTGTCTTTAGAAATCTGCAGAGGCCTCGCTGTATACTAAAGAAGGTGGACAGCCCCTCTGCAAAGCATGGTCTGGGCCCAGCCTGTTGGGGAACAGAGGCCTAGCTGGCCTTCTGCCCCTCTTCCTGCAGAGGCAGCAGAGCCCATGGCCCCCTTAGGGCACCTTTGCCATCGAACATGCCCCCCACGTGTGTTTGGACGCTCCCTGGTGACAGTGCATGGGGCTGCTGCACTCGGCATCCCTATGTGTTCATGTGCATCCCTATGCACATGCCCCCCATGTGTGTTTGGACTCTCCCTGGTGAGGATGCCACAGGGCTGCTACCCCTGGCCTCCCTATGAAGGGCCAGGTGACCCTTGGCAAGAAGAGAAGCTGCAGGCGCCTTCAGGGCCACACCAGGGGTCTCTGAAAGATTCCATTCACTGGAGCTGCTATTCACAGACCCCTCACTTGCTCCTCAGCCTGGTGTTTATTTTTGAGATAGTAGTTTGAGGAGAATGGGGAAAAATGAATTGCAAAAAAAGGAATTGGAATTTTAATGAGAACCATCTGGAGTGTTTTCCAAGGGTGTAATGTTTGGTACAAGAAAGTAATTCCTTAGCTCAAACAAGGAGAAGAGAAATGAAGGAAACTTATATTGTGCTTACTCACCGCTCCCCAACTCAAAAAACGACGCTGAGCAGAACCACCTAAACGCATGAATCACACGCGAATGAGGGTGTAGTGGGGGCTTTGGAGCAGGAGAACCCGAGATTCTGGCTCTGACTTGCCGCAGCAAGGAGAAATGCTTTTCCTCTGCCAAAGAGACTTTGAGGGATGCGTTGTGGTGGGCCTGGGGCCAGTGCCTGGAATTTGGGTAACCATGGAAACAGACCTGCGGGTGACAACAAACACAAGATGGAATTTCAGCATTAGCAGCCAGGGCAGAGGAATGGGAAAGTTCGGGGAAAGTTCTTTTTTTTTTTTTTTTTTTTTAAACCCTGGGGAATAGGGGAATGAGGGAATGAGGGGAGGTACAAGGAAAGTCTCCATGCTCTGAAAAAGCGCTCCCGCCCAGCACCCCAGTGGAGTCACAGGAAGCCAGATTCTCCAGAAGTCTCTATTTTCACTCTACCTATTTTCTTCTTGTATTTATAGCCCATCGCATTCCACCAAGGATTCCATAGGGATCTAAAAGCACTTCCCAAAGGGTCTCAGTACACAATTAAATCCCTGTCCTTGGGCCAGCAGGTGACAGGATGCAACATAATCACATATTGTAAAGACAGCCACTCTTCTGGTGCATCTCAGTTCATCCTCACGACAGCCCTGCGGCCCAGGAGGGCAGGTCCCCCCAACCTTACCTCTGGGGAAAAGGAAACTCAGAGAGCCAAGATCACCCTGAAAGTGAGGGGCCGGCTGCCCCAGCTGAAGCCCAGCCTCCTTGCACCATGCCATTATACCTATAATCTTTATTCTGGGAACATTTGAATAATTATGGTAGCCAACATTTATGAAGAAGAGGTGCAAAACCCTACATCAACCAGTGTGCAAAGGCCAACTATCTGTGTGGCTGCAGAAGTAGGCATGTGTTTCTGCTTCAAGGACATTTGATTGAATGGGAAAGGATTTATGCGATGGGAGAAAGAAATTTTTACAGAGTTATTAGGCATAAAAATTAAAGAAAAGAAACCATGGACTCTAGAATTTTCTTCTCTGAGGTTTTTGAAAGTGGAATAGCTGGCATCCATTTAGATGCCAGAACAAATCAGAGCCTGAGATTGAAAGAAGCATAAAAACATCCACTACAGAATCCTTCCTTTGCAGATGGGGAAACCAAGACAGAATTGGGACTGGAGGCTGGGCACAGTGGCTCACGCCTGCAATCCCAGCACTTTGGGAGGCCAAGGTAGGGTGATTGCTTGAGGCCAAGGGTTCGGGACCAGCCTGAGCAACACAGCAAGACCCTGCCTCTACTTTAAAAAAAGAAGAAGAAAATAAAATAAATTAGTAGGGTGTGGTGGCGTGTGCCTGTAGTCCCAGCTACCCAGAAGCTGAGGGAAAATGATTGTTTGAGCCCAGGAGTTCGAGGTTCATGCCACTGCACTCCAGCCCGGGTGACAGAGAACAAACTTGTCTCAAAAAGAAAAAAAGAAAGAAAGAAAGAAAAGAAAAAAGAAAAAATCTTGGGACCGGAACCTGCAGTCCTGGCTAGAGGCACGAGGTACTTTTCTTAACAGGATATCCCAGGAGGGAGCCCAGAAACAAGCCCATGGGTCTATGTCTTGGAGTCTGATTGGCAGGGTTAAAATAGGAGGCTGAAACAGCCATTTTAAAGAAGAGGATCGTTTTGTCTGGGATCAGACAAGGAAAAAAAATGCATAATGCACTGACATTCTTCAAAACTGAGATCTAGTTTCACTGTTATGACCATCGGTAGTTAAGAAGAAGCCTCTGTTCTAAACAGAGAGACTCAACAGTTAAGAATTTAGCAAAAAAGACAGTTTGAAATCAGCAAAGTTACATAACTTTGTTTCAAGAAATCCTCTCGAAACTTCATTAGCAAAAAATGCCCCTAAATAAGCCAACAGGAAATAAGAAGTGCAGGAATTTCTGGAAATGGGAGGGTGTGTTTTTGTTTTTAAAGGAAAAAAAAAGTTTTTAAGGAAGACGGAAGCCCTGACCCACATAAAGATAGGGTTTCAGTAAAACTAATTTGAGACCAAGAGGGAAAGTCTAAGACTCTCAGCAATGAAGTGAGTGCCCAGGCCCTGAGGGCTTTGTGTGTGCTGCTGAAAACAAACAGCAGCCCCCTAACACGGGCTCAATCAAGGGAGCCGATTTTACACCAAAGACAAAACTTCATTCACTGAAACACAGCAAATCTGCATGAAATTTTCCATAGCCCTATTGGAGTTTAACTGCAGAGAAATTTAAAAATTGTTTCACAGAAAACCAAATATCACATGTGCTCACTTATAAGCAGAAGCTAAATATTGGGTACACATGAACATAAAGATGAGAACAAGACACCAGGGACTGTAAAAGGAGGGAGGGAGAGATGGGGGCAAGGGCTGAAAAACTTCCTATTGGGTACCATGTTCACTGTCTGGTGTGATGGGATCAACAGAAGCTGAAACCTCAGCATCATGCAATATGCCCTTGTAACAAACCTGCACATGCACCTCCCAAATCTGAAATAAAAATGGACTTTTTATTTGTTTGTTTGTTTTTGAGACGGAGTCTCGCTCTGTCACCAGGCTGGAGTGCAGTGGCGTGATCTTGGCTCACTGCAAGCTCCACCTCCTGGGTTCAAGCGATTCTCCTGCCTCAGCCTCCCGAATAGCTGGGATTACAGTTACGCACCACTATGCCTGGCTAATTTTTGTATTTTTAGTAGAGATGGGGTTTCACCATGTTGACCAGGCTGGTTTCAAACTCTTGACCTTGTGATCCACCCGCTTCGGCCTCCCAAAGTGCTGGGATTATAGGCGTGGGCCATTGCACCTGGCCAAAAATTGACTTTTTAAAAAGAGAAATAAAAATAAAATTTGTTTCACCTTTTAGCATTCCAGAAATACTTGCTATTTATCCTGAAATAAAATTGATTTTCCCTAAAGCTCTGTTTTGTAACTTTTTATCTTGAAAACCTAAGGGGTAAGGGAAGGAGGAGAGTGTAATTCACTTTCTCAGTAAATGTTTTTGACAACTTACTAGATGCCAGGCCCTGAACAAAGTGCTGCCATCATTTCTGATTATTGCCCCTTGGGCTTAATACAATATCTGAGTTTTTAATTTTAAAATGCAACGTCTGCTGTGACCCTATAAGCCTCCCATGAAATGTTGAGTTTTCTACCTTCTAATACTGTTAAGCACTATGCAAGCCTAAAGAGGCCACTGCCCATTCCTAATGAGAATCTTCTGTCTATGATTCATGGATTAACCCCTATAAATGGCTTCATGTACATGCCCAAAATATGTGGATCCACAAGAGGTCAGAGAGTTTCATGTAAGTATGTATCTGCTCGTGAGAAAGTGTGTGTGGGAGGGAAGGAAGGAGTAGAAACTGTTTTCATTTAAAAAAGCCAGAGGGGCAAATAGAAAAGTATTCATAGACATCACTAAAGGAGTGAGTTTATAGGGCAGAAAGAGGAAAGGAAGCAATACATTTCCAAATCATAACCCCTTTAATCCTCGAAAAGTTGCTCCTTCAGGAGAAGCCATGGGCTGATCATTATACTGAGAGAAAGGTCCCCATTGCTGTTGTTCTCCACACCTGTACATCCAGCAATACCAGCCTGAGTTGAAAAGGGCCTTGGAAGAGAGCATCTCAATCCAGGGTGCCCAGAGGTTTGTCATGAGAAGTGTCCTCCAGGCAGAAGTGTTTCTTTCTGACCAATTCCAGATCATACCCATTGGATGAGCAGAAGCCTGAGTCCAGACGTGTTCTGGGTGAGGAGCACCCTGCAGACCTCTCCTGTCCCCTCACCGGCCTGCCCCATGGTTTTCTTCTGGCTTTCATGAGAAGAAACATCGGAGCTATTGCTCTAACGTTCAATTTTGTGTGAAATTAAAGAGTATCACTTCTGGGCAGGCGTGGTGGCTCACGCCTGTAATCCTAGCACTTTGGGAGGCCGAGTTGGGTGGATCACCAGACTGGTTCAAGACCAGTCTGGCCAACATGGCGAAACCCCGTCTCTACTAAAAACACAAAAATTAGCCAGGCATGGTGGTGGGCGTCTGTAGTCCCAGCTACTCAAGAGGCTGAGGCAGGAGAATCACTTGAACCTGGGAGGCGGAGGTTGCAGTGAGCTGAGATTGCGCCATTGCACTCCAGCCTGGGCGACAGAGCAACACTCGGTCTCAATAAAAAAAAAAAAAAAAAGTATCACTTCTGTTTTGCCAAAATGCCTGTGTGCAGCTGGAGTTTTCAACAATAATTCTGATGAATACTGTGAACCAGAATATATCAAGCTCCACTTTTTATTGTGCAATCAACTACAGATGCCCAATAAAGAAACCTGTATCAAGGAAATAGGTATGATATAATATCATTGTATCATTAAGATGCTTTTGGTTGCAAGTAATCTGAAACCCAACTAAAAGAAGCTCAAACAATAGGGATGTTTCTTATTTCATATGAGCAACCCAGCTGTAGGGTTGGTTAATTCAGCAGCTAAACGACATCACCCAGAACTCAGGTTCTTGTCCCTGTTTAAGATTGTTGTGTATTCCGCAGCTCTCAGCTTGCTCCCCTCATGATTACGAGATGGTGACCACATCTTTGGGCAATATATCCTCATATCAGAGCAGAAATGGGATTATCTTTTCCCTCTGGCTCAGGGATAAGCAGATAGCCAAATCCGAGCCAAAGATAGCTTAGTGGGGAAAGTGAAACAGAGGCAAGCATCCCACCCCCACCACATGCACACACATGCTCCCTTGCACAACACACACACACACACACACACCCCTGGATGGATATAGCCATGAAGGCTGCCAGCAGCCATCTTGGAACTATGTGGTAAGTGCATACTTGAGAATGACCCAGCCGTTCAAAGGAGAGAAGAACCAAACCAAGGAACAAGATGGAACTGGGTATGAATGTCCTATTGAACCCACATATGCCCCTGGACTTTTTAGTTACATGGGCCAAGAAATTCTCTCTTTGAACAGACTTTCTGTTACTTGCAACTCTGAGAATTTATTCATACACCTTACATGTCAAAATTAAAAATTGCCAACCCTAGATTCCAATGTTTTTTTTTTCTTTTTAAAAATTACTGTCTGGGACATCCTGTAATATATCTGACCAGTACTCTTTAAAACTATTGAGGTCATACTAAAGAAAGACTGAGAAATGGCCACAAAATGAAGGAGACCCAGAAGCCATGATAACTAAATGCAATCCTGGATTGGATCCTGAAACAGAGAAAGGATTTCAATGAAAAAACTTGGAAAATCCAAATAAAGTCTGTAATTTAGTTAATAGTACTGCACCTGTGTTAATTTTTTAGTTTTTTTTTTTTTTTTTTTTTTTTTTTTTTAGCAAATGCACTATTGTCACTTAAGATGTTAACAGTGAGGAAATCTGGGTGAAGGATAACATTAGGGGAAGTTATCTATCTTTGTAACTTTCCTGTGAACCTAAAATTATTCCAAAATTTTAAATATCTTACTGGTCACTGATACTCCAAAGTCCGGTAACCATGCAACTAGTCTGACTTCAATTCACAGATAAGAATGCTAAGTCTCAAAGAGGTTAAGGGACTTGTCTGTTGCACCTAGTGTTTCATGTCAGAGCTGAACTTGGGATCCAGTTCTTATCACCTGGATGCACAGCTCACAGTGAAGCCCAGGGATCCACGAGTCTTTCTCAAAAGATTTATTTCCCACGGAAATAGCTCCTCGCTAAACACACTGCATTCCCTTACTGCTCACCATATTAGCTCTGGACTACTACATCTCAAAGTCCACTTTTCACATTGATAAATTACATAATTATAGCAGTTCGGGAATGTGCTTTAACATCACGTAAAAGGAATTTGCGCAAGAAATTTACACTACCATATGGTCAACGGATTAACATTAACCATAAATAGAAGCCATCACATTCCCTGGTCCCTGCTTCATATGAATTAAGCATTTTCTGAAAAGCAATACATGAAAAATGTCCGTGCAGAATAAACTCAAGCCACAATATTTTTAAACAGAGATTTTGAAGCGGTTGTAAGTCAAATAACTTAGGTGGGAGCAAACATTAGAGTCTGGAAAAAACTATGCTAGATGACTCAAGAAATGGTTCTAGTAATGACAGACACTGATGTCAAAGACTCATTTGTAAAGTTTGGATAGAATGTGTTTCATAAAATTTGAAGGAAAAAAATCAGAATAAGCCTCAGGTCTCTAAGAATAATCTTCTCTATCACCATTAATTCCTTCATGTCTGATTAGAGTTTAATAATACAGCTTTGGGGTGGGACAGTATTCCTTAATTTGAGGAAATGGGAGATTCTTCTGATCTACTTGCTTTCCCCAAAACCATACCAGTCCTATCCTGCAGGATCCCCTCCCCGTAATGCTTCTGTCATCTTTGCCAGGCCACCCTGTGCTGCGCACCGTGTCAGCCTCAGATGTTAGTTCCCTCCTCTCCTTCTTTTCCCCACCCAATTATTATTCCTCTTCCATCCTGTGAGCACTAGCCCCTCGGGCAGAGCCCAGGCATCCTGCCGGAATGCTGATTACAGAATGTCAGAACCCAGGGGATCCCTGAGAAACACAGCCTGAGATCTGCTAATTAGCACCCTTCCCTGTAATTGCTGGTGACTATTGGAATTATCTGATCAGAGCTATGACAGTATTTCCCCTTCCTTGGCATAGAGATGATTTAGGAAGCACATCTTGATAGAGAAAAAAGCTGTAATTTCTGATGTTGGCTATACTGTCCCTCATTAGCTAATGGTTCTATGACAGAAGATAAAAAATGATCTTGACAGGCAGGAATAATGTGTCCCAAATTGCAAAATGTAATTTAGAAAGAATGTAGGCAGTGCCCTACAGTTAGGTTCCAGAAGCGCCCTGCGGAGGCTCAGGAGGCTGAGGCCAAGGCTTCAGGAGTGCCAGATCCCATCCCAGCAAGTCTCGGATCGACTGGCCATGCTTGGACAAATGACTAGCTTCACTGGACTGCAGTTTTCTCATCTGGAAAGTGAGAATCTTAAATGGGTGATTTTTCATGTACTTCCCAAATTAAAAACAATTGTTTGCCAACAGTAGGAGGATAACCTAATAAATCCTCATGATAGAATATCAGGCAACTATTGTAAGTCCTATGTTTCCCAAGAATAATTGATAACCTGAGAAAGTGCTTGCTACATCATGTTAAATTAAAATAAAAAGTAGGGGGGAAAATTAAATATGGATTACGGTTCAAAGGTTGCTAATAAAAATATATGCCTGAGAGAGAAAAAGACTAGAAGGAGGTGCAAAAAGTATTAGCAATGTTAGCCATGGGTGACTTATTTTTTATTATTTGAAGCACTTCAAATTGTATGTATGATTACAAAGGCAGTAAGTGTTGGATTAGAAATTCCAATCATGCATGAGTATAAAAAGTAAAAATTAAAGTTTCTCCTCTCACTTCCATGGCCATTCCCCAGTTGTAACCTCTGTTAACACTGTGAAATAAATAACATCTCACCAGGTATGAAGCTGAATTTCCTAAAAACCTCCTTTGTTTCAGGCAGTCTGCAAAGAGAAGCTAGAGACGTAGTTAATTCTTCTTAGTAGTAGTAGTAGTATTTTTTTTTTTTTTTTTTTTGAGACAGGGTCTGGCTCCATCACCTAGGCTAGAGTGCAGTGTCGCGATCATGGCTCACTGCCACCTCCACCTCCCAAGCTCAAACCATCCTCCCACCTCACGGGGTGCGCCACCACAGCTGGCTAATTTTTTTGTATTTTTAGAAGAGATGGGGTTTTGCCATGTTGCCCATGCTGGTCTCGAACTTGTGAGCCCAAAGCAATTTGCCTGCCTCAGCCTCCCAAAGTGTTAGGATTACATACGTGAGCCACCACACCCAGCCTAATTCTTATTTTTTTCACTGTAACTTAATGACTTTCCTAAACTACCTTCAATAAATACATTGTTTTTCTAACAATAAATAAAGGATGATATTTCTATGAGGCGGGTTTCTAATGAAGCAGAACTGAGAGATATAGTGAACTTCCCAAAACAAAACTGCCACAAGTGTAGGTAGGTAGGGATGGGACCTCTGGCAGGGATGCTGTGCTGAGTTAAATGACCAAAGAGGAAAAGGGTTAGAGGTTTATGGTATAAGAGGTGCTGGAGCACGTCCTGGCCCAGCCTTTCTAGGTGGTGGAGAGGCTGGCAGAGTGAATCGAAGGAGCTATATCTTGTGAAGGTAGGAAAAGCTGGAGTGGCTCCTGAGACCAGACTATGAAAGAGAACACCAACCATGAAAAGCAGGTACCGTGACATGTTACACTGAGAAAGCCAGGACAAACACATTCCTTAAAAAAAAAATTAATTTCTTTTTCCAAAAATGAAACAACAGACATGATTTTGTTCTCCCCCGACTCCCCTGTGCATTCAGAGTGCCTATGTTTTGGTCCCTAAAAATAAGGAAAAATCGGGGAGGGTTTGGAACATCCTCTAGTTGTTGCCAGAAGGTAAGGATGTTTTCTGGGATATTTGAGGCAGTGCTGATAGAACAAGGAGCTGGCTTGTAGGGCCTCCCACAGGCTGAGCTGGGACACTGAGCATCAAATGGGGAATCATAAATGTAACTGGTTCAAACAGTTCGGGCTTATGAAAAGCCAGAGGACAATAATACTCAAGAAAAAGTTAATATTGAGACTACAAATGACCTGGTTAAAATAAAAAAAAAAACAATGAATATGCAATGAATATGATACAATAGATTATTTTTAAAGTAATTTTAGAAGACATGAAAGAGAGAGACTTTGTGTGCATACCTATATACACACATACACATATCCACACACCTATGTACACATACATAGGGTTATTTTATTTCTTCTGTTAAACAGATATTTATAAAGTAAAAATAAGTTCTTCAAGTGTAAATTTTTTAAAAAAACAGAAATTGTGACTAAGCCAAGGAAAGCCAGAAAAGTAAGTTGCTGTTCCAAGAACAAGACCCGCTGACTGGTACCAGAGGCCACAGACAGAGCCTCGTGGGAGGAGGCCCAAAATTGGCCAGCCAGGGTGGTCACTCACAGTAGCCAGTTACAAAGAAGTCAAGTGTGGGTTCCAAGATAACAAAGGAATCAAATGTCCCGAAGATGATGCTGACTGGCCCGACTCGACTTCAAGCTACTCATAAAGTTACACCTGCAGGGATCCTAACCAAGCCCAAGAACCACAGTGGCAGGGCAGAGGGTCAGGAAGCCAGTGTGCAAACCTTAGGGGTCAATCATTTCTGGAAAGACATCTCCCTTCCGAAAATTAAAATCTGCACCAATTCCAGGGAACTAAAAATTAAGCTAAATTATCAAAGGGCTTCAGCCTCAGCCTGACCCCCGGAGACTGGGATTTAAGGTACAAGTTCCTGGTCCTACTCAAGAATTTACAGCTCACATCCCACAATCTTGGCTACTCTAAATGAGCGATTGTTTTTTTCCTTTGGGGGTGGAAATCCTAGGAAAAGAACTTAAATGAGAAATTAGAATAAAAGAAAGAATAAAGATACAAGCAGATAAAATAAATAAATCTAGGTACTAGCACTTTAATAAATGGTTTCAACATAAGTTTAATAATTAGTGTTATAATCACTGTGATATTTGGGTTGTTTTTAAAAGTATTTGAAGCTTTTAAGAAAATCTGATATAATGGATTTTAGAATATGATAAATATCTAGAAGATTAATAATTTGCAATCAATTGGAAGCTTTTAATCAAATAAAGACATTTCAATTTATAATTGTGTGAATATTGTGTGAACATGTTGAGAAATATTTAAAGTTAATGGAATGCTAATTATTTGATAAATTTGGAACATTAATGAATCACTAAACAGGGTGCAAGAGTAGTAATTCTTCATCATCCTCAAAAGCCTTCAAACATTAAAGACTTGTTTATGCACATGCTTGGAAGCCAGATATGGCCGTACTTTGTTAAGGACACCATTGGCTGAATTGCACCAGGACGTGGGGAAGGAGAGGAGTGGAAAATCCACCTCCATCCTAACCAGAGGAACCCCTGCCGCTGCCATAGGCAGCCCCCTGAACAGAAGGCTCAGTCTCAGCTGGTCAAGTTTTTAAATGTGACCAGTGGTGTGACACCCTTCTGTGGTGAGAGTGGCAACAGAAGCAGCAACAGCAACAGCATGGAAACTTCATACATCTCAGAAGCATCAGATGTGATGCTTGATCTCTGGCTTCTGGAATAGGTCTGAGTTCTGCTTTCACCCCAAACACCATGCAGTGTTTCTACCAAAGATGAAACACAGTAAACACAAGTTAACAGCCTGGACACTTCTTGGTTTATCCCAGCAGGGTAGACCCCAGGAAGGAGGAAAAGATGAGTTGGGATTGGAGACTTGAAGTCTTCCATTGGAATACTGCATGAAGAAATATGATCTTAATTGTACCCAAGCTGCCGAAGTGGGAAATATTGGTTACTTTTAAATCTGTGGCTCAGTTGAAGTGCTGTTGTTTTATCCCCTATTCACTTTTATCTCCAGCTAGCTATACCCCATTTCTCCTCCAGAGGACCCCCTCTCCTTCATGCTCAGTACCACTCTGTTCCTGAAGCAGTTGTTCCCTTCCCCCTGCTCTACCACGGGAATGTAGTCTGGACTGGCCAATCAGAGCATCGCGTTTAAACTCTGATGTGAGCCTCGTGCTCTGGGGACAACCAAGTGGGAGGCTAGAATGAACCCAACACAAAGGAAGGCTGAGCCAAAGACTGGGAGAACCAGCCTCTGAACTTTGACTGTCCTGGCGCATGGACTTTTCATTTAGATGAGCCCTTAAGTTCCCCTGTTGACTTAAACCAATTTGATTTGGATTTTCAGTCATTTCTTAATGAGAATATCCTAATGGATATAAGTGTATCTGAGGGCTTCTGAGGATCTGGAAAGTTCACCAGGGAGAACAGCTGAGGTGATGTTATCCTGGGGAAGAGAAGACTCTAAGACTACAAGCTAACTCTCCTCAAATATCATGCTAATGAATGTTACTGGAAGATAAATTCAATAGGTAGATGAGTTTTCTAATAACTAAAGTTGTTCAACAAAGGAACCGCCTTCTTCAGAAGGAGATGAACTCCCCAGCCAAGGATGAACAACCACCTGACAAGGACATTGGCACTGAGATTCATTCACTGGGTGGGAAGCATGAATTTCAAATGACTCTTTTGACACAAACAGTTAACAAAAAGTAAGAGAAGAAAAACATCACTAGGGAAAATAAGTGGAGGTGCTATAAAACTCTGCAAAACCCTGGTTTAACCAATGAGAAGTTTTGGTGTAGTTTTTTGAATCCGACTTGATCTATAGCCCCCTGCTGTTTAGCAAGAGAGTTAACGTGGAAGTCAGAGATAACACTGCGAAGAGAAAAGGCCTAAACACTTCTCTCTCATATAACATGAACTGTTTAAATGGGGATTCTGTAGCTGTGGTGGAATGCCAAGTGCAAAACCAGTGTTGGAGGAGAGACCTGGTGGGAGGTGTTTGGATGAGTGCAAAACCACTCAGCCACCATGATAATGAAATATTATGGAAGGGACCAGCCAGAAGCTTGGCAGGAATGAAGAATTCTAGATACACCTGCATATATGTGTGATTGTGGAAGTGACCAACACTGTCTCAGATCCCACAGCCTATAGTCAATCAGCAATTTCTACATAAACAGGCCCCTGGTGTTAAGTGCCTAGAGATTGAGAGAGGCATAGAACTGATGATGTTTTCATTAGTTAATGAGTTTGGTTATCATCATGTAATCTGGCCCCTTCTACTTCTCTGTCCTGTCCTCTCCCCAAGTCCATTGTACTTCAATCACTTGGACCTTCCTTTGATTCCTCAAACACGTGTAGCTCATTCCTACCTCAGCTCTTGCTCTTCCTTCTGCAGGGAGAATGCTACCCCTATGTCTTTGTGTGGCTAGCTTTTTGGGGTTGTTCAGGTATTAACTCAAATGGCACCTGTTTGGTGAAGAAGTGCAAGAAGTTAGTGCCTTCTTGCACTACTTCCTGACTACCAATCCAAATTAGCAAACCCCTCACTAACCCATGTCTCAAGTCAAAGAGAACCCATCCTCTCCATCACATTATCTTGTCTTATTGTCTTCCTGGAACTCATTACTATCAGAAATTGCTTTTTCCTTTTATTTGCTGCTAGTTTATTTCCTTGTCTTTCCTCTACATTAAAGCACAAGCTCTACAAGAACAGGGGTCATGTGTTTTTTTACTGCTGCATCCTCAGCTCTTAGAGCAATTCCTGGCACATGGAACACATGTCATGAGTGTTTGTTGAATGAATATACTATTTCCTGCCTTGATCTTGGAGAACTTTCCTTCTATATAATGTTTTCTGGAAGACAGACAGAGTACACAAGTGAGTGAGACTCAGATAGAGAGACTCTTTTGCTGAAAGGACTCATCCCTGGTCTGGTAACTTGCCCTTTAGTTGTCTCAGTGTCCTGAGGTAACCAGGTGGGAAGGAAACACAGGACTTTATCCAGAGCCCAGCCCCCTCTGTGAGCACATATAATACATTCCACATGAGCCAACTAACCCTATTTTTCAAAGGAGCCATGGCTCAGCAATAACCATCCCAGCTTACTGCCTTTTCAGCAAACAGTTTCTGTTTTGTTCCTTGGTGAAGACATAAGAGTAGAAAAGTCCTCCCTCCCCCACTCTGTGAAAGCCCAGTGTGTTGGTGCCTTCTTGCACTACTATAAAGACATACCTGAGACCAGGTAATTTATAAAGAAAAGTTTAATTGGCTTAAGGTTCTGTGGGCTGTACAGGCTTCTGCTTCTGGGGAGGCCTCAGGAAACTTACAATCATGGCCGAAGGCAAAAGGGAAGCCAGCACATCTTCACATGGCTGGCAAAAGAGACAGAGTGAAGTGGGAAGTGCTACACACTTTCAAACAATGAGATCTCGTGAGAACTCACTCACTGTAATAAGAACAGCAAGGGGGAAATCCGCCCCATGATCCAAACACCTCCTACCAGGTCCCTCCTCCAACACTGGGGATTACAATTCAACATGAGATTTGGGTGGGTACATAAACCTAAACCATATCACCCAGCAAGTCTTGAATGGACTTAACTCTTGAGCTTGACCATTGTTTTTCTTCTCAGTATTGACAAATGGTTACTTGTGGGCTTGCCCCATGCGTGTAAAAAGTGACAGAGGACGGTTTTTATGTGTGACTGTACCTCGCTGACAGTGGGCTTGGACCACTTTCCAAGGGACTCTGGCCCATGGGGAAGTTTTTTCAGAACCTTGGGAAGAAGAGCCTGTAATTATTTATATGAAAGAAGACAGTGGGGGAGTGCTCTTTGGAATGTCATCTCACAGGCTTTCCTGGAGTTAGGAGTAATCTCAGACACCCTAAATAAGTTACCCAACACAGATAGGGCTGGCTTTAGCCTCCTGGGGGAAGTCTGGGTGCAGGGGATGTGGAAACAGGTTTCACATGGGGAAAAAAGAAAATGATCTTGAAGACAAGATGACAGCTCTAAAACAGGAACCACAGGGAATGTGCCCATTACATTTACAAAAATATATGTGGGACATATATTTTTTGGCTAGAATACTCAACTGTTGGGATAATCAGCATCCCAACTGTTGGAACAAACCAAAATATAATTCTTGGTTTGTTTTTAAAGCTGCTGGAAGAATAAGAATATGGTCTACCCTGCATTCACCCACTCATTTATTCATCAAGCAATATTTTTGAGTACCTGTTATGTTTTAGACAACATTTTGGTTCTAGGGAATCAACTCTGAATAGGACAGTCAGGGTTCCCCTAATCATGGGGCTTATATTCTGAGGGTGAAGATAGACATTGACAAGATATTTGCACAAATAAGTAGCAACAGATATGAATTCAGTGTAGGAAATTCAGCCAAATGAAAACAGGGCCTCACTGCCAGTGTCTTCCCAGTTGCACTCCACCTGTTGCAAGATCCTGTAAAAGCAGTGGAGCTTGGGGGTGAATAACGGCCAAAGGAGCAGATGAGCACCAGACTTGATCCCAGGCTGTCTATATTCTTTACAGAAAAGGGGGCAGACCTAGGGGAATATAGCAAGCAAGGGGCCCCATTACACTTTGCCCCATTTCACTTCCTGCTCAAGCAGTGCTCTTACAGGGAAGTGGCTCTGGACGGGCCACTGCTGATCCACCCTACCCTCAAACCACTCTTTCCCTCTCTGCCAGCAATTGAAAAGCCACACATGGCTCTTCTAACACAGACTGCCTCACAAGTTGGGTCAATTCAGGTCCTCCGGGAAGCAGATGGCAGGATGGAGTTAGAAATGCAAAGAGATTTATTAGGGGAAATGACTGTGAAGATTGAAAGGGAAGAAGGAGCAGGAGGAGGCAGAAAGAGCCTTCAAACTGCAATGCAGTCCTGATCCTTGCAAAAGGAGATGGGGAAGGAAGGAGGTGTGTGTGGGTACGGAGAGCCTCAGAGCAGTACAGCCCCCGGAAAATCTCAGCCAGCCCAAGAGGGAGCTCTAGAACCAAGATCACTCATTAGAGAAATCCTGCATTGCACAGAAATTGTCAAGGCCCTAGTGCCTCTGCTGTGCACAGTCATTGGCCATTGCTGCCCAGGAGAGTGTGGCCTCTGCTCAAACACAGCAACAGACCCTGAAGGTGCCGCAGCTGGTGGCCATCAGCTCACTACACTCTCATCACAAGGTTCCCTCGGAGGGAGAACTGAGTGGCACCTTCCACTGGCTGCCAACATGGCAGGCTTATGCGGGTGTGCTCACTCCCAGTGTTCCATTCCATGATTGATAACCAAGGTGAGTGTCTCTATAAGCACAGCCTTTGGCTCCAGGGGGTACAGTAGGGGTGAGATAAAGGCATAGGCACAACAGAGCACAGGCAGGCCCCTGGGGTTGGAAGAGACACCAGAAACATTGTTGAGGCTCCAGCAGTGCCAGCTGAATGGACAGCAGGGGGCAGGAAACACAGAGATTGGAAGGCCAGCAAGCCTAACTCAGAGAATCCCGGCCAGGAGGAAGAGAAGTGGCTGACTGCTGGGGAAGGCCACAGTGGATAAGCCAGTGATGGGGACATAAGACAAGCTGTACCCCCTGTTTCTCACATATAGGCAGCCAGCCTGCAAGCTTGGCACCCCTTCTTTGCTTCCCTGTATCCTCCTCCCATGAAATCCAAACACTCACCTCTATAAATATTTATTGATGTCCAATGGGGTTGGTCCTTCTGATCCTTGATAGGTTATTAACTGATATTGAGGAAAAACCTCAAAATTGTTTTTGATTGAAAATTCAAGAGTTAAGCTGAACTATCTTAAATTCATTTTAAGTTGTATTTCTCAAAATAGAGGAGAATCATCATCTTAGCAATTCATTTAGCTTAACGTGATAGTTCCCTTCATCTCTTGAAAAACTCAACCTGAAGTTTATGTCTGATGTTAAGAGGCCCTTGGACACACCGAAGATTATATTGTGTCATGCACTGAGGAGTACACTCAACTGAAATGTCTATTTCTAAGGTCCAAAGCTAAAATTAGATGAAATAAAACAATGCTGACCCAGCAAGAAGGGCCCCATGCTTTCAAGCACTCCACATATTATAAACACAAAACCTTACATTCATTTTCTCAATTAGCACCAGTTACGGACCAGGAAAACTCATCTCTGGAGCTTTTGCTCTGTGTCCTCAAAACAAAACCAACTGTCTGAATGCTGTGATGTTGTAACATTGGAGAGGAACAGCGTGCGTAGTTGGAGTTGGAAGTGCTTAGATCAAGAAAAGACAAATTAACTTGCCCAGTCCTTCCTGTCAGCATGAATGCAATAGGTGGCCTGGCATGACATTAACAGAATATACTTTCCCAGTCATGCTGAGCACTCGTTTCCTAACTTCTCTTCATGTTCCAGTGTGTGCCTCCAGAGGCTTTCATTATATAGTGCTGTGTTCATAATAGTTGTATATGGAGTGAGGAAGATTTTCAAATTAAATAATTCGCATTGCTCCTGAAGTTGGTTGTGGGCTGAATTTATGATGTTAAAGTATGTGGGCCTCTATTTGCATTCTTGATGTAGGCCCCACAAATGTTAGGGAAAGGCCTGGACAGTGGCACTCTGGTAACCAAGCAGAAGTCAACAAAAAGTTCGACGTAAATTGGGCCACAGTTCATGAAAACATTCCTATGATAGCTCATTAACAATGACGATAATCACAGCAGCAGTTCTGTAAACACACCTGTGGACACTGGGTGCTACATATTTTGCTCTCGTAATCAGCCTTTGCCTTGTTCTGTGTGGTGCCTCAGTGAGCTGTGGGCCAAGCACTGTGAGTCCCTGCCTTCCCAATGCAGAGACTCTGGGCTCTCTGTTGGTCCGCTCTCCAGATGTTTCTGGGGGTTCCCAGGTGCCATCCCACATGGGCTCTGAAGCAAGGCCGCAGACATGCTTCCAGTCTCCCTGCTCACCGCTGGCCCCAGCACTGCTGCCCCTTCTGCCCAATGTCCTTGTGAGGGCATCTCTGCTGCCGGCTGTGGCCGAGCCCCACCAGAGCATTGCTGCATGTCCTAGGTTGGGGACCTGGCTCCCGCTTTGTGCCCTTCTTCCATGCTCAGAAATCCCTCCCACACTGCTGCTCCAAGCACATCCTGAGACAGCCCCAGGCCCAACCTTGTCTTGAGAGTCCCTGTTGCACTGGCTTCCACCCAGCTCCCAGACATCCTCCAAGGACAGGGCCCTCTCCCCACACCCTCCATCTGGCTGTCTACCCTCACCCCACCCAATCTCCAGGAATCTCCATGGCACACCCTCAGCCCAGAGAGCAGGTATTTCCTTTCCCACATCATCAGTGGGAGTGCTGAGTGGTCCCTTTCAAAACAAACATGTTGTCTGCCCCCAACATGACCCTTTTGAAATGTCATTTTTCTCAGCTTTAAAGGAAAAGAAAAGGCCATGCTAAGGTCCAGTTTCACTTAATGATCCATTACACATCCAACAATCCACCTGCTGTCTTCTCAGCTACTAAAACCGTCTTTATTTCCAGCCTGCCCCTCAGAGTTGGGCACACTTCAGGAGCAGAGGCCAGAGCCAACACTCACCATACCTCACACACCTCTGGGGAGAAAAGGGTCCTTAAAGTCAACTTCTGGAGCCTTCCCAAAGGAATACAGGCTGCCTGCACACATTCAAACAGAGGTGGAGGATCAAGGAAACCATGCAGTTGAATCTTCTAACTTTAGAAGTGGGGAAACTGAGGTGCAGAGAGGAGAAGCAACTGATCCAGGGTCATTCTGCAAGTCAGTGGCAGGGCATGAGCTCTGACCCATGGCACTTTCCATCACAGAAAGTCTACGGCTTCTGTTCCCAGGAGACAAGCCCACGCTTCCTCAGTAAATGGCAAGGGACTTCCAGGGCCTTTTCATCACCCCGAAGGAGGATTGTGGTCAGGAAGTGTGGGCAGAAGATATTGGACAGTCACCAACTGAGCTGGCTAGCTCCAGACTTGTTTGGGCCTGGAGCAGGGGAAGGAAGTGTGACAGCAGAAAGAAGGGAAGGGGAAATGGGGACCCCCACACACCCTGGCTTCTGCAGCATCTGCTCTCTGCCTCCTCCTTCCTGGGTCCCTTCCTGGGTTCTTTCCTGTACCCTCTTCTGGGTCCACCCTTCCCTCCTCCCAACTGCAACACCTCCTGCCTGGCCTTCCCCACTGTCTCATCACCTGGGTCTTCCTCTGAGTAGAACAAGAGCAGCTGAGAAAGTGTTCAGGAAAGGAAAGGAAGGGGATAGTAAAGAGACAAGATATGCAGAACAGCTAATAGAGCTCCCCAAAGTGAAACCCTAATACTAACTCTAACCCTAACCCTCCATGCTGGCAGTGGAGCACCTTAGAGCAGTGGTCCCCAGCTTTGGCAGCACACTGAAATTACCCAAGGAGCTTTAAAAGATACACATGCCTAGACTCATCCCACAGACTGATTTATTTTTTTCAGTACAACTTAAGAACCAGGATTTGTAAAAGCTCCCTCAATGATTTAAGTATGTAGCCAAGGTTGCAATCCAATTATCAGAAGAAGAGTCCCTTGTCTATCTCATATTGGGTCCTCTGCTTCAATAAGAGGCAAATAATTTTTAGATAGAAAGTACTGAAATCTATTCTATTCCAAGCCTACACATCAGAAATCCTGATTGTTCTAGCCTGGCTGTCAGATTTTCTGCTAAGCTATCTTCCCTGGCATCTTGGACTTCTGCTACCACTGTCAAATCTCAAGATCTCTGATTCTCCATAGTCCTTTTCAGTTCCCAAAGCTCCTTCATGTGAGGCTGTATGAAAAAAAGCTTATAGTCACCACTGCTGTGAATGTGGTCTTTTTAAAAGCTCATCTCTATCTTATAGTTATGACAGAGTAACTGCTACCAGAGTTGTCCTACCACTGAAAACAATAAGAAAGTTGGACAAATTTATGAAACAGCTATTTCCAAATCCTAGACAACAAGAAGTGCAGAACTATGATCAACAAGAGTCATGAAACAAACAAGCAAGCCCTACAGTTTCCCTGGCTTTCTGCCAAGAGTCACTTTTCCAGACAGTGGTGCAGGGGAAGGAACACAAGCATAACACTGCAGTCTTGCCAAGTTAAGCAAGCAGAGATCAGGGTTAAGGGAGGCTAAATCAGCTGGAATTTATGGGGCAGAGCACTGGAACAGAGAGAACTATGCAGAGAACGAGCCTAGAATCTGCATAGGGGTCTCCTTGAATCTATTGCTGAAAACTAAGCTCTGAATGCTTAGGTTAAAACTCCACAAAGCTATGCAAAGAAGTACTGAGAATCTGTATGCTGAACAGTTCCTAGAGCTTACACAGGCTATGAGATAGTAGAGATCCAGCCAGAGGGAAGAGATCTCATTTAACACCCAGTGAACTCAGTGCAGATCCTAGAAGAGTTGTAACTTGGTAGTAAAACTAAATAAAAGAGACCTAAAATAAAGGCTACTCTAGACCTGCCTTAGAAAAATTTAACACAAACTTTGAAAAAAATGAGCTGATTCTAAGTTCCCTAAGTGCATGCCACAATAAAAATTTAATATTCTTTACAAGAAACAGAAGTCATCCACTCAAAAAGGTAACTGTGACAATGCCTAGCATCCAGTAAAAATTACTAGACATACAAAAATGCAGGAAAATGTGACCCATACTTAGGGGAAACATCAGTCAATAAAAACATACCCAGAATGACAGAGACTTTGGAGTTAACAAAAAAGGATATTAAAACAACTATTACAAATATGCTCATGTAAACAGACATAATGCGAAAAGAAATGAGAGCTATAAAAAAGAACAAATAAAAACTATACGGATAAAAAAAGAGGTATTAAATTAAAACTTTATTGGATGAAATTACCAGCTAATTAAACACTGCAGAAGAAAAGGCAAGTGAATTTGAAGACATAACAATAAAAACCCTCCAAAATGATACATGCAAAAGAAAAAAAAGACTAAAATAAATTAACAGAGCCTATTAACTATGGAAACATATCAAGTAGTTGAACATATGTGTGAAGAAGTAAAGGCCAGAAAAATACTTGATGAAATAATACCTGAAATTCTTCCAAATTTGAAAACATTTCTAAAACCACAGATTTAGTAAACTCACTTAATCCCAAGAAAGGTATGCACAAATAAAACTACATGACAGCATATTGCTGAAAACCAAGGATAAGGAGAAAATCGTAAAAGCAGACAGATTTTTAAAAGACAAATAACACATAAAAAACAAAATGAGAATTTCCATGATTTATCATTAGAAAAAAGTGCAAGCCAGAAGACAGTGGAATGACACTTTAAAAATTCTGAAAGAAATGAGGTCAGGAGTTTGAGACCAGCTTGGTCAATATGGTGAAACCCCGTCTCTACTAAAAGATACAAAAATTAGCCAGGCATGGTGGCACGTGCCTGTAGTCCCAGCTACTCAGGAGGCTGAGGCAGAAGAATCACTTGAACCCGGGAGGAGGAGGTTGCAGTAAGCCGAGATTACGCCACTGCATTCCAGCCTGGGTGACAGAGTGAGACTCTGTCTCAAAAAGAGAAAAAAAAAAATTCTGAAAGGAAAACAAATCAATAGGAAGTAAAAATATCTTTCAAAACCAAAGATGAAGTAAAGATCTTTTCAGACAAACACAAACTGAGAGAATGCATTGTCAACAAACCTGCTCTACAACAAGAATTGCTTTTACTTTATATTTATACTTTTTAACTATAAACAGAAATTTTTAATAAATATAAATAGAAGTTTTTCAGCTGGAAGAAAAATCATACTGATGGAAACTTGGATCTATACAAAGGAATGAAAAACACCAGAAATAATAAATAAGTGGGCAAATATGAAAGGTTTTTATTTTAAAATTTATTTAAAACATAACTGGTTATTCAAAGAAAAATAATAACATGTTGTGGGATTTATAACAGAAATAAAATGTATAATAACAACAGTACAAAAGATCGAAGAATTAAATAATATTGTTGTAAGTTTCTGTATTATATCCTGAAGTGGTATTATATTATTTAAGGGTAGAGTGTGATAAGTTAAAGATATATTGTGAATCCTATGTAACCACTAAAAAAAAAAAAGTCAACCAGATTTTAAAGAAGACCGAAGTATTAACATATGCTGTCTACAGGAACCCCACTTTAATTGTAGACACAGGAAAATTAAAGTTAAAAAAATTTTATAGAAAAAGATATACCATGGCCGGGCACGGTGGCTCATGCCTGTAATCCCAGCACTTTGGGAGGCCGAGGCGGGTGGATCACGAGGTCAAGAGATCGAGACCACCCTGGCCAACATGGTGAAACCCCGTCTCTACTTAAAAATGCAAAAAAAAAAAAAAAATTACAAAAAGGCGTGGTGGTGGGGCGTGCCTGTAGTCCCAGCTACTTGGGAGGTTGAGGCAGGAGAATTGCTTGAAGCCAGGAGGCACAGGTTGCAGTGAGCCGAGATCATGCCACTGCACTCCAGCCTGGCAACAGAGCGAGACTCTGTCACAAAAAAAAAAAAAAAAAAAAAGATATACCATGCGAGCACTAATTATAAGAAAGCTAAGATAGCTATATTAATATTAGATGAAGTAGACTTCAGATCAAAGAATATTACCAAAGATATAAAGGAACATTTCATAATAATAAAAGGGTGAATATGCCAAGAGAACATAACAATCCTAGATGCTTAACATCTAGGGTTAAAAAACAAACTTCAAAATACATTGAACAAAAGATAACTGACAAGAGAAATATACTTTATCTATAATTTAGATATTTATGTATCTAAATTTTTATCTAAATATGTATTTATGTATCTAAATTTTATCTAAATATGTATTTAGATATTTATGTATCTAAACTTTATCTAAATATGTATTTAGATATTTATGTATCTAAATTTTATCTAAATACATATTTAGATACATAAATTTATGTATCTAAATATTTATGTATTTAGACATTTCAATATTTCTCTCTTATTAATGAGTAGAGAGAAAACCAGCTAGTACGTAGAAGATTTGAACAATATTATCAATCAACTTGATCTCACTGACATTTATAGAACACCCCATCCCAAAACAGCAGCACACACATTTTTCTCAAGCGCACATAAAACATTTGCCAAGCTAGATCATATTCTGGGCCATAAAATAAGTCTCAATAAATAAAGATTGAATTATATATTCTCTGCCCACTCATAATTACATTAGAAATCGAGAACAAGAAGATATTTAGGAATAAAATCCCCAAATATTTGGAAATTTTTAAAAGTTTTCTTAATAACCCATGTGTGGCATTATGACACACACACACACACACACACACACACACACACACACACACTGGTTTCCTCTACCTCATACTGTAAAACAGAAAGCACGTAAACCTGTCCGTCGAGCAATATTATTTGGACCTGCTAAATGGAAACAAGTACGATTGCCAGGGCCCAAGCAGATATCCCTGTGTCCTTCCTGGAGGTGACCACCTGGGTCCATGAAATTAATTGATATAGGATAGTGGGTACTGCAGCAGTGGAGAGATGGGTTGAGTCAAGATAGTTTCTTTTGCACCCTCTCAGGCACATAATGCCAGTAAGAACTGTTCTGTTTGTCATAAAAGGAGACAGAGACTGCTGATGGCTATGCGGCAGATAACCTGGTGAAAAGGCCCTGAACACAGCTGGCAAGGGAGGCTGGTGCTGGGAGCCCTGGAGGCTGCAAATGGGTCTTGACAAGAATAGACACTGACTCTGGACTGGGCTTTTGCATGCCTGGTGGGAAATGAAAATGCTCGGAGTGCCATAAAAATTAAAAAAAAAAAAAAAAACAGAACAGAACAGAAGATATTGCATAAATTTGGATGGCTGACTGCCATTTCTTCAGACCAAGTAACACATACAGCCCATAATGTCCAACAATGGGCAGAGAGATATCCTCCCTCAACTAATAGTTCGATAGAGGAGAACAGGCAATTGAAACATTGGTTGCCTAAAGCAGGGAGAAACAAAAGCTTGCAGGGCTGCCTTGCACACCTTCACAATTTTGTGCTCACACTCAACATGAGTGGGACTATAGTATCCCCACTAGATTTTTTTCTCTGTTTTTCTGGTTGATCTGGGGAAGGGGAGGTGGGGAGGACACTGATATGAGTATGCACCTCTTGCTAGGGGAGGAGTATATTGGTATAATGGCTATAATTTTTTTTTCTTCCCCAAATCACCTCAAGAAAATTTTTTTTCTCCTCTCAGAATTCCTAAGGGCCTGATGCAGGTGGCTTGTGCGTTCACCCTCTGGCAAAACTGGGACCAAGGATAAATACAGTTATAATGCCTGGTGGTGAAAATGGCTCACTAGTTTGGAATCTATATAACCCTACCCTATGTGAATGGGAACAGGCTGAGTGGGAGGCACTTGCCAGACTAGTGCTGCTGCCTGCAATCTAGACCAGCACAGTGGCAATTCTAATGTCCTGTCCAAAGGTGAAAAATCTGGATATTAATGGAGAGCAGGAGAAATAGTAGATGAGTGTAAATGAATAAATAAATGAGTTATTAATTGAGGGAAGCTCAATATTACATGAACAACTCAAAAGTCTCAGAGCAACAGATGATACTGTCTCTTAGCTCAATTATTCCGTATGCCTGAAAGGGTGGAGCTGTATATTTGTCGGGACCACTCCTGTTTTGGGAACCTGAAAAGATTGAAAGGAAGACTGCAAACCTGAGTGGCCTCACCCTAGGACATTTGTACAATATGATGGACTGGACTAATTATTAATGATTCTGTATATTCTTTTGATGTAAGGGATCTGTGGTCAAAACCAGCAGGTGGTCTGTGGTGGCAATGGAAGCCAAGTTGATTAAAGGGAGGCTCCATGGAGGGCATACATATGTTTTGGTTTTCGTCCCTGATTCCTGGCTTAGGACTCCTAAAATCCTTGGGATCTCCAAAGTGCTGTCTTTTGTGTATGTGTTTTGTCTGATAGATTCAACGGTGGGGCTGGTCACTGGAAAGACCAAGGCGGGATTAGAGAGTTGGGACTTTCAGTCTCACACCCCCAACCCACAGGGAGGGGAAAGGAGTTGCAGGTCAAGCTGATTACCAATGGCCAGTGGTTTAATCAATCATGTCTATGTAATAAAGCCTCCATAGAATCCCAAGAGGATAGGGTTCAGAGAGGTTCCAAATAGCTTATCATGTGGAGGTTGCTAGAGGGTGGTGTGACCAGGGAGGGCATGGAAGCTCCACGCCCCTTCTCCCATACCTTGCCCTACACTTCTTTTCGTTTGTATCCTTAGTAATGTTCTTTAAAATAAACCAATAAATGTGTTTCCTTGAGTTCTATGAGCCACTCCAGGAAATGAATCAAACCCAAAGAGGGGGTAGTGGGAACCCCAACTTGAAGCCAGTCAGTCAGAAGTTCTGGAGGCCCAGACTTGTGACTGCAACGGGAGATGTCGGGGGCAATCTTGGGAACTGAGCCCCCAGCCTGTGGGCTCTGACACTGTCTCCAGGTAGATTGTGTTGGAACTGAATTGGACACCCAGCTGGTGTCTGTGGCTTGGTGTGTGGGGCTTTCCCCCACACATTTGGTCAAGAAGTCTTCCTCTGTGTTGATTGTTGTGGTGGTGTGGTGTGAGAGCAGAGGGAAACTCAGTTGGAGAGAGAGTTTTTCCCTGTACAATACAGGTCAAAGAAGAAATCATGAAGGAAATATTTTGAAGTAGATGAAAATAAACACACAACATACCATTTGTGCAAGGTAGCTAGAGCAGTACATAGGGAAAAATTAATAGCTTTAAATGCTTATATTAGAAAGGAAAAAATGTCTAAAATCAATTATCTAAGCTTCCAACTTAAGAAGCTAAAAAATAAAGATCAAATTAAGTCCAAAATAGAAAGAAGGAAATAATAAAGATCAGAGTGGAAACCAGTGAAAATGGACAAAAACAGTAAGAATATCCATTTTTTTAATTCGACGGTTTTTAAAAATAATAATAAAATTGATAAACCATTAGCTAGATCGATCAGGAAGAAAAGAGAGAAAACACAAATAACTGATATCAAGAATGAAAGACAGGCTGGGCGCGGTGGCTCACGCCTGTAATCCCAGCACTTTGGGAGGCCCAGGCGGGTGGATCACGAGTTCAGGAGATCGAGACCATCCTGGCTAACACGGTGAAACCCTGTCTCTACTAAAAATACAAAAAAAAATTAGCCGGGCGAGGTGGCGGGTGCCTGTAGTCCCAGCTACTCGGGAGGCTGAGGCAGGAAAATGGCGTGAACCCAGGGGGCAAAGCTTGCAGTGAGCCGAGATCATGCCACTACACTCCAGCCTGGGCGACAGAGCGAGACTCTGTCTCAAAAAAAAAAAAAAAAGAAAGAAAGACAGCATAAATAAGACAGAATATTATGAAGAACTTTATGCCAATAAATTTGACAACTTAGATAAAATAGACAAATTATTTGAAAAATATGATTTGCCAAAACTGGAAAAGAAGTTAAAAATCTGGAGTGCCATACACTTATTAAAGAAATTGAATTTGTAAATAAATCCCTTCCTACAAAGAAAACTCCAGGTCTAGATGGCATCACTGATGAATTCCTTACAACATTTCAGAAAGAAATAATACAAATTTCAGGTAAATATTTTCATAAAATAGAGGAGGTAACATTTCCCAATTTGTTTAGCGAAGATAACATTATCCTGATACCAAAACCAGACCAAGATATTGTAAGAAAAGAAAACTAAAGACTAATGTCCCTCATGAACATAACATAAAAATCTCTAACAAAATATTAGCAGAGTCTACCAATTTTATTTTTATTTTTAAAATTGTAATATTGTTTATTTAACTTCAAAAGCATTTCAGCATTCTAAACATACAAAAAAAAAAAACAACATTGCAAAGCGTGTTTAAGTACAGAAGGCTTTTGAACTTTCATTGATGCAGTGGCTCTTCCCTTTGCTGACACTGAAGAGTTCTACAGTTTGTTTAAGAAACAGTTTAAAAACTATCACACTTAACTAAAACAAACAAACAAAAAAACACTTCTCATGCCAGCCGACCCACCTTTGTCTATAGCTAAGAATGGAGGCAGAATGCTACGTCATTATATACAAAAACATGACAACCTGAAGTTAAATGGATGCCTGCTGCAGTCACCAGGTCCAACCTCACAGTGCATGAGCTACGACCCCTCCAAAAGGCATCTTCCCCTGCAGCCTCAATGCCAAGCAAGGAGTGTCAAGAGTTTGTCTCAATTGTTTTGTTCTTTTTACAAACTAGAGATATATACAGTGATAACTCAGGATTTCTAGCCAATAACTATATGTTAACACCACTTTACAAGTTAAAAAAAAAAAGGGGCGGGGGAGAAACATCTTTAAATGCCTTGTCACACCAACAGCAAAGTGCGCAGAGTGAGGAGAACACAAGATTATTTTTTCATTTTAAAAATGTTTAGAAATAAATACAATTTTGATACAGCTTCAGGGTGCTCTGGACACCGATGGCCATTTCATGTAAACCACTGACAATTTCTAGAGCACTTTGAGAGACTACAATCTGATCGTGATCAAATTTTGTAATTAAACCTAATGAGGGCAACAGACACTTGATGTGTTAATTAAGGTGCTCCCCTACTCTAACGTATTCACATGGAGACAGATAAACAGTTTTTAAAATTCATCCTTCTCATCCTCTTTTTCCTACTCGTCATCTTTGTCTTCCTCTTCCACGTTTTTTCCAGGCAACCTTAGCAGGACCCTTTGCACCATCAAACTTTCTTTTAGTCAGCAACATCTTTCTCATACTTCTTCAGCTTTGTCGCCTTGGTGATGTAAGGTGGCTTTTCACTGTTACATGTTAATCTACATCTCACCCAGCCTTTTTGCGACATTTCCAATAGAGATACCAGGGTTTGTGGATTTGATATTAGGGCAGAATTTGGAACAGAGCAGGAAGAATCCAGACAGTGGGATCCAAACGAAGGATTAGGGACCAACTAAGGGAGGCAAGAATAAGGATCCTAATGCCTCCCTTAGCTGGTCCGTAATCCTTCATTTCCCAATCATAGCATACTTTATCCACCTTTGCCATTTCATCAAATTTAGACTTCTCTTTCCCAGACATTATCTTCCGCTTCTCAGGGCACTTCCTGGAAAATTCTGCAAAATTGACAGGGACCTCTGGGGTTTTCTTCTTATGTTCTTCTCTGCACATCTGCACAAAGAAGGCATAAGCAGACATCTTGCCCTTTGGTTTCTTGGGGTCACCTTTAGCCATCCTGACTGCATTGTTCACTAGTCTGGGCAAGCACAGGGCATGACACGCAGCTCAGCACTCCCCAGCCTCAAGCTAGCTGCCTCCACGAGAGATGCCTTAAGATTTTTAAAAGGAATAACATGTTGTAAACAAATAGAGTTTATCCCAGGAATGCAAAGGTTATTCAACATTTAAAACTTCATAAACACAACTCACCATGTTAACAGAATAAAAGGGAACAACTACATGATCATCTCAAGATAAAAAACAAATGAAAAATGCAAACAAAACCATTTGACAAAATTCCACATCTATTCACCATAAAAACTCTCAACAAACTAGGAGCAGAGAATTTTCTCAGCTGATGAATGGCATCTATGACAAACCTAAACTAGCTTTATACTCAATGGTAAAAGATGGAATGAGTTCTAATCTAAAATCACGGACAAAGCAATAATATCTGTTCTTACCAATTCTAACCAACATTATACAGGAGATTCTAGCCAGTGAAAGAGAAAAGTAAGAAATAAGTGTCATGTAGATTTGAAAATAAGAAGTAAAACTATCTTTATTCTCATGTGACATGACTGTGTACATAGAAAATCCTGAGTCTACAAAAATGCTACTAGAAATAAGAAGTTTTAGATCATAGAATACTAGCTCAACATACAAAAATCAAATATATGTCTACATAATGTCAAGAACAATGGAAAAGAAATTTTATGATACCATTCTCAATACCATTAAAAAATTCTATATTTAGGGATAACTTAACAACAAAAAGGTATACTACTTGTGCACGGAAAACTACAAAACATTGCTGAGAGAAATTAAAGATCTAAATAAATAGACATGAATTGGAAGACAATATTATCAAAAATCAGTTCTCCCCAAATTGATCTGTAGATGTAATGCAATCTTGACAAGTTGATTCTAAAATTTATATAAAGCTGCAAAACACCTAGAATGGTTAAAACAATTTTTATAAACAACAACTTTGGGATACTTGCCCTGTCTGATTTCAAGACTTACTATAATTCTTTTTTTTTTTTTTTTTTTTTTTTTTTGAGACGGAGTCTTGCTCTATCGCCCAGGCTGGAGTGCAGTGGCGCGATCTCGGCTCACTCCAAGCTCCGCCTCCCGGGTTCACGCCATTCTCCTGCCTCAGCCTCCTGAGTAGCTGGGACTACAGGCGCCCGCCACCGCGCCCAGCTAATTTTTTTTGTATTTTTAGTAGAGACGGGGTTTCACCGTGGTCTCGATCTCCTGACCTCGTGATCCACCCGCCTCGGCCTCCCAAAGTGCTGGGATTACAGGCGTGAGCCACAGCGCCTGGACGACTTATTATAATTCTATAGTTATTAAGACAAGGTGGTATTAACATAAAGACAGACATATAAATCAATGAAACAGAGTCCAGAAATGGAGCCAAACATATGTGATCAATTATTTTTTAATGAAAAATAGATCATAGACCTAAAGATAAAAAACAAACTATAAAACTTCTAAGAGAAAAACTTAAGAGCACATTTTTGTGACCTTAGGGTAGGCAAAATTTCTTAGATAGGACATCAAAAAGCACAAACCATAAAATACAAAACATTAAATTGAATTTCATAAAAGTTAAAAATACGTCTATTTTTGAAAGATATTATTAAAAAAATGACAGGACTGACCAGGAGCTGTGACTCACGCATTCAATCCCAGCATGTTAGCAGGCTGGGAAGAGGGGAACACTTAAGCCCAGGCGTGCAAGACCAGCCTGGGAAACGTAGTGACACTCCATCTCTACAAAAAAATAAGAATTAATTAGCCAGGTGTGGTGGCACACACCCGTGGTCCCAGCTACTCGGGAGGCCAAGGCAGGAGGATCACTTGAGATCAGGAGGTCAAGGCTGCAGTGAGCTGTGATTGTGCCACTGCACTCCAGGCTGGGTGACAGAGAGAGACCCTGTCTCAAAAAATAATAATAATAAATAAATAAATAAAGACAAGTCAAGCCACAGAATGGAAGAAAATGTATCAGATTAATACACACACATACACACACATACACACACACACACACAATCTAACAGAGAACTTGTATCCAAAATATATAAAGAACTCAATAAAAAGAAAACAAACAATGGCAAAAGATTAGGCCAGACCTCACAAAAGAAGATACATAAAATGATGCTCAAAATCTTCAGTCACAGGAAAACACAAAGTAAGACCATAATAAAATACACAGCTTAGCCACTAGCGTGGCTAAAATTTAAGACTGACAATATAATGTGCTGACAAAAATGTAAAGCAACTAGAACTCTCATACATTGCTGATAGGAATATTAAGTGGTACAAAAACCTTGGAAAATAATTTGGCGGCTTCTGAAAAGTTGAAAATATATTATCTTACTCTCAGCAATTCCATCCCCAGGTATTTGCCCAAGAGAAATGAAAACATTTTCCACACAAAGACTTATAAACAAAAGCTTGTAACAGCTTAATTTATAACAGACAACTAATGTAAACAACCCAACTGTCCATCACAAATGAATGAATAAACTCATCATGGTGTATCCACTTAATAGAATACTATTCAACAATAAAAAAGGAACAAACTATTGCTAACCACAAAAAAGGACGAATCTCAAGAGCAATGTTATGAGTAAAAGAAACCAGATACAAAGAATTACATACTTTATGACTCCATTTACATGAAACTCTGATAAAGACAAGGGCCGGTGGTGGCTCACACCTATAATCCCAATGCAACAGGAGGCCAAGGAAGGAGGAATGTTCAAGACAAGGAGTTTAAGACCAGCCTGAGCAACAAAACAAGACCGTATCTCTACAAAAACAAAAAAACCAAAAAAAACCCTTAAATTAGCCAGACGTGGTGGCGCATGCTGTAGTCCCAGCTACCCAAGAGGCTGAGGCAGGAGGATCACGTGAGCCCACGAGTTCAAGACTGCAGTGAGCCATGATTGCACCACTGCACTCCAGTCTGGATGACAGAGCGAGACCCTGTCTTTAAAAATAAATTAAAATTTTAAAAAGACAAATTTAACCTATAGTGACAAAAGCAGATCAGTTCTTGCCTGAGGCTGGGGTGGTGGGAGGGGATCGACCGCAAAAGGATACAGGTAGTACCAGCCACAGAATTTGCAGGGCACAATGCAAAATGAACTTGCAGGGCCCCTTATTAAAAAAATTATTAAGAATTTCAAGGCAGCAACAGCAGAGCAGTAAATCAAGCGTGGGGCCTTTCTGAGCACATGTCCTTGTGTGACTGCACAGGTTGTGCATACCCATGAAACCAACTGTGGACACAAGTGAACTTTTCATGGTATGAAAATGTCCTATATCTTGATGGTGATATTCTATACCTACATTTGTGCACATTTATCAAAATGCATAAAGCTATGGTTAAAATGGCAAGAAAGTCCTAGATTATTGAGGAGAACAAAACTGCAGACAAAACAGCCAACACTCTGGTGATTTGAAGTCTTCGTTAATCTACTAAAAACAGCCCTTATGCCTTCAGATTTCAACCATGCCCTCTCCAAAAGCCTCCTAGAACATCCTCATCTTCTTTCATTGTTTATTTATTAAATATTTACTCATGGACATTATACAAGAAGCCAGAGACACAAAGACTTTTTAAAAATGCAATTCCTGCTATCAAAGAATGAATGTTCCAGCACTGCGCTATCCAATACAATAGCTATTAGCTACAAGTGGCTATTTAAATTTAAATAAATGAAAATTAAATTAAGTTTAAAATGTATTTATGTGTTCATGCTACATTACAATTGCCCAATAGCCACATGTGGCTGACAGAGATGAAACTGGACAACAATCTCTTGGCAGAAAATTCCACTGGACAGAGATACGGAGGCAGGCAATGGGAGATATACATTATCTAGGTAGTTCCACATCTGTCCTGGTGTGAAATACTTGCTGAAACCACATCTTTTGCATTCCATTACCTACAAACCAGAAGCAGCCAGGCAAGGGGGATGCAGTGGGTGTGGGGTCCTGCTTGCATGGGGAAAAACAGCCAACCCCTGGAAAGCTTGCCTTTTGTCAAACGTGAGCTCACCTTGTCTTTCTGGGCTAAAATATTCTTAAGAAGCTCTCAATGAGTATTTCTCTAGTTCATTACAGTTATCCAAGTATTACTTGTTGCTCCAAGTACCCCAGGTGAGAGCATCAGCCCAGAGGTCTTCAACTCCTCCTTCCCAGTAGCCTAAGGGATGTGATGCTTGACCACCAGCTGCACTGACTTCCTGTCTGAAATTTGGGGAGGGGCATATCAGTGGCTGCAAAGACAGTAGTAATTTGTTGCCGACCTCCACCCTGAGATTTGGAAACACTCCCTCCTGTCTTTCCTGATGAAAATAACTTTGCACCAATGTAATATTTTAATCCCCCAGCTGATTCATGAAACCTTTCTTCAGTGTATCTGTCAAGGAGTTACCAGCCTCTGCTTAAACACCTCCAGTGATGAAGAGCTCTACTTCCTACCCCAGCTCATCCATCACTCGGTAGCAGTCTTCCTTTGATGCAATCAGACAGAAGGTGGCTATGGAGACTCCTCCCATTTGTCCCGGTTCCCTGAGGGCTCCAGGTTCCCCACCCAGAACCTTATCCTCTCCTACCTAGAAGTCTGTCCTCATCAGCATCTCTCCATGAGCCCTGTGTAGGAGGAGACCCTAGCATGTTCTGCTCCTGCATCCTCTGTCATAGAGAGTGTGTAGAAATGGTGGCCCTCTCAGCATCACTGGTCCAGAACCTCATTTAAGGTCTTCTATTAAGCTCTTCTATTAACAAAAAAATCATCAAAAAAATTACCTTTACATCTATGACAAAACCATTGTTGAAAGTGCAAGTCGCTCAGGCTTCTCTGCATAAGATCCATGTGAGACATTTCCTTTTAGAATGAAGCTCTGTTTTTTAAAAAAAAATTTCCAAGAAATTGTTACATTTTCTCTTTTATTATGAGACCTCTGTAGGTATTTCTCATAAGGCTGCCCTGAAGCTCAGCACCAACACAGCCCCTCAGACTTTGCCCCTCTGCAGCCATGCCCCTTCTCTTACCTGAGGCTGTGTCCTGGTGACACCAACACTTCTGTGGCTGCTGAAGCGGCAGCTGCTGCTGCTGCAGTTGTTTTGGAAAGCTCAGAAGTGGCTCAGTGAGAAGAATGGAGAAGGTGGACTCTATTTATAGTGATCCTCCTGGCTCCCTGCCCTCCCACCTCAGCCATCGTCCTCGCTGGCCCTCCTGAGGAGGCCATAAGCAGGGCTAGGGATGGGGGACCCACCTGATGAAGATAAGAAAGGCAGATCAAGGGACAGCAACATTTCTGAAATGTATGTTACAAGGAGTTGTGAGTAGCTTCACATGTGGGCCTAATAGATGTTTCTTAAAATGCCATAAAAAATGTTTTAATTATTAGCACCATCTCAAAGTGAATTACCATTTCACTCAGGAGGATGCCTTTCCTAAGGGCTTCTCTCCCTCTTTGTCAATTTCACATCCCCCAGTCTAGTGGAGCATTTACACACTGCTCCCCTCCCTGGCAAATGTACCCATACAAAGAGCTGTATCCTTTCTTCAAAGCCCTTTCCACTTGCTCACACCTGAGCATCCCATGCTGAGGCCAGCACCGGGCAGCCTGCTGAGCATACATTCTCACTTGTCTTGGAGGTAAGTGGGATCTGTGAACAAACCCTGGGGACCAGGTGTGTTTCAAAATCTTGAACTTTTTGGACTTTAGAAAGATAATATAGAGCATATTACCCATATTACGTAAAACCCTAGTGGGGTCTGGGCAGTACTCAATAGTCAAACGCATCAACATTTCTGCATCAAATGTTCACACTACATGGAATAAAGATGACAAAGAGGTCAGTTGAAGTCAGGTTATGCTGTCAAATCCGTTTTTTTTTAATTTAATTTTCAGAACTGTTTTACCTTTTAGAATTGCAAATAAGGTATGGTAGGTCAACCTTGCCTCTCCTCTCCTTTTTATTGCTTGAGTTGTTTCCCAAATTAATCTGCAATAAAGAGATTTCCACTTTGTTCGTAGGCAAAGTTTGAAAGCCAGTTAATAAATAGTGATGAAATCCTTGTGCTTGACCCAAATTTAAATAGAAAAAAAAATCTTTGTTTCACTTGGGCAAATCCCTTTCACAATGACCCAACACCTGCCCATCTGTCGTCTTCTGTGTTCCCTAATTTGCCTTCACAGAACCAAGCCATCTGCCACCTTTCAGCCTCCACCACCTTGCACCTGCACCTTCCAGATGGCCACCTTCTCTTCAAAAGCATCTGATCCCTCCTTTAATCTCCCCTGACGTCCAGAGTCAGTGTGTGTTAATCACAGAGTTATGCGGCAGCTTCATCCTGGAAGGAAAGATGATAACTACTCATTCTCTGAGTGTCACTCACAGCCTCCTCTTAAATAGAATTGGTGTGGGATCACAGAAAATCTCTTGATGAATTTCAGAGAAATCTCCTAGAGGGCCTCCCCCAAGGTATAACCCTCATCACTTTCAGGTTGACCAGATGCAAACACTGCATTTTTTTCTAACCCACATCCACTTTCCACAAAGCCCTCTCTGGCCAAATCCACACCATCCTTGACTCGCCCTCCAGCCTCCCTTAACAAGTGGGTATAATGCTTTAGAGAGGGCTGAACATATGTGCTCGTGTTTCTGCTCTTTTTATAACCCAGAAGTTGGGTTATAAAGTTGGATGTCAGAGGATAGTTCTGCATCCTCCAGACATTTTTATAGCTCTGATCCCCATCTCATGACAATCCTGGAGTACTTCAAGGCCCTTTGCTTTCCGGTGCTTGCTCCACTTTCCTGATCCCACTGAATTCTGCATCTCTTGCCTCTTGACTCTGAGCATGACTGATGGTGCATTAGCTCATATGTGGAACACAGTCTCCTCTCTTTGACCATCTCTAGACTCTTGCATGGCAGGCACTCAGGGCAGTACACTTTTCACTGAAGGTGTATTAGGTGGTGTGGGGCCTGGCTACATCGCAGGTCCGGCCATTAAGCAGCCTAAAAGTGACTATCTGACCCCTTAAAAAACAGGCTTTGAACTTAGGTTCGGTCCTCTACCTCTCTCCGTGGCATCTCTCCATGTGGCATCTCAAAAATCTGCTCATTTGAATTTGCAGAGCAATTTCACTTTCTTTGCTGCGGTCTGGCTGAAATGAACCAAGCCTAATTGGACCAAGACCAAACTATGTGAGCTCTGCCACACTGTCCACCAGCAGGGTGCTGGACGCAGCTTCTCTTTGATGAGCACCTGTATCTGTGGTCAGATTCAGGGTATGTGTATGCCTGTGAATTTGATTGTGCTGGGTCTGGGTGTATTTGTGTTTGCATCTGTATCTCTAGATTTCTGTGTCCTGAGAGAGTGTCCAGCTGTAATAATAATCATAGTAGCAAAAACGGGAGCCCACACTGGGCTAGGTACTGTCCAAGTACCTAACATGTAATCGTTACGACGTTCCTGTGTTATTATCATTCCTGTCTTACAGACAAGAGACCTGAGGTATAAAAAAGTTAAACAACCTCACCATCTCCTCAAGTGACTGGGGATCTCTGGGTGTGGGGTCCCCTTAAACATCTTTCTCTGTGTATTTTACATAGTTATGTGCTCTTATGTGTGTCCACATTCGTGTATGTATGTGTGCGTGTTCACAGACCCAGAAACCCCATAGTCTCATCCTGGACCCTTGCTTACCTTAGAGTTCATCTCTCTTGTCCTGGTCCTGGGAAGGTTTGTGTCTAAAGTGATAGGTCTTGGTGTGCGGACCGTGGACAGTGATGAGAGAAGATGATGTCTGTGCCTGCATTCCTGACATGATTGTATTCCCCCAGCTTGCCTGCTTTTTCAGTAGGACCAACATCCCATGTCTTCTGTGAGCTTCTCTGTAGAACCTAGTGGGAGAGGCCCTCTGGGTGACCAGGGCTTGGCACCTTTCTTTGGTGATGCACAGGTGTTGTCAGGCTCCACTTGTTAGGGCAGATCAAGACCAGGTAGGTTCCAGCTGCCATGTGAAGAGACGCATGCAGATTAGACATGAGGCAGGACTTCCTAGCAGTGAAGGTTAATGGATAAAGGACTATTAAAGGGCAATGGTGGCAGACAGCTTTCGCCTTGTTCTGAGCACAGGTGAAAACCCACCTCTCTAATGGTTTGAATGTTTACCTACTTCTACCAAATATTGAGGAGCTATTATTGCCTCACGCTGTGCTGAACATTTTACAAATGCCATCTCTAACCCTTAAAACAACTGAATAAGCACAGATTGTTGCAATTGTCCTCTTGTTATTGATGAGGAAATGAGGCTCAGAGAGTGATTTTTCCGAGGTCACACAGCTAGTGACAGATCCAGGGAACAAATTCAAGTCTTTCTGGCTCCAAAGCCCAAGCTCCTTCTACTGCATAAAATTATCTGCAGGCTATTTGCTGAATTCCTTGGGATATTTCTGTTTCCTTCGGTAAGTTGCCACCTCATGCTGGAGGGGCTGCTGTGTTTCTGTAATCCCAGGGTTTGCTGGCTTGGAGGGAGGCAGTCAGCAGTCTCCTTCTGAGCCATGCTAGCCATTAAAAGAGCACAAGGCTTTCCTCCAGCTGCTACTTTGTCCATCCTCACAAACTCTCAACACACTGATCCAAGGCTGATTCTACCCACTGTACAGTAAGGGAAACTGAAGCACCTGCCCACTGTCACCACCGCTGGCTTCTGGTGTCTTCCCATCCAGGTCCACCGTGGGACTTCCTGGTCCTGAGCCTCCCCTGCCTCACCAGCTTTCACCGTGTGGGCTGTGGCTGATAGTTGGGGGATCAGAGCCCAAATGCTCCACAAGCAGAAACTCATAACTTCCCTGCTGGGGCTCGGGGGACCCAGTTCTCCACCCTCCCTTTCCTAAGAATTGTTCTCAGGGGAAAGCTCTGAATCCTCACAGTGGCTTCCCAGGCCCTGCCTGATCTGAATCCTGCCTCTTGCTTTACTCACCTCTCCTGGACCACACCAACCACGCTGTCTGTCAATGTCCCAAAGCTCTCAGCTTCTTCTGTTTCTTCTACTTGAAATACTCCTCCCTGGTGAACTTTCTACCCTCTCAATCTCCTCTTACATGGACTTTATTTATTTATTTATTTTGAGATGAATTTTCACTCTTGTTGCCCAGGCTGGAGTCTAATGCTGCGATTTTGGCTCACTGCAACTTCCATTTCCCAGGTTCAAGCGATTCTCCTGCCTCAGCCTGCTGAGTAGCTGGGATTACAGGCATGCACCACCATGCCTGGCTAATTTTTTGTATTTTTAGTAGAAATGGGATTTCACCATGTTAGTCAGGCTGGTCTTGAACTCTTGACCTCAGGTGATCCACCCACCTCAGCCTCCCGAAGTGCTGGGATTACAGGTGTGAACCACTGTGCCCAGCCCTTCTTACGGGGACTTTCCTCAGGGAAGTCCTCCCTGGCCCTCCAGATCCTGCCAGGACCCCCGTTAGATACATTCAGAGCCCCCTGAACTATGCATTCATCATTCACAGCAAATTGCAGGCAATTATTTGTGTGATTGTTTAGTGTCCCCCTGCCCCAGACTACAGGGTGTGTGAAGACAGGGACTGGAAGGAAGGCACAGGCATGTGTCTTATCCATCACCATGACTCCAGTCCACAGTACCTGGCACGGAGTGGCTGCTCGATAAATATTTGACAGATGAATATCGACATGCTAGAAAGGAGGGAGGGAGGGAGGGAGGGGAGGGTAATCAGCCTCTGAAATCCCACGAGAATTTGGTTTGAAAGTTGCACCATGTCCTTTGAACTCCAGTGCTCACTAGCTCATTTTGCTGTAGAAATGTCAATGGCAAAGCCAGCAACCCTTTGAGGCCACTTAGGGGAGAAAACATATCACGGCAGGACAGTCAGAGGAAGCTGTTCCCAGGAATGTTGAGACTCCTACTCTGCGGGTCCCTGACTCACTTCCCAGACACGTCTGTGACGTTGGCCTCAGTCAAGGTGCTCATCACTCACAGGCGTGACTCCGTTGGACCCTGCAGTCCCAGATGACTCAGTCTCCACTCCAGCCAGACCTCCCGCTGTCTCCTGTGGCCTGCCAGCTGGGCTCCGAGGCCCTGACACTGCACGTGTGGAGGGCTGAGGTCGCCATCTCCACCACCACTGTCTCAGCCCTGCCCTCAGACCTCAGTCACTGTGGACTTTCTCTCCTTCCCCAAGAATGCTTCATTTGTCACCTCTTTCTTGAGGGAGGACAGGGAGGGACCAGGAAGTCAAATTCTACTCCTCTGATCATCCTGCCCCTCTTTCATTTCTAGGAGCCAGCCAAGGAGATGTATTTGCCCTCAGACCTCCTTGTGACCCCTTCAGGGAGGCCCCCAGGTGAGGCAGGCCTGCCCTCCATGGTAGAGTCTGAGCTTCACCATGAGTCTCACTCACCCCAGGGAATCTTGGAAACACTGAGGGAGGCTGTGAGAAAGGTTGGGATGAAGCACGGTGTCAGAGGCAGCCGCAGTGAAACTCCCGCTTGCTCATCGCTGTGGATGACCAGAAGTGGCTGTGCGTCCAGACCCGTCTACCCACTTAACCACCAGCCTGCAAAGTCAGGCCTGATGCAGCTGGAGCAGCTCAGTGTAGGCAGGGATGCAACCACAGGTCTCGGGTCAGAGAGGCTGCTCCATCCCTCACATCCCTGGGATGGTGCTTTCACCATCCTGTTTTTCTCTTATCCCAGGCATCTTTGCCTGGGAAAGTCCTTTAGAAATCCACAGCTGGCTTTTCCCAGAAGGCTGCCTGCAGGCACTCAGCAGTAAAGGGCTCTGTGTTCCAGCTAGAGTGAGCAGCCCCAGCTTTGACCTGGGTGCAATGCAGCCTGTGGGCTTCCCAGGATGCTCCCACAGGCGTCAGTGACTTGCGAACCTACTGGCCAAAGTATGGTCCCTGGAGCATCATATGGGACTACTGTACATGACTGACACCCGGAGGAAGGCTAATGTAGGCCAGCCTCCTCATTTAACAAATGGGTAAACTGAGGCCTAGGTCACACTGGCAGTGAAAGTGTGAGCTGAACCTGAAAGAAGGCCTTGTCTTTCCAAGGTGGGAGGTCTCCCTGTGAGCTTACTGAGTTAGGAGTCTCTGTCTTATCACCTCTATGTAGTCTCCAGTGCCAGCACCCAGCCTTGCTGAGAGATGAGTTTTAAGGGCCTGCCTCAGAGAGAGCTTAGAGGGGGCCCCCAAAAGAAGAAAAAGGTAAAAGGGAGGCTTTGCCATAGAAGGAAGGCTGCTTTAGGCTCTTCTCAGACAAAGTAAGCTATTCCTCTGAAACCCCAAGCAGGAGCTAATCAAGGACATTCCTTAACTTGAACTATTGTTTGTTTGTTTTTGGGACAGTGGTTCACTCTGTCACCCAGGCTGGAGTGCAGTGGCACTATCATGGCTCACTGTAGCCTTGACCTCCCAGGCTCAAACGATCCTCCCACCTCCTCCTGAGCAACGGGGACTACAGGCACGTGCCACCATGCCTGGCTAAATTTTTTATTATTTTTTGTAGAGATGGGGCCTCACTATGTAGCCCAGGCTGGTCTCAAACTCCTGGGCTCAAAGATCCTTCCACCTCGTCCTCCCAAAGTGCGGGGATTATAGGTGTGAGCCACTGCACCTGGCTTTAACCTGAACTCTTAACAGACTAGACAAGCAACTCACACCGAGAGCTATCCATACTTAAGCAAGAGAGTAAAATGGGACAGAGCACATATATATACAAATACGATGAGCCAGGCGTGGCGGCTCACGTCTGTAATCCCAGCACTTTGGGAGGCCAAGGTGGACAGATCACCTGAGGCCAGGAGTTTGAGACTAGCCTGACCAATATGGTGAAACACTGTCTGTACTAAAAATACAAAAATTAGCTGGGTGTGGTGGTGTACGCCTGTAATCCCAGCTACTCGGGAGGCTGAGGCAGGAGAATCTCTTGAACCTGGGAGATGGAGGTTGCAGTGAGCCGAGATCGCACCATTGCACTCCAGACTGGGCAACAAGAGTGAAACTCTGTCTCAAAAAAAAAAAATAATGATGTACAGCTTAAATTTTCTTTCCTTGTCTTTAAAATACACACACACACACACACACACACACAGAGGTTTCTTTATATTTGGGAAATTTTTTTATACTCTCTGGTGGGTAAAACAAATTAATGATGTTATATTTCATTATTGCAAATAACTTTGGAAGAGAGGATTGATCCTTGATCGCTGGTGTGGTGTTTTCAGAAAATCTTTCCATTTTCTTAACTGAAAGCTGTGTCTCTCCCCAGAGGGCAGGGAATGGGCAAGGCCCCAGGAAGGAAGCACCTGCCCTCACACCGAAAGGAATGTCTCAGCACTGCCCGGTGTGCATTTGCTTCCTTGCCGTCCCTCCTGCCATTACTACACTTCTTACTATGGCAGAGGGCCTACTGTCCCTGAGTGCTCAGTGCCAGGCCCAGGATCTTCAAGAGACAGCGTGAGAAGGCATGCAGCATAGAAGGGTGGATTGCCGGGTAGAACCGTGAGGCCCTCAGAGGGGATGTGGGAAGCCTGGGAGTAGCAATGGGCATTGAGTTACGTAGGGAAGATGGAAATAAGAAATATAGGCAAGAAGAGAAAGAAATTAGCATTTTTTGAGCACCTACTAAGTGCCAGGCAACATACAACAAGAGGAATCAATTACATGGGGCCCGGTAATTTACCAGGCACTTTCCTACAATCTCTCTCCCTCTCTCTGTCCCATTTTCCATAACGCTTTTCACCTCTGAGTGTCAGATTATATATGCATCTACTGATTTACTTGTTAACTGTCTGCTCCAATGGAATGTAAATTCACAATGATATTTCTGTAGGTCTAATGTACTGCTGAGCCTAGCACATAGCAGTTTAGAGTTTAGTCAACAGTCATTCAGTGAATAGATAAATAAAATCATCATGATAACTTTTTTGAGAGGGATCTTCTTCCACTTCTTCCCTCCATGTCATCTGCCTTATCCATGAACATTATTTCATCTGGTCTTTACCACACTATTGTAAAGGTAAGTTCTCTTTTTTAGAGTGAGGAGGTTTGGGCTCCGAGAGGGCAAGTGTCTTGCTCAAGGTCACTCAGCAAGTAACTGTCAGAGATCAGATTTGAACCCAGGACTCTCTGCCATCTTTCCCCACAAAGAGAGAGAGCAGTTCAAGGACATGCTGAGAAGCAAGGGCAGATGATACCCACTGTTACAGCTGCCCCTAGACAGATCCCAATGCTCTGCAGTGGTGAGGAAGAGTGTGCCAGCAGGACCTGAGGATCTGGGGCAGTCCCTGAGCCCTTGAGCTCCAGCCTTCTCATCTGTAAGATGAAGGCTTCAACTAGATGAAGGCTGAAATCCCTTGCAACTCTGAGATGCTAAAACATGATCTTCTTTGTGATCATGGACCTGAGCCAGAGGACTTGTGCACTGAATTCCATCTTTCCCCTACGTCTGTATATAGTGCCCAAAGTCCAGCTAGTTCATATGGACCTTTGTCACACAGGGGCATAGTGGAACTGGGGTGGGCTAAACCAGAGGCAGAGAGGCCTGACCACAGTGGGGACAAAGATGAACATTGAGGCAAGGGCAAAGGGGGATTGTATGGGGAAGGAAGACGCAACAGAGAGGGGAGCAGGGGCCAGGCCAGAAGCATTCTGGGTGGCCTCCCTCAAGCCATCCCCATGTCCCTGCAGGTAGCTCTTGCCTCCTCTTCCCTTTCCTGTCATTCTCTCTTTATCACTCTACTGCACTGGACAGAAGACAGAACTGAGTGTATTCCCTTGCTTTTTTCCCCATGCTGGATAGTCCTTGCTCTCCATTTCAGAAGTGAACTGGCTCTACATTTTTCTTTCAAGCCCATTTTTCTTCCATATGGCTTATGTTTCTGCCAATGAACCTGACTGACGCCTTTTCCCTTGGATCAGTATCCTTAGCAGGGTCTCTGGTGTCTAGGGCCCTGTCAGCAGCTCCCTGCATAGTGTGAAGATGCTGTCCCCATGAGAGTGCTTAGCATGAGGCAGCTTCCTTGGGGAACACACCTCTCGCCCACACCTGATGGGTGCACCCTTGAATAGTGCCCTTCACTGCCCACCCTTGCCCTCTGCTCCACCTTTGCTTTGCATGGCAGACTAGGGATTAGGTGACTTGCATTGTGGACTGGGGATCCCTGGGAGCTGAGCCAATGCCATCTGTTGTGGCTGTAATCTGACACCCACATCAGGGGGGGCCTGATGCTGCTCTGAGCCTGGTTGGTGGACATCCCTCTTCCATCAGGCAACACAAAACACCCTCCGTAGGGGCAAACCCCAGCCAGGCAGATGGGACAGAGCCAGATGTGACACCCCACATCACAGTTGACATACTGCTAGCTCCATCCTTGCCCCAGAGTGAGTGGCCTTCTGGAGATGACCAGATGTTTGGGCTCCCAGGGATAATCCCAATTCAAATGGCAGTCCTGAGCCTTCCAAGAACTGGACCCTGAAGGTCAGGACAGTTCAGGGCTGCAGAGGCTTGCCAGGGAGACGTCCACTGTCTGGGGAGAGGAAACAGCTTCCTGGGTGCAGGCTGAGAGGAGAGGGGCCCAGACACACCTGGGAAGGGGCTTCACACAGAGGCAGAGGTAGTGGCAGTGAGGCCCAGGAGACAGTAGTCCTGAGAGCAGAGGTGTCCACAGGCAGAAGTGAGATTAATTAGTACAGGGAAAGTGGCCAGGGCTAGAAAGGATGGCTTTTCTGGGAGAGAAAGGGCCTTGAATGTAGGATCAAGGGACATAGGCTTTTTCTTGCAGGAAGTGGGACACAACCTCATGATTTCCACCCCACCCTCCAGCTTTTCTATTCATCTTCTTAAGAACCCAGGTGTATTAGGCCATTCTTATGTTGCTATAAATAAACATCTCAGGCTAGGTAATTTATACAGAAAGAGGTTTACTTGGCCTATGGTTCTGCAGGCTTTACAGGAAGCATGGTGCTGGCATCTGCTCAGTTTCTAGGGGGACCTCAGGAAGCTTCCAGTAATGGCAGAAGGGGAAAGGGGAGCAGGTGTCTCACATGGAGAGAGCAGGAGCAAGAGAAGGAGAGGGGGAGAGTGCCACACACTTTTAAACAACCTGATCTTGCTAGAAATCATTCTCTATTGTGAGGACAACACCAGGGGGATGGTGCTAGCCCATTGATGAGAAATCCACCCACATGATCCAATCATCTCCCACCAGGTCCCTCCTCCAACACTGGGTATTACATTACAACATGAGATTTGGTGGGGACAAATATCCAAACTGTATCACTAGCTATAGAAAGAACTTACTTGACAACAAAAGAAGTATAGCAAAGGCTTTGTGCCCTTGGGATTCACTGGTCTTACCACATGCCCCATCACCCAGAAGCAGCAGGCCAGATAGGATAGTGGAAGGGCCTGCTGAAAACCCAGTCACAGCTCCAGTTGGGAGAAAACACCCAGCATAGGCTTTGACTCAACAACGAGTATATGATGCTGCTTTCCCCATAGCCAAGATACTGAAGTCTGGGAATCAAGGGCAGAAGTATGAGTGACTCCTCTCACTATTACAGCCAATAATCCATCAGCAATGTTGCTTCCCATCCCAACTTAGAGCCCTGCTGGTTTGGAGGTCTTAGTCCCCAAAGGGAGGGCACTCTACCAGGAGACACAAACACTGATTCCATTAGAATGGAAGATGGGACTGCCATGTGGCCATTTGGGGATCCTTGTGCTACTGAGCCAGCAGGCAGAAAAAGGGGTTACTTTACAGGCTAGGATGACTGATCCTGATTACCAAGGGGAAACTGGGTTATTGCTACACATGGTAGCACTATGGTAAGGGGCACTATGCCTGGAACTCAGAGGATGTCCTAGGGTGCTTCTTGGTATATCTATGTCCATGTCCTATGACTACTGCCCAGAGATGGATACCAGAAAGGTAGGATGTTTTGTATCCTGATTTTGATGGAGGTTGAGTGCATCTTTGTTTTTCTGAAGGATAATTGCATCTTATTATATGGAAGCATAAGACGGTAAAAGTTAATGAAAAATTTCAACAACCAAAAACACATCAGGGCCACTGAGGACTCAGACCACCTAGGCACAAAGGTTTGGGTCAGCCCATCAGGTCAAGAACCCCAGCCATCTGAGACTGTAGCAGCTATGCTTGTGTGTGTGTGCGTGTGTGTATTCCTCCATTCTTCCTCCCATTTTTATTTTATGTGAGGATTGCCATTGGTAGTTACCTGTAAAATTTGGTCTTAGGTTATGAAGTAATTGGGTAGGACTATGACAGAATTAGAGAAATAATTAACATCACCCAGAGGTAGGTTCTATGACTACTACCCAGAGATGGTTACAATAACGGGGGGATGTTTTGTATCCTGATTTTGATAGAGGTTGAGAGCATCTTTGTTCTTATGAAGAACAGAGAGTTGGATCTTATTATATGGAAGCATACAGTTGTAATTGTTATATGGAAGTTGAAGTATTAACAAAAGGGTGTGTATATCGGTGTTCAGTAGCTAAAGAGGTAGACTCTGTTGGTCATTATGTCATTATCTCTCTGCTGCACATTCATCTCCTTATGCTCTTTTTGATGCTGGGAGTAGGACTCCACACACTGCATCTTCCTTTAGCTAACTTGGTCTCTGTTGGGCTTCACTAACAGGAGGTGCTAGATAAAGGTAGAACTTGTTCCTTCCTTTTTGCTTTCTGTCTTAGAAATGGGCCTTGCCCTGTGCAGCAGCATTGGGTTCCAGCCCCCAATTTCTTTACAAATTCCTAGAACCAGCTTCATCTAGGTTCTGATAACCATACCTTCTCTTTGTTCTCCATTAAACTTTTATATCAATGGTGTGTGTGTGTGTGTGTGTGTGTGTCTGAGAGAGAGAGAGAGAGAGAGATTGAGGGAGAGAGAGAGAGGCTCTACTTCCTGGGTTGCAAAATTAAATGGTTGTTTTGTTTTTTTTAATTATAAGTTGTGGTCAAAGAGTTTGGAGAAACCACTGGTCTAGGGATCTTTCTTTGTTTCTTTGCTTTGCTTTTCAGAGATGGGGAAAGTCCTAACAACATCAGTATATTTTATTTTATCAGTCAAATGAGTACTCACTGAGCAGCTATATACCTGCTGGAGATTCAGAGGAAGCATTGCATGCCTCTAAGGAGTTTACACTGTGTCGATGCAGCAGGCAATATGAGAGAGGGGGTGGTGTGTGAGAGGGCAGGTGTAGGCTGGATGAGAAGCTGGATGTTTGGCTGTGCCCACTCAGATGCTACCTTCTTGACATTTTGACAGGTTATGTCAAAGCATAAAACACTGTTTCTTAAAATAATCAGTCAACATACAAAACAGACTCTCATAACCTTTACTCCAGTCCTGACTCTCAACCTACTTAGGGGTGAGGCTCAGGAAAGAATGTCTACGTACTTGGTCTTTTTTTTTAAGCCTAAAGTTTAATGGTTGGATTTTAGGCTGAGTCGAAAGGTCCTCACATCAAAACAACTGCGTGTGAAGCAGCTGCTACAGTTGCAGTCAAAATGGATGCAGGAAAATTCCATGGGCCTTCCCCGTGGCGGCCCCTCACACAAACTCTTACTTTTCCACTCTGCCAACTTGAGGTCAATATGGCTTTAAAAGTGTGGCATCTGTGTCAGCCAGCTCTGGCCTCCCAGGTGAGAGCTAAGTAAACAGGAGTCCTGGGGATGGCAGTTTCTTCACGAGAGGGCCACGGTGGGTTTTTCCAAGGGAATGAAAGGTTGCCTTTGTGCAGAGGGGAGGGGAAGGAGAATCTGCTCTTTCAGGCTGCCTGCTCTCCATGACCTCATCGGTGTTGACTTTCCCACCATTTCATCTTGGAGCCAGAGAGAAGGCAGACAAGGGACTGGTGAATAGTGTCACCTCACTATAGAGTCAGGGAGGCAGGGCAAGTCATGGATGGCCACTTCTTAGGTCAGGTGACAGGGTGCTGAAGGAGGGAGAAGGGCAGCCACAAGACCCTGAAACAAATCTGTCTTCACCCTGGACAAGGCACCCAGGTGTGCCCAGATGACAAATGCCTGTATTATTTTTCTCAGGAGGATCTAACATGAAAATGACACTTTGCCCTGTAATTTTGGCACTTCCTGGAAAACCATAATTACCCACCCCATTATAATTACCCTGCCATCACTCTTCTATTTGGAACACTTGCTTCCGTGAGTTCTATTCTTACATTCCTTCCCTGCCTTGAGAAACAAGACAAAGCACTTTAAATGGTTTCTTGATGGACATTTTTCTCCTCGAAGGACATTTATATATTCCATGCTACCACCTGAACATCTATTTTAACTTTCATATAAATAAGAGTATTTTTCTAAGTGAGTGAAAGGAGAGGAATGAGGAGTTATTTTTCATGACCAGCCAAGAATAGAACCAAATGTTCTGTTCTCATCTATGTCATCTCCTGATTTTGCTTCTTCTTTAAAATGTCTACAAAGAATTCAGCCTTTTCAGGAAGAACCAGCCTGATGTGGCAGAAAGAACACACCATCATCCAGATGTTTGCCTTTGCAGGAAGAACCACACCCTTCTGGGGTTGGTTTATTAATTGAAGAAATAAGAATTAGACAAAATCAACATTTGATTTCTCAGCATTTTCCTGGGTGCTAAAGCTATGCCACCAGGGATTTCAGGTGGCATATGAGCAGGGCATCAAATGACAGTGAAGTAGACACTGAAAGAATTACTTCCTTTGCAACTCTCTTTCCGTCCTTTGATACTATAGGGGAGAAAGTCTCAATTTGGTGCTGGTGGGCCTCTCATATGTTTCTAATGCTTTCTAATCTCCTTTTGTGACAGATAGAGCAGGTCTTAGGTCCTAGCCTCTGCTGGCAGTAGGAGTTGGGATTGAATAACATCATTTTGATTTTATTATTTTAATTTTTTTCTTCTACCTTTTATTTATTTTTGGTACTACTGGTTTTCTACTTACAGTGAAAATATAGTTTCCTTTTTAGTTTTTATTTTTTCATTAAAAAGTGTGTTCATTTTTTCACTGGGAGAGAAGAGCAAAAATTGGGGTGGAAAGTGTGTTTTAAGTAAACATCTCTGGATTAACCTTCCCAGATATTGGAAGAGTCAAACCAAAGAAACATATGGTACCTGCAAATGTTGTATTAAAGGTGATCAAATTGGGCATGTGCTCTGCAAATGAACTCTCACTTAAACAGCAGAAATAAACTGAGTACAGATAAACACCTCTGACTATTAGCAGAGAATTGGAGGGGTTTCTTTTCTTTATATAAAAAATTACGGTGGTTTTCTTTGGCTTAAACAAATTTATACATATAAACTTCGGCACTCTTTGCTCTCACAAAAAAATGAAATCATGTTGTACACACTATCCTGCATTTTGCTTTATTCATTCAAAAAAAACTCTCAGAAATCTTCCAAGTCCACTGCTATGGCTCTTATTCATCTTTAGAAGCCATATGTACCGTGTATATACTATGGTGTAGATGTATCACAATTACTTCAACCATCCTTCCTATGTATCATGCATTCACACTGATTCTGATTCTTGCCCTTCATAAACAATGCTGCTAGAAACATTCTCACATGTATGCCTTGACACATTCATTGTTCAATTTCTAAGTGATAGATCCTCAGGAATGGGATTTCTGGTCAAAGGGGAACTGTATTTTTATTTTAATAGATGTTCATAGATTATATTCCCAAAAACCTATAGCAAGTCACATTTCCACCAGGTCCGTAGGATAGTGCCTCTTTCCTCAACCTCCTCCAGCAATCCATGCTATACCTTCTTAATTTTTGCTCGTCAAATGAGCAAAAGTAAGATTTTATTTTTTAGTTTAGTTTGCGTTACCTTGATGGTTGGTGTTTTTCAACATTTTCTCTTTTGTTTCTTGGTCATTCTAAACTTCCTCTTCATATCCTTTGCCCATTTTTTTTCTTTTGGGTCATCTTTTACTTATCAATTTGTAAAAGCGCTTAGTATATTGTAGATATGACTCTTTGGCAATTATATTAATTTTTTTTTTTTGAGACGGAATTTAGCTCTTGTTGCCCAGGTTGGAGTGCAATGGCACTGTATTTTGGCTCACCACAACCTCTGCCTCCTGGGTTCAAGCTATTCTGCCTCAGCCTCCCGAGTAGCTGGGACTACAGGCATGTACCACCACACCCAGCTAATTTTGTATTTTTAGTAGAGATGGGGTTCCTCCATGTTGGTCAGGCTGTTCTCAAACTCCTGACCTCAGGTGATCCGCCTGCCTCGGCCTCCCAAAGTGTTGGGATTACAGGTATGAGCCACCGCGCCTGGCCGTTTATTTTTGTTGTTTTATTTTGTTTTTTTGAGACAGAGTCTCACTCTGTCACCCAGGCTGGAGTGCAGTGGCACAATCTTGGCTCACTGCAACCTCCACCTCCCAGGTTCAAGCAATTCTTCTGCCTCAGCCTCCCGAGTAGCTGGGATTACAGGTGCCTGCCACCACACCCAGCTAATTTTTGTATTTTACTAGAGACGGGGTTTCACCATGTTGGCCAGGCTGGTCTTGAACTCCTGGCCTTGTGATCCACCTTCCTCAGCCTCCCAAACTATTGGGATTACAGGTGTGAGCCACCGTGCCTGGCTATGTTAAATTTTTTTAAGAATATATTGGAATAATCTGTTATTCGAAGTACTTTAGCCATGCAAAAGCTTTACATTCTATGTACAGTCAAATATGTCTATCTTTTCTAGCTAGTGCTGGTTAAGAAGGACTATCCTAAATTGTATGAAGAGTGATCTAGATTTTTTTGCAGGAATTTCTTTGCTTTGTATGATCAATCTAAATTTATTTTTTTGATACGATAGAAGAAGTACTGTACAACTTTTATTTTTTCCAGATAGATAGCCTGTAGTGCCAATAACCTATTTCATATCCCACTGAATAAATAATAAATATATTCATAATAAATTCTCGTATAATCTGGAATCTATTCATAGACTGCCTGCCTAATCTGGTCCACTTTTCTGTGTCTATTCCTATGCCAATACCATAGTAATTTGACTACACTGACTTTGTATTACATTTTGTTACCTGCTAAAGATACCTCACCTATTTATATACAGTTTAATCTTTATAATCATTAAAAGCATTTATCCCATTCAAATATTCCTATGAAAAATTAACCATTAAATTTATATTTTAATGATGGAGAATTAATAGTTTACGATATTGCCATCCCAAACAAGAATATGTTATATTTTTCAATAAGATTTTATAGTTTTCTACAAATACACTGTGTGTGTGTTGTTTTCTTTTGCTTGCTTTTTTTTTTTTTTTGAGATGGAGTTTCGCTCTTGTTGCCCAGGCTGGAGTGCAATGGCGCGATCTCGTCTCACCGCAACCTCCGCCTCCCAGGTTCAAGCAATTCTCCTGCCTCAGCCTCCCAAGTAGCTGGGATTACAAGCATGTGCCACCATGCCCGGCTGATTTTGCACTTTTAGTAGAAATGGGGTTTCTCTATGTTGGTCAGGCTGGTCTCGAACTCCCGACCTCAGGTGGTCTGGCTGCCTCAGCCTCCCAAAGTGCTGGGATTACCGGTGTGAGCCACTGCTCCTGGCCGACTGGGTTTTTTTTATGCTAAATTTATTCTAGGCACCATGTAACATTTGCCACCCTTGTAATGAAAAACATTTTCTGCTTCTATATCTAGATGCTTTTTGTGGAAATAAGGGAAAACGATTTTGACAGATATATTATCTGTCAAGCCATCTTCTAAATTATCTTACTAATTCCAGCAGATTTTTTTCTTTAAAATCTTTTGGATTTTCCGCGTGAACTGTAACATAACCAGAAAAAGATATATAGTTTTAATTTTGTTTATAACAATCATTTAATATTTTCCTATTATTGCATCTGTTAGAACCTCCAAATTGATGTTGGACAGTAGTGGTGAGAGCAGACATCCCTGTCAAGTTCCTAACTTTAATTGAAATTATTTCAGTGTTTCCCTATTTAATAACATTTCCCATTGGATTTTGACAAATAGTCTTTTTAAATATTTAGTTTTCTTTCTACTTCTATTTTAGTATGATTTTTTTAGGATGGCTATTGAATTTTACCAAGTCTTTGCAGTATCCGTTAATATGATCATATGATCTTTCGCCTTTAACTTGCTAATGTAATAAATTATGTTGAATGGAGTTCCTGACATTTTTGCTTAGAAAAAAATCTGTTTGGTCAAAATACTTTTTTAAATATTTTGCTGGTATTTATTTGTTACTTTCTTTGCTAGTGACAAATATTTGTGGACTGCTTACTATATTGTAGGCATTGTTTATATCCACAACAGTGAAAAAAATATAAAATTTCTGACCTCATGAAGCTTACCTTTTAGCAAGCTGCTGTTAAAAAAATTCAGTGACTTTCAACAACAAACCATTTAGTTCTTACTCACAGGTCTGTGGGTCACCTGTCAGTTGTCTGGGCTTAGATTTAATTTTCTAGTGTACTTTTTAGACTTTTTGTTGAATATCATACTTACAGAAAAAGCACAAATCATAAGTGAGGAAACAATTATGTAACCACTACTCAGGTCAAGATAGAGAACATTTCTATTATTTGATAACATATTTATTTAGAGTTTTTGCAATTACATTAAAAAGTAAAGTTTGGTCTTCTGGTTAGACAGGCTACTAAATAGGATTATTGTACAGTTACAGTTCTTTCATTCCCCTGGCCTCCAACTCCCACCTTTGCTGTGGCTTCATTAAGGATGGAGTATACACCCCCAGTCCACTGATAGTTTGTGAGTTGCTTTGGCCAGTGTAATGTGAGCAAACACAACAGATGTCACATTCAGCCTTGGTTTGGCTTGACTTCTTACAGTGTTATCCTTCTCCTTGAGAAGACCATTTCTCTGGAGACAGCATGTGGACCAGAAGTAACCCCAACCTGTAGCCTGAAGCCAAGTCTAACCAAGCCCAGCCAAGCTTTGGATGATGGACAGACCCGTAGCCTGTGTGAAAAGCCACTGAGATTTTGTATGTTTGTTTGTTTGTTTAAGATTGTTATGTAGCATTCTTGCAGCAGGACCTCACTAATACAGTCAGCTTTATTAAATGAATTGGAAACATTCTCTCTTTTTCAATGGGCTGATTTTCTTTAAAGATCAAAAAGAAAAACACAAAAACTCAGCCATTAACCCATCTGATACTAGTATGTTCTTCAGTAGTAGATATTTTACCACATTTCCTATCATGGTAATTGGTAGGAATTGGTCTTTTCAAATTTTATACTTTTTCTAGGACCAATTTTGGAAATTTGTTTCCAGAAAATTATCCATTTTCTCTAAGTTTTTAAATTTGTTATTGAAAACTTATGTGTAATATTCTTTATAATTATTTTATTTTATTTAATTTTTTTTGAGATAGAGTCTCACTGTATTGCCCAGGCTGGGGTGAAGTGGCATACTGTTGGCTCACTCCAACCTCTGCCTCTCAGGTTCAAGCAATTCTTCTGCCTCAGCCTCCTGAGTACTGGGATTATAGGTGTGCACCATCATGCCTGGCTAATTTTTGTATTTTTAGCAGAGACAGGGTTTCACCATGTTGGTCAGGCTGGTCTCGAACTCCCGACCTCAGGTGATCTGCCCACCTCAGCCTCCCAAAGTGCTGGGATTACAGGTGTGAGCCACAGTGCCCAGCCCCAATATTCTTTATAATTATTTTAATCTCATCTGCAGTTATGTTTCCTTTCTCCTTTCTAGTCATGGTTTTGCACTCTCCTTCCTTTGGTCTAAGGATTAAGATCAAGTTTGTGAAAAGATTTATTTCATTCACGTTTTCAAAAAACCCATTCTGAAGTTTCTTTGTCCTTTGATCATTTTTTTGTTTGTTTCTACTTTACTGATTTCAATTTTGATCTTTTTTAATTCCCTTTTTCTTGTTTCTTTTCTCTTTACAACTAAGATCCAGTTTTTTATTTCTCTTGGTTTATTTTGCTTTTCTAATTAATAACATTAATATTTAGTTCCTTTATTTTTCATTTTTCTTCTTAAATAATGAAGGCACTTTAAGTTATAAAATTTCCTGTAAGTGAAGCTTTCATTGTGTTCTACTGGTTTTGGTATGATTGAAATAGATCATTGCACTCTAGATAGTTTATAATATAACTTTCAATTGTTTTTACCCATTATTTGTGTGTGTGTGTGTGTGTGTGTGTGTGTGTGTGTGTGTGTAGGTATGAGCCACTACACCTGGTTGTCATACTTTTAACTTTTTGAAAATTATACTTATTCATGAAGAGGAATCAACTAATATATTTAATTACCTCAATTCAATAGCCAAATAGAGTCTTCATTTTTTGGGTATATATAATATATATATACATACATATATATACACACAACAAATATTGGAAATATTGGGTAAAAAAATATATATATATATATATATATAAATTGCAGATAAAAATTGAGAGAACAGTACAGAGTCCCTATATACCCTCTGCTCCATCCCATCCCTGCCCCGCCAAGGCTGTCTCCACCACTGTCAACATCCCACACCAAAGTGCTACATTTGTTACAATCTCTGAACCCACATTGACACATCATTATCATCCAAAGTCCCTAGTTTACATTAGGGTTCACTCTTGGTGTTGTATATTCTATGAGTTTGGACAAATGTGTAATGACATGCATCACCATTATGGTGTCATACACAATAGTTCACTGCCCTAAAAATCCTCTGTACTCTGCCTATTCATCCCTCCCTCCCCTCAACCCCTAGGAACCACTGGTCTTTTCATTGTCTCCAGTTTTGCCTTTCTAGAACGCCAAATAATTGGAATCATACAGTACTTAGTCTTTTCAGATGGCCTTCTTTCACTTAGAAATATGCATTTAAGATTCTTTCATGTGTTTTCTTGGCTTAATGGGTCATTTATTTTTAGCATGAATAGTATTCCACTTTCTGGATGTATCACAGTTTATTTATGCATTCACCTACTGAAGGACAAGTTGTTTGCTCTCGAATTTTATCAATCATGAATAAAGCTGCTATAAACATCCATGTGGCAGTTCTTGAGTGCACAGAAGTTTTTAACTCATCTGGGTAAATACTAAGTTACTGAATTGTATGGCAAGAGTATGTTTAGTTTTTTGAGAAACCGCCAAATTCTTCCAAAGTAGCTGTACCATTTTCCATTCCTGCCAGCAATGAATAAGAGAGTTCCTGTTAGTCCACATCCTCACCAGTATTTGTGTTGTCGGTGTTCTGGATTTTGGCCTTTCTAACAGTTACCTTGTAGCTGTTTTAATTTGCAGTTCCCTGATGACATACAAACGTTTTCAAAGAGCATGTTTCCTAATTTTCTGATGGATTTGATTTTTTGGTCACCCCTTAACTACTTATGACTGATTTTATTGAATTATGATCAGAGAATGTAGTTCATAAAACAGGTACTTAATAAAATGTGTTAAAGTTTTCATCAAGTACAAGCTAAGTTTTTGCAATTGTTCCATGAATATATACAATTTACTCAAAAAAATGAAGATTCTGTTTGGCTATTGAATTGAGGAATTGAATATATTAGTTGATTCCTCTTTATGAATAAGTATAATTTTCAAAAAGTTAAAAGTATGACAGCCAGGTGTAGTGGCACATACCTATAGTCCCAGCTACTTGGAGGCCAAAGCAGGAGGATCACTTAAGCCTAGGAATTCAAGGCTGCAGTGAGCTGTGATTGCACCACTGAACTCCAGCCTGGGTGACAGAGCAAGACTTGATCTCCAAAAAAAAGAAAGAAAGAAAGATGATTCAAAGGAAATTTGAGGACTGGATATTTAAAGGAAATTTAATGAAGGAATGTTGCAGTAAGATTGTCTGATTAGGTACAAAACTGGTTAATGTTCTATAAGGCAATAAATCTTAACCTTTAAGGTTATCTTTTCTACAAGTCAGAAATTATTTGAATATTTACTAGACAAAAATATACAGGTTAAAATGTAACCATTCTATGTGTAAGATCTTTAATCAATAATAAGGAATGGGTTGACTAAAGTACATTCACCCTAAATCACTAAATATCCTTTGGATGGCTCAGTGCCCCATATGACTTTGGAAAGACATGATAACCAAATGTCTGCCTTATTTTTAAGTTTTGGATAATTTTTTGACAATGCCTTATCAATTTTTCAATCTGATCCCTTTAGTTATGAGAATTGTATTAAAATTCTCTCTATATATCTGTGTTTTTATCACACTTAGTAGTCGTATCTTTTTTTATCTATTTAGCTGCTTGCTATGCTGTCTGTTGCACACCAGTTTATGTTTATTATGCTCTATTCATGTCACAATTTCCCTCCTTAATCTTTTTATGCTTTTAGCCTTAAATTCCAACTTGTCTGATTAATATTGCCGATTAATTGTCTATTACATTCTTTTGTCTAAAAAAAGTTATCAAAAAGATACCTCTTTATAGACACTCTTATTTTTAACCATTTTATCATCACATCGTGTTAGATATTTCTTGTAAACATTATAAGGCCTTAAAAAAACTGAAGTATTTAGTTCAGCCACATTTAAGGACGTAGTTAATTTACTGAATAATCTTCCTTCCATCCTACTTTATGTGTATTAAGACAGCCGCTTGTCATTATTCACAGCGGTTTTGTTTTACAGAGTCACTGAAAATGCTAAATAGTGAATGTTGAACCATTCCTCCTAGGAGAAATAGAGGGTTAGGTTTCTGTGACTCTCTGGGTTACATTTCATCAACCAATTAATGCGTAACTTTGTCGTGGGTGTGTTTCTGCTTAAAGACACCTTATTTAATATATATCATTGACTTGTTAACATTGAACTCACAGCCAACAGCACTGCAACATATGCCTGAACAAAGTTTGTCTAACATGTGTGTTTTCTCCACGTGGCTCATCACAGCCTCTTGCACACAGGAACACTAGACAGCACCTCAGCACTACACTTGGGGGCCATTTTTAAGGAGATGTGAAAGTCAAAATAAAACATAGCAATGAATCTTTAAATTCAGCGTTTTATTTAGGAAGCACAGAATTGCAATTCAGAGCATACGCACAGACTGGGATGGCCTTCAGTATGTCTGAAAAACAAACGGAAGTTTGGGGGTCTTACTAGAAAAAGCCATGATACCTACTGTTTTGAAAACAGCTCATTGCTAGAGAAGCTTTTGGGAACTGGCAAGCTCTGATGGGTGAGTGAAGGAGGCAGATAAAACAAATCTTTGAGTCAAGACAGGTTGTTTCAGCAGCTACTAGGTAAAACTCGTCTTAGAGTTACTACAGGCTATTTCAGCAACTGGACTTGCAGCAAATTCAACTATTAGAGCTGGTGCTATGTGCAATTATTAGTGCTTTTCCCCCCAGCCCCTCAACGCTGATGTATTAAGTTGGTGCAAAAGTAATTGCTGCTTTAGCCATTAAAAGTGATGGCAAAAACAGCAATTATTTTTGCACCAACCTAATAGTTGCATATGACAAGAGTGACTCAGTTTATATAATCAATTTTCACAGAAGTCACCAGCAAAAAACACACAAAGATGACACTAAGCAGTCTGAGAAAAGAACTGTCATTTACAGCATGAGAAGTGAAACAAGAAGGTGGAGCATTGCCTTGTTCAACCTCAGCTGGGAAAGTGCCTGTTGAGTGACTCAAATTTTTCGCTGCTCTTGTGTATGTCCACAAATGATCATGAGTGCTCTCCAAGTATTGATTTTTAGGGTTACAAATAAAATTTAGTGAGTAGGTGTATTCACAAATGCAGAATCCTAGAATAATAAGGATGGGCAGTAATTGTTTTCTTCCCTCTTTTTGCTTTTTCTTATTTTTGCTGGCTTCTATTTTTCCCCTTGTTAATTTGAAAATTCCATTCTACTTTTCCAGTTTATTCTCGGTTGGTTCATTTATTCTGGGGGAACACCTTTTCTTGAATATTTTCATGAAATAACATTAGCCTCAATATTTTTCTTTTTCCGTAACAAGTGAATCACTTGATCAGGTGTGGTCCTATAGAGTCTATTTCACTGGTCTCTAGTTTCTAGTACTGGAAGGGAAGTCTAACGCCAGTCTGATTCTTTTCTCTTTTTAGGTAAGTTAAAGTAATTATCTGGATGTTGTAACAGTTTTCTCTTTATCCTTAGAGTTTAGAAATAGGTCTAGGTCATTTCTTATCCATTCAGCCTGAAAATCAACAAGTTCTTTCAATCTCCCATCTTTAGTCTCACATCTTTCTTTGCCTCAGGACAATGGTGGTTTTAAAAATTATTGTTATGCTTATTATTTCTTTCATGTCTTCCTTTTTCTCCTTTGGAAGTCTTACCATTCATGCATGTTGGGTCATTAGATCTACCCTGCTAGACTGATCTTTTCCCTAATTTACATCTCTGTATCTTTGTTCTGTGCTTTAAGGTGCCCTTGAGTGCTGACCTTGATTTCCCATCCCAATCATCTCTCTCAATTGTAGTGACCGTTTTCTCTTTCAAGTCATCTGATGAGTTGTTTAGTTGGGAAATCACATTTTTTTTACAGCTTCGTAAAGTCTTTTTTTTTTCTCTATTTACATATCTACAGGGGCTTTTTAAAATTGTTTTTTAAATTCATGTTGTCATCTGTCTCTTTCAGCCACTGTGTCACTGGGTGTGTGTTTTGCTTGTCCCTTCTGACTGCCCTCTCTTTGCCAGCTCACTGGGTTCAGGTCTGAGGATGGGAACACCCTAAAGGACAGATGTTCTATTGAGGAAAAGGAGGGGAAAAGCTCCGTCCTATGTAGAGATGCGGGGATACTGCCCATCTCCTGTGCAGGCACCTGGAAAAGGCTTCTCTGACCTGGGCTCTGTAGGGTCTCCCAACCTCAGGAACTAGGGAACTTAGCCCCCTGGTTCAACAACTTCTTAGTTCTGGGATGGGGCGCAGGGGACCAGGTATCTTCATCTAGTGCAATGTTAACCTTCCATTGGTCTCTGGGGTCCAAGCTCTCTCCAGCACTCACTTCTCAGACTTTACTTTGAGACTCCTCAGTATTTGCAGATCTGATGGGGAAGAACTACCAGTTCTGTTCTTTCTACTGTTTCCGACAACCGTTTATCTTGAGAGGAACAGAAATTCATTTGGAAGTGGAAAGAAAGGAAACCATATTCCAGTTACCATGTCCCCAGAATCACCTCTAAAGTGACTTTTTAAAAATGAAATTTACGTATAAAATTGGATTTATGGAAAAGTATTAATAATATTACAGGTGGTACCTGATGTTACAGAACTCACAAAGGTGATGTTTGAATGACAAAGTCTGAAAACACTGCACCAGAAAAATGTGAAATTTCCCTTCCAACTCTGGTGTTCTATTACTCTTCACAGCAGAGTTACCAGAATCTTCTCCTAACAGGGTGTGACGCATCGCTTTAAAGAAAAAAAGGAGGAATGATAATCATGATTAAACTAGTTAAATGACTGGTTTTAATGACTTCTTCATGGTTATACAAGCCATACCTCTATATCATATGTATAGCATAGGCATGGAGAGACCTCAGAAGAGAGACAGATAATTTAAAAAAAACAAGGAGGCAGGAGTTACCATATAATGTTTTAGAAACAGTCCGGCTGAGCAATTGCAAGGACACAAAGCCATGGGGCTATTAGAGAAAGGCAGGACAGGAATTGCAGCCACGATAAGGGATTCCTTGCAGGAGGCAACCCCTCCATAAAGGCATCTGGGTGAGCGAGGGTCTGGAGCCCAATCTGCCTTTACTAGAGGGTATTACTCCCCAAATAAGAGCCCCGCATGTTTGTTTCCTTTGTTGTGTAGTATTTACACAACAATGTGTGGGTGAGGGGAGGAAGGTCACTGTGGCACTTCTTAAAGGCCCATCTAGCACACCTATTCTTCTCAAAGCCACAGACACACACAGACCTTCAACATTCACAGCCCTGGTCACTCGGGCTGCCATTGGCTCTTCAGCAACACACAGTCTGGCACTTTGTGCCGGGAGGTCTTGCCTCCATCTGCAGTGGACTCGCCCAGTTGCTCAATGTCTCCAGAAGATGCAGATGATTTCCCTAAGGGCCCAACACTACACTTAACTGAGGACTCCCAAGAATGCCTTCCTGGCCTCAGGAAAGCTTCAGGCCAGAGGGATGATCAGAAAGGGCTTGCTTTCAGGCCACCGGCCTTACCAGTTCTGACTCATTTCGTTTAAAATAAAACATCAAGCACAAAGAGGGGATACAGCCCATCACAGTAGTTGTAAAAGCCTGACAACCAGAGGGACGTGGTGAAGGTGAGCCCTCTCCATAGCAGCTCAGGGAGCCCACCGACTGCCCCCCACCCCACCCCTCCTGCCGAGTGGCAGGGCAGGGCTGCAGCTCTCGCTCCCAACTCCGACTCAGGACTCTAAGTGCCTGCCCCGCTTGGGTCTCCCAGACCCGGGTGGCTTATGATATTGAGCTCATCAGTCAACACCAGACGCCACTTCTTTCTAAAGTCTGCTGTGTACCCGATCGCACACTCGGTTTTGGCCCCCGACACGGGCCCAGGGCCCTTGGGGGCTCCGCGCGCAACGGAATGGGCCAGCTTCAGCCTGCGCAGCACAATGGTCCGCCCTCCCCGGCTGGCGCGTGGCCCAGCCCGGGGGGTTTCAGTCGCTTCGGAGAATTCACTTATTGTTTGCAGGGCTCGGCGGCCGCCGCCTGCAGCCGGCGGGCTGCAAATCTATTCACCCTGCAGCCTGGCGTCCGGCGCTGCCGCGGCGCGTCTCCCCCGCGCACCTGCCCGGCGCCCCCTCCCTTCCTGCCCGCCATCTGTCGTCTGAGAGCCATTGTAAGCAGCCGCGCCTGGCGTCCTGGACGACACCCAAGGGGACCCGGGGCTTAGGCCTGGCGAGAGGCAAACAAGGAGGGTTTATTCCAGTCCCGTTTGGAGGTGACCTTAAGCAAAATAGCCAAGTCTGAGGGCATCCGCCTGCTCCCCGGACCTCTGGCTTTTAGCGCAGGGTTTAGGGGCCCCTCCTGGACGCAGAGTCCCAGGGTTCACAATCTGAGCCGGAGCGTCCTGCCTGGGCGTTCTGGGATGTAATCTGGCCTAGAGGAGCCCTGCAGCGGCCGCTCGCCTCCTTGAAGAGCCCCGGGAGCCCGTTTCAAATGCAGATGTTGGTTTTGTCTGCCTGCACGTCTGATCCTCCGAATTTATACCCATTGTCCGGGCCTCTTGGGATGCTGGGTTGAAAGAAGAGTTTCTCTTTTCTGAAATGGCAAATGCAGCCCTTTCAAGTCCTACCAGCCAGCCTGCTGCCCCCAGAAGTCTGTACCCATATTTGTTGAATATCACACACCCTCCTTTCATGTCAGTGGAAAGTTAAAAATGTTTTAATATATCCCGACCGAAAAGAAAATAAAACAAAGCTATGGTCATTGTGGAGCTTGCCTTTCAAACTACAACCTTGATCCGCAGATTCGAATCCTCCCTCCTTCCTAGGTATCTATCTCCCCAGCCTGTTTGAGAACCTTTCCTTCATCTCACTGTGCCCTCCCCTCCCCGCCGCCCCCCCACCCCCCCGCCCATACACACAAACAACAAGCACATCACATCTTTTTATAGATGGGAAAGCCAAGGCAAAAAGATGGGAGGAGCTATGGACAGCTGTGAACTTTATCTCTCTGTGGATTTAAAACAAAAGAGACCCACACTCAATTTGAGCTATTACTAACAGCCATTTCCATGCAAAGAGAACTGTCAGGGCTCAACGTGGGAGATTTGGGGCTGGTATCTCAGGTAAAGCTTCTCCAGACGGACACCTCAGTGGGGTTACCTGGGGCAGTAGCCCCAACTCCTGCTCAGTTTCTTGACCCTGCCGCCAAGAACGGGAGTGCCAGCACCCCAGAGGCTCCAGATCCCAAGAAGCACACTCTAACAAGGCTGGGCAGAGTTCCGTGCAGACTGGGGCTCTCCTCCTTAGAACTCTTGGTGCTTCCAGCCCATAATTCTCTATCCAAAGGGAGGCCTGGTGAGGATGAAATCACAACTGGAAATCAGAACTGGAAAGTGGGTAGTATATTGTACCTCAGATCTCCACTCTTGGACAGAACTGGAAAAACGGGGGGAAAATGTGCTTCTCTGCTTCCCTTTCACCATACCCTTCAGTTCGCAGATGGGTTCTTTCTCTATATTTGTAAATATCACATATTATTCCTTCTCTCTCTCTCTCTCCTCTTTTTCTGTGTGTGTGTGTGTGTGTGTGTGTGTGTGTTTGTGTGTAACACATATACCTGTTACAGAATTCAAAAGGAACAAATGGCTATTCAGTGAAAAACAAGTCTCCCTTCCACCCTGTTCCCAGATAGCAGTGTTTGCTTTTCTGTTCCTGCTTGGCCCCAAGAAGGCCTAGGTTTCCATCTCCTGCCAGCTGTGGGACCTGGTGCAAGACTCTTTTTCTCTTTGAACCTTGGTTGCCTTCTCAGTAAAACTAGTGTAAGACTACCTACAGCATGAGCTCATTAGGACTAAATGAGAAAAGTGTTCCAGGCCCGCTGAAATGCTGTGCACCCCTGTTATCACTATTTGACACAAAGCACTATTCTCATCCCCTCGCCTTGTCTAGCAAGGGCCGAAGGACAGAATTTGAAGACCTTGAATAAGAAAAGGAAAGATTTGTCAGAGGCATGAACTGCCAAGCCAAACTACACAAGTGTCACATCTGCTAACATCCTATTGGCTGAATAAGTCACTTGGCCCAATCCAAAGTCAAAGAGGGTAATGTTCACTCCATCCATCACGAAATAGTGGCAAAGGTATGTATTATCAGGGAGCAAAGAATTGGGAGCAATATTTCAGTCTGTCTTCTCTACATTCCCCATCCCCATGGCTTTAAATACCATGCATTTGCTAAGGATTCCCTAACTTACATTCCAGTCCACAGCTGTCCCTTAAGTTCCAAGCAGTCCCGAGTTCCCACAGCACTCTCTTCCTCCAATATCTCCACTTGCACATCTCACACACTTCTTCAAATAGAAGTCTTGTTTCCCTACCCCTAACCCAAGCCTGATCTCATCAGTGGCCCTTCCTTCTACCCACTTGCTCAAACCAGAGGCAAAGGATCCCCTTTCACCCACCGTCTCCCTCACCATCCACACCACGTTCAACCCACACAGATGATGTTGCCTTCAGAATGTGCTTCTCCCTGGCCAAGTCCCCAGCACCTCTCCCACCTACAGGTGGCTGCTGTAGTTTCTTGACTGCTCCCTTTGCTTCTGCACTTGCTTCCTTCATGCTTTTCTCAACACAGCCAGAGCAATACTCGTGAGTGAAAGGTCAAGCCATGTCACTTCTCTGCTCCAAACCTCTGACAGCTGCCATCTCGGAGAAAATTTGAAGTCCTTATGGTGCTCTGCAAGGCCCTACATAACCTGTCTTTGGTCCCCTACCTCTCTGACTTCCTCCCTAATACTCTGGCCCCCACATGGTTTGCTCCAGCCACACTGCCCTCCTTACGGCTCTGCAAACATCAGCAGGCACACACTGGCCCCAGAGACTTTGCATTGACTGTTCCCTCTCCCAGAAGTGCTCTTCCCCCAAATATTTGTACTGCTAGTGCTCTTTCTGAGGAAAACTTCCCCTAGTCACCTTATCTAAAACATCACCCCTGACTCAAACTTTCAGATCCCCATACTTATCACTGTCAAACGTATGATACAATTTACTTGTTTATTCTGCTTATTTTCTGTGTCTAGTAGAGATAATGTACGCTCCATGTTGGGTGACCACCCTAGTTTGCCCACGGCTGTCCCTATTTTAGCACTGAAATTACTATGTCCCAGGAAATTCCTGGAAAACTGGGATGGTTGATCACTCACAAGGGCAGAGATTTTTCTGTTTTGCTCACTATCTTATTTCTCTTCCTGGTGCTTAGCACTTTGCCTGGCACTCATTAAATAGTGGTTGAATGAATGAATTAGCAGTAAAAATGACCATCTGAAAATTTAAATCAGCTCGTATCTGTCCTATGCTAAAAATTAATTGATGGCTCCATGTTGCACTTGAAACACAATCTAAACTCCTTACCATGGTGTATTAGTTCATTTTCATGCTGCTGATAAAGACATACCCAAGACTGGGCAATTTACAAAAGAAAAAGGTTTAATGGACTCACAGTTCCATGTGGCTGAGGAGGCCTCACAATCATGGCAGAAAGTAAAAGACACATCTTACATGGTGGCAGACAAGATAAGAGAGCTTGTGCAGGGAAACTCCCTTTTATAAAACCATCAGATCTCATGAGGTTTATTTACTGTCATGACAATAGCACAGGAAAGACCCGCCCCCATGATTCAATTATCTCCCACTGGGTCCTTCCCACAATACGTGGGAATTATGGGAGCTGCAATTCAAGATGAGATTTGGGTGGGGACACAGCCAAACCATATCACATGGCCTCCAAAACTGCATCTCTTAGTCCTTTTCTGCAACATTTCATACCTCCTCTTCCTCCACTCTTGTTAGGCTCCTGGCCATCTGACCCCCTTCTAGCCTCTTCATGAGCACCCACCCTCATAACAGCTCTAGGTCTTTGCTGTTGCTGTTTTCTTGGCTTCCCTTGGAGGCACCCGCTTATCCCTCAAGATTCAGTTCAATCAGTGTGTCCTCAGAGAGGCCTTCCCAGGATTTCTGGTCACAGAGTCTTCCTCCAGTGGCTACAGCTGCTCACCCAGTGTATTTCCTGCATAGCCTCATCACTAATTATATTCACCCCTGTTTATCTGCATGCTTGCGTATTTATTACCTGTTGCCCACAAGGGCAGGAGCCTTGTCTGCCCTGTTCTCTACCACAGCACCACCCCCTTGAACACAATGAATTATCTCCCACATCTGCTGGAGCAACACCTTGTGGTCAGGGATGGAGGAGAGTGTTGGAAAGATTTCATGCACAGAGTGAGGAGCTAATTTCACTGAGGATCAAATGGGTTCTTTGGACAGTGAAGGAATTCCTTGTGTATTTTCAAGGAAGATATCTGTAATAAAAATTATATTTTCCATTTATTCAGTACTTAACATGGGCCAGGCATAGTGCTAAGCACCTTCTATACATCACCTCATTTAATCCCCACAATAATCTCATTATTATCTCTACTTTCAGCTATGAAAACTAAATGTAAAATACACTGTCCACTAACTACCTATCCATTCTTCACATCTTCTTTGTTAATAGAGTCCTGGCTTTGTGTAGGGTGAGAATGTGTCCAGCCCTGAGTAATGGATTACAATAATCCTGTTCCCTGCATTCCCAGACTCCCTTGCAGCTAGGAGTGGCCATGTGAGCCTATTCTGGACAGTGTGAAAGAAGTGGAGTCTGTTGAGTGGCAAGGTGTTCTAAGAAAGCTTCCATTTCTCCCACATCTTTCTTCCTAACTTAAGGTGTTGTGTTGTCTGGAGCCCTGGCAGCCATCTTCTAACCTTGAGAAAACAAGCTCCATGGTGAAAGTCATCAGACTAAATATTGCAAACCAGAAAAAGAGAAGTTCTTTCTTATTCTGGTCATATTGCTAACCAGCTGAACCAACACCAGAAACCACCTCCAATCTTTTTGTTGCATGAATGAAATAAGTCCCTATTTGTCTAAGCTACCATTAGCCAAATTTTCTGTCACTTGCCAATGAAAACATTCCTAACTAATAGATTGGGTTTCAGATAACTTTGGAAAGAATCAAACCTAGAGAGGAAGAATTCTGTCTGGAGATTGTGACTTGTGGAAGTCCAGCAGGATAATGACTGGAATTTATGCCCACATTTTGTTATGGTGATTGATACTGAAGACAGATGCTGAAGCCATTACTTTTGAGACTACTTCAAAGAGAGAAGAGGATAAAGGTCATATTCACTGCTGACCAGGATGTTATGGTGGATTTCCAAAAGTGACAGAGGGAAATCTATAGGAAAGGTTCAGTTTAAAATGCAGGGTTTTGCATTCTGACAAGGTATAAAAGAACCAACATTTTTCAGCATTTACTGTGCTCAAGCACTATGTCAGAATTTTTACCGTATCAGCCCATTTGAACTTCCCAATCGCCTTGCAATGCAGAAATTAACATCTCCACTTTGCAGAGGAGTGAACTGAGGCCTGGGAAAGCAGTAAAGCAAAATAGCTAAGAGCTACAGAATCAAAGCAATCCTACCTAAAAGCCCAGCAGGATTTTTTTTTTAAATAAATTGACAAGTTGATCCTAAAATCCATATGGAAATAGGAAGGACCTAGAATACCCAAAAACAACCCTGAAGAAGAGGTTAGAAGTCAGAGGACTAACATCTGATTTCAAAAATTATTATAAGGCTACCATAATCAAAACAGCATGGCATTGGTGCAAAGATAAACAAATAAATCAGTGGAACAGATATATTCAATATATAGCGATTTTCTTTCTTTTGGATATATACCCAATAGTGGAATTGCTGGGTCACATGGTAGCTCTATTTTCAGTTTTTTTAGAAACCTCCCTACTGCTCTTCATAATGGCTATACTAATTTACATTCCCACCAATAGTGTATTACATTCCCACCAATAGTGTATGAGGGTTCCCCCTTTCTCTACATCCTGGCCAGCATCTCTTATTCCTTGTCTTTTTGATAAAAGCCATTCTAAATGGGGTGAGATGGTATCTTATTATGGTTTTGATTTACATTTCTCTGATAATTAGTTATGTTGTGCATCTTTAAATATTCTTGTTAGCCATTTGTATGTCTTCTTTTGGGAAATATCTATTTGGATATCACCCATTTTTTATTCAGATTATTTGTGGTTTTTTACTAGGATGTTTGAGCTCCTTATATATTCTGGTTATTAATCCCTTGTCAGGTGGATAGTTTGCAAATAGCTTCTACCATTCTTTGGGTTATCTCTTCACTTTATTAATTATTTCCCATGCTGTGCAAAAGCTTTTTAGCTTGATGTACTATTATTTGTCTAGTTTTGCTTTTGTTGCTTGTGCTTTTGATGTCTTGCACAAAAAATGTTTGCCCAGACCAATATCATGGAGGTTTTCCCCCAACGTTTTCTTCTAGTAGTTTCATACTTTCAGGTCTTAGATTTAAGTCTTTAATCCATTTTGATTTGATTTTTGCATATGGTGAGAGTTAGGGGTCTACTTTCATTCTTCTGCATATAGTTATCCAGTTTACCCAGCACCGTTTCTTGAAAAGACTGTCCTTTCTCCATTCTATGTTCTTGGTGCCTTTGTGAAAAATGAGTTGGCTGTAAATGCATCGATTTATATCTGGGTTCTCTACTCTGTTCCATTTACCTATGTGTCTGCTTTTATTCCAGTATCATACTGATGTAGCTGCTATAGCTTCATAGCATATTTTGAAGTCAAGTAGTTTGATTTCTCAGCTTTGTTCTTTTTGCTTGGGATTGCTTTGGCTATTCAAGGTCTTTTGTGGTTCCATGTAAATTTTAGTGTTGTTATTTCTGTTTTTGTGAATATTGTTGTTGGTATTTTGATAGGGATTGCATTGAATTTGCAAATCCCTTTGTGTAGTATTGTCATTTTAACAATATTAGTTCTTCCAATCCATAAGCATGGAATATTTTTCCATTTTTCCATTTTTTAATGTCTTCTTTAATTTCTTTCATCAATGTTTTATAGTTTTCCCTAAAGAGTTAGTTCTTTCATATCTTCAGTTAAGTTGATTCCTAGGTATTTTTTATTTTTTGTAGCTATTGTAAATAAGATTACTTTCTTGATTTCTTTTTCAGATTGTCAGCATATATAAATGCTACTAATTTTTGTATGCTGATTTTATATCATGCAATTGTATTGAGTTCTTTTATCAGTTTTTTGGCGGAGTCTGTGTTTTTTTATATATAAAATCACGTTGTCTGCATACAAGGCTAATTTGACTTCTTCCTTTCCAATTTGGATGCCCTTTATTTCTTTCTCTTGCCTAATTGTTCGGGCATGAACAACTGATTTTTTTGACAAAGGCTCGAAAGTAATGCCGTAGAGAAAGAATAGCCTTTTCAACAAACAGTGCTGGAATAATTGGAAAAGCATATGCAAAATAGAGACTACAACAAAGAAGAAGAGGAGGAGCAGGAGGAGGAAGAAAAAAGAACTTGGGCCGGGTGCGGTGGCTCACACCTGTACTCCCAGCACTTTGGGAGGCCGAGGTAGGCGGATCACCTGAGGTCTGGAGTTTGAGACCAGCCTGGCCAACACAGAGAAACCCCATCTCTACTAAAAATACGAAAATTAGCATGGTGTGGTGGCGGGCACTTGTAATCCCAGCTACTCCAGAAAATGAGGCAGGAGAATCGCTTGAACCCAGGAGGTGAAGGTTGCAGTGAGCCAAGATAGCAGCACTGCACTCCAGCCTGGGTGACAGAGTGAGATTCAGTCAAAAAAACAGGGAAAGAAAAAGAAAGAAAGAAAGAAAGAAAGAAAGAAAGAAAGAAAGAAAGAAAGAAAGAAAGAAAGGAAGGAAGAAAGAAGGAAAGAAAGAAGGAAAGAAGGAAAGAAAGAAAGAAAGAAAGAAAGAAAGAAAGAAAGAAAGAAAGAAAGAAAGAAAGAAAGAAAGAAAAAGAAAGGAAGGAAGGAGGGAAGAAAAGAAAGAAAGAAAAGAAAGAAAGAAGAGAAAGGAAAGAAAGGAAGGAAAGAAGGACTTGGAGTCACTCTTTTTGCCATTAATAAAAATTAACTCAAAATGGATCATAGACATTAATGTAAGAGCTAAAGCTATACAACTCTTAGAAGAAAACATAGGAGTAAATATTCACAACCTTGTGTCGGTGATTGGTTTCTTAGATACAACACCAAAAGCATAGTCCATAAAAGAATAAGTGGATAGGTTGGACTTCATCAAAATTTAAAACTTTTGCTCTTCAAAATACACTATTAAGAATACAAAAAAGACAAGCCACAGCTGAAAGAATACATTTGCAAAGTATATGTCTGATAAAGGACTTCTGTCCAGAATACAGAAAGAATTCTTAAACTCAACAATAAGAAAATAAAGAACCCAATTTTAAAGGGGGACAGGGACAAAATATTTGAACAGATACTTTGCCAAGAAGATGTAAGGTTGGCAAATAGGCACATGAAAAGATGCCCAACAGCATGAGCCACTAGGGAAATTCAAATTAAAACCACAGTGAAATACTACTACACATCATTTAGAATGGCTGAAATTAAGATTTACTATACCACGCATTGGTGAGTAGGCAGAGGCAGTGATACTCTCATATGTTGTGGGTGACCATGTAAAATAGTACAATGAGTTCAGAAAGCCATTTGGCAGTTTCTTTAAACGTTGACATATGCTTACCATATTAACCAGCCATTTCTTTCCTGGGTGACTATTCAAGAAAAAAGGAACTATATATCCATACAAATATTTGAACTTGAATGTTCCTAGGAGCTTTATTCGTAATAGTAATGATTCTGGAAAAAAAGCCAAATGTCCATCAAAAGAGAAATGAGTAAACAAACTGTGCTCCATCCATACAATGCCGTACTACCTAGCAATAGAAAGCGATGAACTATTGATACACACGACATGGATGACTCATCAAGGGAATCATGCTAAGTGGAAAAAAACAAAAACAACAAAAAAGAGCCTACTGAATGATTCCACTTATATAAACGTTTAAACAAGGTAAACTAATCTATAAGAACAGAAAGCAGATCAGCGATTTCCCGGAGATGGGGTTGGGGAGAGGGGTGGAAGGGAAGGACTGAAATGCTGAAATTAACAAATTGTTACATGTAGTTTATTATATGTCCATAACAGTAAATAAGACTTGTTGGGTTTTTTTGTTGTTGTTGTTTGTTTGTTTGTTTGTTTTGAGACGGAGTTTCACTCTTGTTGCCCAGGCTGGAGTGCAATGGCATGATCTCAGCTCACTGCAACCTCCGCCTCCTGGGTTCAAGTGATTCTCCTGCCTCAGCCTCCCGAGTAGCTGGGATTACAGGCATGTGGCACCACACCCGGCTAATCTCTACAGACGGGGTTTCGCCATGTTGGCCAGGCTGATCTCAAACTCCTGACCTCAAGTGATCTGCCCGCCTGGGCCTCCCAAAGTGCTGTGATTACAGGCGTGAGCCACCACGCCCGGCCAAGACTGTTTTGTTTTGTTTTGTTTTGTTTTGTTTTGAGATGGAGTCTCGCTCTGTCGCCCAGTCTGGAATGCAGTGGCGCAATCTCGGCTCACCGCAAGCTGCGCCTCCTGGGTTCACGCCATTCTCCTGCCTCAGCCTCCCGGGTAGCTGGGACTACAGGCGCCCACAACCATGCCCAGCTGATTTTTGTATTTTTAGTAGAGACGGGGTTTCACTGTGTTAGCCAGGATGGTCTCGATCTCCTGACCTCGTGATCCGGCCGCATTTTAAAAATACCCAAGAGCACACAAGGGGTCAGTGGGGAAGCCAGAGTCCTTGCCAGATCTCCAGAGCTCAGGAGCACAAGCTCTGGCCACGGTCGCGGGCTGCCTCTCAGATGGCCTGTCTGTTGGCAGGGGCTGTGTGTGAAAACTGTGGATGGAATAGCTGGAATTCTTTACACAAATGCCAGGAAATCCAGGGGCTTCTGGGTACCATATGAAAATATAAGAGAGAAAAAGAGGCTCATTTTGTGAGAAAAATGAAAGATACTTTATGGGGTCACGGAACCATGGAAACAACCCTGCCAGCCCTTCTTCTTGGTGCTTGTTGGGGCTGGGTGGGTGTTGGGAAGAGCAAACCCCAGTTCTGCCTGCCCTTTCCAGCCAGGGTCTCACACAGAAGCAGTCCATGGTGCCCACTGAGGCTGGCAGGAGGGCAGCAGGGGAGAGGGGCCATCCATGGGCATCCAGGGAGGTGAGACTCAGGCTGCACAGAGGTGCGGGGCAGCAGAAGCCCCAAACTCGGAGAGTGGGAAGTTACGCTGTTGGGCGGAGTCAGAGTAGGAGCACAGAGGTTCCCCTGAAGGAGGCCGGTGTCACCTGCAGCTTTCCCTAGTGCCCAAGCTGAGGTGAGGGTGTTCCCCACAAAAGCAAGCTATTCTTGGCAGGTAAAGACACACTCATACCTCACACAGCTACCCTGGCTGTGGGCATGGTAGCAAATTGACTGCTGGTTCTGCTAACCAGTTCAAACTCTGTCAGCAGAGCTTGTCACTTTGTAACCAGGCCTGGACCATATTATCTACTCCTTCTTCCATTCAACGGATATTTATTGTGCCAGCACTCTTGTAGTGTCTGGAAATCGTGGTCCCCGGAGCTAACATTCCAGCGAGGAGAACAGACCATATGCAAGACAAATAAGTGAACATACAGTGTCTCAGGTGTCGGTAAAGTGTGGTGGAGAAAAATAGAGTTGGGACAGGAGACAAAGAGACAGGAAGGGGTACGGACAGAGCTGGGAGGGACTGGGAAGGAAGTTGCACAGAAGTTCTAGTGTGACCCTGCTCTTCTTTTGTCTCCTATGATGGTCTTCCCCTAATCTTGTAGCCGACAACAAAGAATCAGGGTGCACTTTGTTGCTCCCCTGCGGTATCCAAGAGCCCAGAGATGAGCCAATACCACCCGAACTGAGCACTTTCCTCACCTCCCTTCCAAAAGCCAGTCCTGCTAATCCTACCTCCTAACCTTAGAAAGGTCCTATCCAGAAGTCTGTCATTATTCTACCTTCTGTATATTCAGGTCTGCTTCTCCACACATGATCACGCTTCAAAAATTCCCATGGCCCTGCCTCTTCTCCTGTGTTCCTCACCTATCATGCCCTCCTCCTACTCAAACACTTCACACTCAAAGGTGAAACTCTAACCCATCCATTTCCAGAATCCCTCCTTGCCCACATCAGCCCTGTGGACCTCTCTTCCTGATCTCTGATAGCACAGTATACCTGAGCCCCATGATTGAGGCAGTGGTCTCCTGACTGTTGATTTGGTGCCTCCAGCCATCCTGGTTGTGCCTCCTGTGTTTTTATCTCTTCTGTGTCCCTGAAATGCAAGTTCATCTGAGCAAACAAAAGGTACACCACAGATATAGCTCATTTCTCCCTTAAAAACAAGGCTTTGCTTTGTCTAAATGTTCTTCTCTCCATCTGAGAAATGAAAAAGGTTTGGAAAATTCCAGCATGGGAGTGTTCAGCCTTATTTGAGTTGTGCAAGTGGGAAAAAATGTGCTTTTCCCAAAATTAAAAAAATTTCCCCAGCCTTTCCTCTGAAAGCAATTCACAAACCTCTGAGACCAGTATGTAAGCTTGCCAGTTTCTTCACCTCTCTGAGGAATGAATTGTCCTCCCATTTGTATGTCATGGGCACGCATGCATTTGTGGGCAAAAGAGGAGAATGGAGTCAGAGTGGAAGTTAACCAATCTTGAAAATGAAGCATGTGACAAGTGGAAAAGGCAAGCTCTTTGATGCCCAAGTCCCCTGGCTTTCCAGTGTACAAAAGAACCCACTGCTCAACAGCAGTAACCCCTGACTGTTTCTATTCTTCCTCTGCATCTATCCCAGTGTTTCTTCTTTCTGATGAAGGCAGCTGCCATGTTGTGAGTTGCCCTGTGGAGAAGCCCATGTGTCAAGAAACTGAGGGTGGGCTGGGCATGATGGCTCATACCTATAATCCCAGCACTTTGGGAGGCTGTGGTGGGTTGATCACTTGAGGTCAGGAGTCCAAAACCAGCCTGGCCAACATGATAAAACCCTGTCTCTACAAAACAAAAAAAGACAAACAAAAAAAACACAAAAAAATTAGCTGGGAATGGTGGTGAGTGCCTGTAATCCCAGCTACTCGAGAGGCTGAGGCACGAGAATCACTTGAACCTGGGAGACGGAGGTTGCAGTGAGCCAAGATCACACTGTACTCCAGCCTGGGTGACAGAGCAAGAATCCATCTCAAAAAAAAAAAAAAAAGAAAAAAGAAAAAAGAAGAAAAGAAACAGAGGGTGGCTTCTGGCCATTCAGTGAGGTCCTGAGGCACTCGGTCCAACAGCCTGCAAGAAACTGAATCCTGTCAACAACCATGTGAGCTTGGAAGCAGATACTCCCACATTTGAGTCTCCAGATGAGACTGTGGCTGCAGCCAGTGCTTTGCTGGTAACTTGTGAGAGATGCTGAGCCACAGGACCTAGCTAAGTGGCATCCATATTTCAGATCCATGGTAACTGTAAGTTAGTAAACTTTGTTGTTTTAAGCCACTAAGGTTTGGGGTAATTTGTTATGAAGCAATAAATAACTCATATGCCAACTATGTGCCAGGCACTATTCTTGGCTCTGGGGACAGAGCAGAGGACAAAACATACAGCATCTTTGTGCTGACATAGCCGACATCTAATGAGGGAAGGCAGATGATAAATAAAGCATGTCGACCACTTTAGTGTCCCCCAGAATTCATGTATTGGAAACTTAGTCTCCAATACAACAGTACAGGGAGGTGGGGTTTAATGGGAGGTGTGTAGATCATGAGGGCTCCACCCTATGAGTGAATTATTGCTTGTAGGCTGGGAGCAGTGGCTCATGCCTGTAATCCCAGCACTTCGGGAGGCTGAGGCTGGCAGATCACGAAGTCAGGAGATAGAGACCATCCTGGCTAAGATGGTGAAACCCCATCTCTACTAAAAATACAAAAAATTAGCTGGGCGTGGTGGCACGTGCCTGTAGTCCCAGCTACTAGGGAGGCTGAGGCCGGAGAATTGCTTGAACCTGGGAGGCGGAGGTTGCAGTGAGCCGAGATCACGCCATTGTACTCCAGCCTGGGTGACAGAGTGAGACTTCGTCTCAAAAAAAAAAAAAAAAAAAAAGGCTCGCAGATGTGGATTCACTCTCTCTTGCCCTTCTACCTTCCACCATATGAAGACATAGTAAGAAGGCCCACACCAGAAGCCAGAGCCTTGATCTTGGACATCCCAGACGCCAGAACTGTGAGTAGTAAATTTCTGTTCTTTATAAATTACCTAGTCTAAGATATTCTGACATAGCAGCACAAATAGAGTAAGACAGTGACAGAGAAAAATAAAGCAGTGAAGGGAATTGGGGAATTGCCAGGGTTTAAGGGTGAGTGGTGAGGTGGGGGTGATAGTGGTTGTAGCTTTAAATAGGGTGAAGAGGAAAGACCTCTCTGAGAAGGTAGCATTGAGCAGAGACCTGCAAGTGAAGGAGTGAGCCATGAGCTATCTAGGGAACGAATGTTACAGACAGAAGAAACAGTCTAGAATGAGTTTTTGTTTTACTTAGCAAAACAAAATTCAGAGAAGGAAACTCTCTTGGCTCCTCTGTTTAGCCTGTAGAAAAAAAATAACTAAGCACTAGCAGCTCACCAAAAATGCATTTTAACTTCCCTCCTGCCCACAGAAAGAGTCAGAAGTCAGACAGAGATAAGCTGTGTTTCCGTTTTCTTTCTTTCCTACATCCTCAATATAGGCAGTTACACACCTTGGCAGGTGGGACCTCTGTGATTTTGAGGTGGTGAAAGAAGCAGTCTAATGCCTTCTTGTCCTACCATTTACCTTGGTGCGGTTTTCCTGCTTGAGTTGGAGTAGAGCATGTAGGGATCGGGGAGCTGGGGCCACAAGCTACAGGAATACCAGCTGGAGAAGACTTGCATGGCCCAGCTCACTCTGGGATCCTTGGGTCCACCCATTCACATTGGGCCAGACCCCAACAGGGGTCTAAGAAATCCAGCCAGGACCACTCTGGCTGCCCAGGGATGGTCAGAGCCAGGGACACTGATGACCACTCACTTCTATCCACACAGGCCTGAGGCTTATCTGAGGAATTCAAGGAGAGAGCAGTTTCCAAATGAGTTGCCCTTTGAAAAACGTAGACCTAAGAAAGTTATTCTATTGTGTAAGTGAGAAGGGAGAGTTTGGGTTGGCCCACTGATCCTCCTTCTCCACACCACTGTGCTCAGAGTGAGGCTGGACATTGAGATTCTGACACCACAGCTGCCTAGGGGAAAATCTGATTTGTGAGAGGAACAGCCAAGAGCAGCTCCCCTTCAGAAATTGGACCAGAGCCAGATTTGACTCTTTGGCCTAAGTCAGAATCAAATAGCTGCCTGTGACTTCTGCCAAACACTGGCTTGACTTGATGCCTCTCACACCCAAGAAAAAAGGGATGTGAACTTTCCATCCAGCTCAAGTCCTCCAGCTCTTCACAGTGTCCTACCTTGGAACCCAGGGTACTCTGCCTCTTTGCAAACAGCAGAGAAGTTTGCAATAAAGACCTTTCCCAGCCAACAAAAATGGGAAGCTTTTGTTACCATCTAGATATAGGAAACACTCACAGAGCAAAAGGAAAATGACCCCAAATGGAAGCACGGAGGTGTAGGAAGGAATAGAAAGCAATAAAAAGGGTCAATAGATGAGAAATTCCAAATGATTTACTCATTACAATATGTAAAAAACAGTAATAATATTTTGTGAGCTTTAAAATATATATAGAACTAGGCTGGGCGCTGTGGCTCACACCTGTTATCCCAGCACTTTGGGAGGCCAAGGCTGGCAGATCACTTGAGGTCCGGATTTCAAGGCCAGCCTGGCCAACATAGCGAAACGGCATCTCCACTAAAAATACAAAAATTAGCCAGGCATGGTGGCGCACTTGTAATCCCAGCTACTTGGGAGGCTGAGGCAGAAGAATCACTTGAACCTGGGAGGCAGAGGTTGCAGTAAGCCAAGATCATACCACTGCACTCCAGCCTGGGTAACAGAGAGCAAAACTCAGTCTCAAAATAAAATAAAATAAAATATATATGGAATTAAAATACATGACAAGAACAGAAAAGATGGGAGGGGAGTGAGTTACAGTGTTCTCAAGTCTTTACATTGCCCTGGAATTGCCAAAAGTATTAATTTACATTAGACTTTTTGTTGTTGTTGAGACAGGCTCTCTCTCTGTTGCCCTGGCTGGAGTGAAGTGGTGCAATCACGGCTCGCTGCAGCCTCCACGTCCAGAGCTCAGGCAATCCTCCCAATTAGCCTCCTGAGTAACTGGGACTATAGGCATACACCACCACACCCAGATCATTTTTTTATTTTTTGTAGAGACGAGGTCTCCCTGTATTGCCCAAGGTGGTCTCAAACTCCTGGGCTCAAGCAATCCTCCCTCTGTGGCCACTCAAAGTGCTGGGATTATAGGCTAAGACTTTAATAAGTCAAGGCTACATGTTGTAATCTCTAGAGTGACCATGGAAAAAAATAGGAAAACTATAACTAATAATCTAAGTGGGTTGGAATAATAAAAATACTTAATCCACAAGAAAGCAAGAAAGAAGAAAAACAAAATATGTAAAATCAATAAAAGACAAACGGTAAGATAGCGGATTTGAACGCTAGTATATTAATAATTCACTAAATATAAATGGGCTAAATGTCCCAATTAAAATCAAAGATTGTCAGACTGGATCCTTTTTAAAGGAAACTAACTCAGGACACCCTTTTGTCTGCTCCACTTAACCTTAGCCCTCTTACTGCTTGAAGGCTGACTTGATAGCTGGAAGTGCAGTGGTTATCTTACAACCATCAGGCTAAGTCTAGACGCGGTGGGCAAAGAAAGGAGGAACAGAAAGACAAAAAGAGCTGGGACACTAAAGATGCCGTGGAGCTGCCACACCAGTCCCAGTACCCACCTGCAGACTTCATGCATTATGGAAGAAAAATGAATCCCTTACTTAAGTTTAAGCCACTCTTAGTGTGGCATCCAATACTCATGGCCAAACATGATTCCTACTATACAAGGCTTAGGACATTACATCTGCAAAACCCACTGATTATTTGATACTAACTTTACCCCATTTAAATCCACTGGGTTGCATTCCACCTACAACTGATAGTAATCACAGTGTGACCACACTGCAAGAGATGAGACCACTGGACCAATCAGAACACAGAAGAGTTTAGCAGACTGGGACCAGCCGCACGCATATCCTGTGAGTGCCCACTTCTCAGACTCAGAGGGATATTGCTAGGGTACTTTATAAGCACCTTAAATGAGTTAGGGGGGAAAAGTGGCTTCCTGTAGGCAGCCACAAATCAAAAAGTTATATGGATCATCCCATGACAAAAACGTCCAAGAGTTAATTTCACTCCTTCAGCAAATTTTTATAGAGCACTTACTATGTGTCAAACATTGTTCTAGTCATCAAGGACACAGACACAAACAAAACAGGCAAAACTACCTGACTTTGTGCTGTTTACATTACAGTGGGGAAAACAAACAATAAAACAATAAATAAGTGAGATAAATAATATGTAGAATGGAAGTAAGTCAGTGGAGGAAAAAAAAATGTGGAAAAAAGGACAGGGACTAGAGTATGTTATAATTTAAATAAGGTGATCAGGGAAGGTTGTGCTAAAGGATGATGTTGATAAAAGACCCAAGGGAGTGAATAATAGACAAAGACAGGGACAGAAAGCTTCAATCTTCTCATCCCCAAAGCAAAAGGAGAGAATCCCAGATAACATGACTCATCCTCATGAACAGCTTTGGCAGAGGGTGCCGCTGGCTCAGAACTGCCCTTGAGTCTTAGTGAGGGAAACCTGGCACATGGGAGGTCCCACTGCAGTGGAGAGAGGTGAGAATTTAAAGAACTGCTCCATGAGAAGGTAATTATTGAGCATGTGCTGGACACCATTAGATATACAACAACCTTATCTATGAGCTAAGTTCTATTACAATGCTTATTTTGCACAAGCTGAGAGTGAGGCTCATCTTTTTGTTCTAGGTGGCAAAACCAGTTAGAGAGGAGAGAAGTTTTCCTGAGTTGCTGTTCTCAGCACCTTGCAATCCCCCACCCTAGCCCCATCCCACCATCTCCAAGTGACCACTTATCAGCCTAACACGCAGGCAATAGTAGGAATAGAGGAGAGTACCTTCAGCTCAGAAGTAAAAAGAAAGGACCCTAAGAAGAGTTGGTTCCTCTTGGGAGCCCTGGGCTGAGCATTCCTCCTCTTCTGACTATGCCATTGAGAGGGGCTGTGTGGGCCCAGGGGTGGGTGGCAGCTGCAAGTGTGGGGGAAAATGAGCCGGCCAAGTCTCCAGCATTAAAGGCTTTGCAGTTGCAGACACCAAGGGCTCTCTCCCCTTCCCGCATCCCATTCTACCCCTCCAACTCACTCTCCATCCCAGGACCTTCCTTCCTTAGCCATTGTTCCTCATGGAAATCAGGCGGCAAGGAAGATGCTGTCTTGGCACCGCCTCCCAAGGGAGCAGGTCTGGAATGTGCTGGGGACATTAGGTCTCCCAGGGAACTCCAGCTGGAGTCTGACTGCTCAGCCACTCCAGTCTGCTGGCTATAAACAGGACAGCCACCAGTACGGGGTGGAGACTGGACCCCAGCACGTGTCAGGACATGAAGACATATGACTAGGGCTGATCCTGGGTTTCAGATGCTCCCCAGGGCTCCAATCCCCTGAATGGCGGGAAGGGAGGGAGAGCAAACGAATTCCCCAGTAAGTGTGCAGGGAAGAGACTGTGTTCTCTCTCTCTTTCTCTTTCCCCATTAATCATGTGCTTTTTTAGTGCCTGGCACCAGGATAGTATTTACATATGTTATGTTGTTTCATTTTCATAACAGCCCTGTGAGGGAAAATCCATCTCATAAATGAGGGGCTGAGGCACAGAGAAATGAGTGATCACACGCTCGAGATGACATACCACCAGGGTTGTCTGAGGCAATGACCCTGGCTCTTAACTACTGTGGCAGAGTCTTTCTCTCTCGGCTCTCCCTCCATTTGCCCCTTCCTGATCTGTTATTCTTCCCTCCATCTTCTTCCTTTCTTCCCTTTCTTCTCTTCTGGCCTCCCTTTCTTCTTTGTATTCATTGATCCAATAAATATTTATGGCAATGTTACATGCCTGGCACTGTGCCTGGCACAGGGAATAAAGCAAAATCCCTCCTGATCAAGTTGACATTCAGTTGAGGGTAGATTGACCATAAAGAAACAATCCCACACATAAATAATTAGTTGCTGATGAAATGACTTGTTTCTATGCAGAGAACAGGAAGAGGATATGCCAGAGAGTGCCCGAGGCTGGGGGTGTTTTAAGCTGGGTGGTCATGGGGGCCTCTCTGAGGAGGCAATGTGTGAGATCAGACATGAAGGAAAAGAAGGCACCAGCCACAAGAAGATGTGGAGCCAGAGTTCTAAGGGTGGGAACAGCAGGTGCAAAAACCCTGGAGTGGGCAGGATCTTGGCAGGTTTGGGGTCTAAAAGGCCAGTGTGGCTGGAGCCCAGTGACCAGGCAAGAGAGCTGTAGGAGAGGTGCAGAAAAGGGTGGATTCTGGATGTGATTTCAAGAGCCCTGGGAAGTTTTTAGGAAGAGGAGCAGTATAATCTAAGTCATGTTTCTGAAAGAGCACTCCAGCTACAATGCAAAGAACAGGCTGAAGAGTGGCAATAGTGGAAGCAGGGAAATGAGTGAGGACACTATTGCAGTGGCCAGGAGGGAGAAAGTGGCAGTTTGGACCAGGGTGGGGACAGTAGGGGTGGAGAAAAATGAGTATTTACTGACAGCTACTAAGTGCCGGGTGCCAAGAGATGAGAAAGGCCCAATCCCCTGTCTTTGCAACGCATCTAGTAACAAGTTGTTCAGGGAAACAAGATCACTGAAGTCCTGTCCTGGGTGTGAAGACAGAGGTCTGCAAGGGCACAGGGGACCCAGTCGGGAAGGATCAGCTCCATTTCAGGAGGGAAGGGAGATTGTGGAGAGAGCTTAGTCTCTTCTGAGCCTCCAACTACTGCAGATGCAGATGACATTCTTGCGGCTAGCTTCAGGACCATGCTGGTGGATCGTACTCATGAGACCAGTGGGGTCCTACAGAATGAAAGTTAGTGTGTGCCAAGGGCTCCAACATTTCCTAAGTCAACCTGAAAGCTGGCATTGAAGCTATTTAGGATCTCAGCAAATGGAATTACTCCCAATAGGCAGCTGGCTTTTCCAAAAGTTCAGTAGAATTCCTTCTTAGTGATCACCAAGCTGAGACTTTAAGGATACACTGAGCTTCCCAGGCAAAGAAAGGGGCGACTCAGGGCATTCCCAAAAGATGCATGTTCAAAGAGGAGAAAGGACTGGGGCTTCAAGTCAACAGCCAGCAGCGCCAACTTGCTGGCAATGTGAGTGAGCCACCTAGGAAGAGGGTCCTCTAACCTCAGTTAATACTTCAGATAACTGCAGCTCCAACCCACACCTCAACTGCAACCCCCTGAAAGACCCCACGTCAGAACCCCCACCAGCCAAGCCACTCTCAAATTCCTGATCCAGAGAGTCTGTGAGCTATAATAACTATTTATTGCTGTTTTAGCCACTAAGTTTTGGGATAGTTTGTTACACAGCAGTAGATAACTAATATAGAAAGAAGGTGAGTGTTGAGATAGTATAGAAGAGAAGTTAGAGAGGAAACCAAACCAAGAACAATTTGCTAAGGGTATCCTTACCGCGTTTACAGGCTGTATGCCCAGGGGTCTCTGCTCTGTCTGTGGTCCCTGATGAGTCCAGTGGCGCATTCTTTCCACCCACAGCCACATCTCCATATGGCTGCTTCTTATGGCTGCTTACACACATAAGGACACTTCTAAAACTAGCTTATTAACACACAGAGCCTACTATGCGCCAGCTCTAAGCTAAGGGCTCTCACATATAAGTTTTTGTTAAATTCTCACAACAAAACTTGGAGGTGAACATTATCATCCCCAGTGCCCAGGACAATATCTAGCACAGAGTAAATATATGTATTAGCACGTAGTAAGACCACTAATAAACAGACCCCAAAATATCAGGGCCTTAAAGACAAGAAATGTATTCCTTTTTCACCAAAATCCTAGGGGAGAGTTGCCTGTAATGTGAAAAAACAGTTAATATAATCTTGGCTACTGTATTAATCAGGGCTCTCTGGAGAAAGAAAACCAATAAAATGGGGAGAGAGAGAGATTTTAAGGAATTGGCTCAAGTACTCGTCGGGATTGACCGGTCTGAAATCTGTAGGGCAGGCTGGCAATTATATGTATGTATACATACACATATATATTTCATTTATTTCTATATACATAATACTATATATAAAGAGTACAAAATTATATACATTTATTATAAAGAGTAAAAAATTATATATATTTATATATATAAAGAGTAAAAAATGTTGTGGGGGAAGAGAATAGAAATACAACTTCAAGGAGAAAAAGAACTAACTAGAATTTCTGATTCTTATTTAATAAGAACTCCTTCATGTATTGTTTTTCTAAAGCATATGGATGGGTATTAAATTGGGATGATATTCAGATTCCCTATGATACATTTAAAAGAGCAATTGAACAGCCTTATTTTTAAATGATTTTACTAAATATTATATCATTCGCAATGATTTAAACTTCTGAAATAAAATTATTCGTTATTCCAGTGACTTTCCAGCTTACAATTTAGAGGCAAATATTCCTTAAGAGGATATCAACTATCAATATTTTCAAATGTTGATAAGCTGTTACCTCATAATTTCTGCCAATTTATAATTTAATATTACACCGCATACTCAAATTGTCAACCTTTCACAGCACATTACCAAAGTTATCAGGAAAACTGGACTACCATGACCAAAGATGTTACCGAGTGCACACTATTCTGACAGGGAGCGCCACCATCAAGGAGCGGTTTTCTTTAACAATTCTACTTATAAACAACATGGGAATAGAAGTAATTTAAAATGTTTAAAAAGTATTAAATGCACGACTGTTTCTGCAAATTGCATTTTGGATGCTTTGTATTACAGGGTATAAATGACCCATCCCCAACTATGGAATGTTAAGCTGACAACCAAGACAGTCAAAGCCCTCTGTAATCAATATGCCACTATTATCTGGCCATACCAAAAAATAAACAATCAGCAAATTACCTTAAAAAAAAGCATTTACACTTAGAATTTGAATGAGAAAGGATTCCCTCCTTCTTAAAAATGTTTCTGGAGCTGCTAAAAAACTTGCATTTGTAAACAATAGTTGATAAAAATATTCCTCTGGATTGTACAAGAAGAGGGATAGAGACCACTGCTAGGACAGGGAAGATAATATCAATCAGAGTCAGCTTCCTTCTCTGGGCTTCATCAGAGCCTGGACTCTCCTCATTTTTTTAGTTCTTCATTTTCTGCAGGTAAAGCTTCTTTGGCTTCCTGGTTAGCCACCTCATCCTGTTTTCCCTTTTGTCTGCTCTTTTTTGTCTGAAGATTTATCCTTTCCTGCTGCCTTTGTGGGCTTCCTTTCCACTTTAGGGTTAGCTGACAACCTTGCAGGTCTTCTCTTGGGCTCTTCCTTCACCACCCTTTGGCTAAGCTGAGCTGACCTTCCTTTTGGGTGTCTTGGTGGCGGAGAGGGTGCGTGCCAGGTGCCTGCAGCGAGCGGTGCCGGGAGCCTTGGAGAAGCAGTGCTGCCTGGCTGCTGCAGCTCCTCTGGCTGCCTGAGCTGCTGGGACCCCTAAGCAACATTTTAAATTCTTATTTTACACATGAGGAAAACAAGGCTTAGAGAAGCTAAGTCGCAGTCACTTGTCCAAGGTCGCCCAGAGAGTAAGTGGCCCATCTCCAACCCAAAGGAAAAGGCAAGCCACAGACTGGGAGAAAGTACTTGCAAAACATACATCTGATAAAGAGCTTACAACCAGAATATAGAAAGAACTCTCACAATTCACTAAAAACAAAACAAACAACTCAATTTTTTTAAAATGGGTAAAACATTTAGACAGATACTTTTTTGGTTTTTGGGTTCTTTTGAGACAAAGTCATACTCTGTCCTCTAGGTTGGAGTGCAGTAGCATGATCTTGGCTCACTGCAATCTTCACCTCCCAGGTTCAAGCGATTCTCCTGCCTCAGCCTCCTGAGACTACAGACGCACCGCACCACACCCTGCAAATTTTTGTATATTTTTTAGTAGGGACAGGGTTTCAGTATGTTGGCCAGGCTAGTCTTGAACTCCTGACCTCAAGTGATCTGTCCATCTTGGTCTCCCAAAGTGCTGGGATTACAGGTGTGAGCCACCGTGCCCGGCCTGGACAGGTATTTTATAAAAGAAGATGTGTGAGTGGCCAATAACCACATGAAAAGATGTTCAGTATCACTAGTTATCAGACAGTTGCAAACTAAAACCATAATGAAACACCATTACTTACCCACTAGAATGGGTAAAATTTAAAAGGCTGACAATACCAAGTGTTGACAGATGGGGAGCAACTGAAACTCTCACACATTATTGATGGGAATGTATAACAACACAGCACTTTGGAAAACCGTGTGGTATCTTACAAAGCTAAGCATACACTTTCCGCATACCCAGCAATTCTATTCCAAACTATTCACAAAAATAAATGAAAATATAGTCTGGGCCAGGCGCGGTAGCTCATGCCTGTAATCCCAGCACTTTGGAAGGCCGAGGTGGGCGGATTAGTTGAGGTCAGGAGTTCAAGACCAGCCTGGCCAACATGGTGAAACCCTGTCTCTACTAAAAATACAAAAATTAGCTAGGCATGGTGGCACACACCTGTAGTCCCAGGTACTCGGGAGGCTGAGGCAGGAGAATCACTTGAACCTGGGAGGCGGGGCTGGAGGTCGAGGGAGGAGCTTGCCTGCAAGCATAACAAGGAAACTTTTAAATAGATGGAGAAGCTGGGCACGGTGGCTCACGCCTGTAATCCCAGCACCTTCGGAGGTGGAGGCAGGTGGATCACTTGAGGTCAGGAGTTCAAGACGAGCCTGGCCAACATGGAGAAACCCCATCTCTATTAAAAATACAAAAAAATCAGCTGGGCATGGTGGTGTGCACCTGTAATCCCAGCTACTTGGGAGGCTGAGGCAAGAGAATTGCTTGAACTCGGGAGATGGAGGTTGTTGCAGTGAGCCGAGATCATGCCACTGCACTCCAGCCTGGGTGACAGAATGAGACCCTGTCTCAAAAAATAAAAATAAAAATAAAAATAAAAATAAATACATGGAAATGATCTAAGTCTTGATTATGGTTGTGGTTATACAATTGCATATAATTACCCAAATTTCTCAAACTACACACCCAAATGGTTGAATTTTATTATATCCTTTTATATTGTTATATCTTACTAAAAATGCAGGTACACCACCATCCAAAAATATTAATAATTGCGGCCGGGTGTGGTGGCTCACGCCTGTAATCCCAGGACTTTGGGAGGCCGAGGCCGGTAGGTCACGAGGTCAGGAGTTTGAGACCAGCCTGACCAACACGGTGAAACCCCGTCTGTACTAAAAATACAAAAATTAGCTGGGCAGGGTGGCACGTGTCTGTAGTCCCAGGTACTTGGGAGGCTGAGGCAGGAGAATTGCTTGAACCCAGGAGGCAAAGGTTGCAGTGAGCCGAGATCGCGCCACTGCACTCCAGCCTGGGCGACAGAGCGAGACTCTGTCTTGAAAAGAAAAAAAAATACTAATAATTGCTGTGACTCCATGGTCCCTGCCTTTCCCACCTTCCTGTGCTCTCATCCCTGCCTAGCCTATGTCTCTCTGGTACTTCCCTCTGACTCCTAGGAAAAAACTCTCTGAGCCTTTCCAAGGCCAACCCCTTTGTACAAGTGCTGGATTCCATTTCTCCTCCTGCCCCAGTCACTTTGGATTTGTGCCGGGGTGAGCAAGATGGGTCCTGCCACAAAGGTCTGAGAAAGCAAGCTGGGGAACCAGGAAACACCAGACCCCCAACAGAGTTTAGCCAATGACCATCTTAACTAAGACTGCACTATTCATGGTCTTCAATGCTGGAGCCATCTTATTCTCCACTAGGATGTTAGGCTCCATACTCCAATTTGTCCCTTGCCTGATATCCTTTAAGATCAGTCTAATTTCTTTCAGCCTGTCTTCACTTATGTGGGTGCCTTAAACAAAATATGTGGTTTCTTTCCTGCAGGAATTTTCAGGCTTTTCATAGAAATCGATGCCATTGTGAATCTCTAAGAAAGAATACTGATTATGGAATCTCCCTGGCATTTTAAACCAGTGCCCACACAACACACCGTGAGGGCTTCTGCACAAAATAAGCAGACATTATCATATCTCCCAAGAGACACTCCAGCCCCAACCTTGCCAGGTCAAAGAACATAACTTTCCCAAAGGGGCTGAAGGGCAGCTGTGCCCTCAGAAGGCAGCAAAAGGTGGGCCTGGAGGAGGCAGAGCTCCCTCCCAACGCCTTCTCCTATGAATACAAAGAGGAAAGGTTACCCGTTTAGACCCAAAGGCAGCTCTGGGTCAGCCTTTTCCTGGAAAAGCATCCCCCTGGGGTCCTAGGATTAGCCCTGGGCCTCTGCAACCCAGGACCTCAAGTTTTTCTTTGGAAGGTCTTGGCTTTGGCCCTGGAGTGCTGGAGCACAGAGTCCTCACACCATCCAGAGTACTGCCTTCACAGAAGCATCCCCACCCCTGGGTTTATCCTTGGCGGATGTATGGGAGCCCAGCCCACAGCATGGAAAGCAAGCCCTGAAGTGGCAGAACCAGATGAACAACCCTGAGTCTGCCAGCTTCCTGGCGCAAGCGCCCATACCAGTCCTGACAAGGCCTGGAATGAGCCACCTCAGTGGGAAAAAGGAAGAGGAAGCTAAACGGAGGAGTGAATACCTTCACCCTGGCTCCGCCCCAAACCCTGCCTGCTGGATGGCAAGAGATGAAAGAAAAAGCCAAACCCTTCAGCGAAAGAAGGCAGGAGAGGAGAAGCAGGAGAGGGATGTCAACAAAATTCTAGAAAGGGGAAAACAGAAAAATGAGATTCTTTCCTTTCTCCCTGCTGAGCGTTTGGGGAAGAATCTCCAACAAGCTTAAGAGGCACCAGACACCTCTATGAAGTGGGCCAGGGTGAGATCCAAAACAGGACTGTGGGTAAGAACCTGAAGAAGGGGAAGGGGAGCACTCTCCAAGATCCCCTCCCTCACTTCATAAAGGGAAGATCAACCCCCTTACCCCGTATCCCTCCTCACTGCCAAATTGTAGAGTTATCATCTGGAGAGCCTAAAGGCAGGGATGGCAGTGGTGGGGTCCTGGTCATGCTTATTCCTCCCAACCCCCTTCATCGCCCCCTCCTCATTCTGCTCTCCCAATGCTGGCTGCCAGCCTCCAGGCAGGAGACTCAGAGGATCCTTCACTGGAAATCTTGCTGGCCCAAGGGAAATGACCTACATATTCTGCTACTTTGGGGTCCCCAATATTAGGGCCAGAATCCTATCCCACCCTTTTTCTGTGAAACCCTCCAAGAATCCAGCTCTGCTCCCACACAGGGCTTCCATTAGCTGTTAACTGCCTCACTCTTAAATAGGATCAGACAGCCAAGAATCAAAGTCATTTGAGGGAAGCCTTAACTACGAAAAACAGAAACCAAAACAAACAGAAAAAAGTGAACCTTAAGGAAACAGAGAAAATGTGAAGATCAGAATAAGAAAACAATTTTCATTATAATTACTACCCCTAAAGGGATAAGAGAAGATAATTAATTCATGAAACAAGAAGATGATGTTATAAAGAGGAATCCTGGACAAGAAACAGCTCTTGAAAATTAAAAATGACAGCAAAAATACAGAAGGGTTAAAATTAAAAAGGGAAGAAATTTCCCAGAAAAGAAAAGATAATAGGAAAAAAATTAAAAGTCGGAGAATCATTCGGGGAGTTCTAACATCCAAATAATTGAAGTTCCAAAAGAGAGAACAGAAAAACTGGAGAAAACTAACAACTAAATCATCTGAGAAAATTTCCCAGAGCTTAGGGACATGACATGCCAGATTGAAGGGCTCACCAAAGACTCAGAATAGAAGACAAGAACATATCAAGGCACATTACTGGGAAACTTCAGAACATCCAGGCATGCAGAGAAAACCCTGTAAGCTTCCAGAGAAAGAGAAAACAATTTATATCCAGAGATCATCAGTCAGAAGTATGTTATTTTTCTCAATAGCAACACCAAAAGCAAGAAGACAATGAAGCAACTCTTTCAAAATACAGAGGGAGAATTCTTTCTCACCCAGAGTTTTATACCCAGGCAACTATCAACAGTGTATGAGTGGTTTTTTAAAAATTTGCCTCTCGCAGATCCATTCTCACAAAGTGACTAGACAAGTAAACCCAGAAAGAGGAAGAAAAAGAACCCAGGAAATGAGGGACCACACAAAAGAGAACTGAGAGGAAGGGCCACAATGAAGATGGAGGACGATCTCAAGATGAAAGCTGTTTGGTAGGACCAAAGAGTGTATCATCCCAATTCTCCAGGTGGGATGACCAGAGATAGACCTGATACAACACAACTGAGTCTACAGTCATTTAGGGAAACTTAGAGTTATGTGTGTCCATTTTGGCACAACTTAATGCTAAATATATAGAACACCAAGCAGATGCAAAATGAGGCAAAGTTTAACTTCAATCAAAACAAAAGTTGTATAAGAAAGAAAATGTGATCACAGCACAGTATATGATTCTGTTCTTAACAATATTTACATAGTCACAATAATATAAACGTTGGATAGTAATTTAACCAAAAATGCCATGTAGCCAAGTCAAGAGGATGAAGGAAAGAAGTGTGTGTGGTGTACAATCCTAATCTTTCATAATAGGAATGAGGTAGATAACACCTAAAGCAGAAGCATAATGAGAGAAGAAAAATAAGAATATTATATAGAAATTCAAGGGTAAACATGGAACATATTTAAAAGTTTAGGCCAGGCATAGTGGCTCACGCCTGTAATCCCAGCTCTTTGGTAGGTCGAGGTGGGCAGATCACCTGAGGTCAGGAGTTCGAGACCAGCCTGGCCAACATGGCAAAACCCCACCTCTACTAAAAATACAAAAATTAGCCTGGCATGGTGGTAGGCACCTGTAATCCCAGCTACTCGGGAGGCTGAGGCAGGATAATAGCTTGAACCAGGGAGGCAGAGGTTGCAGTGAGCTGAGATCATGCCATTGCACTCCAACCTGGGTGACAGAGCAAGACTCCATCTCAAAAAAAAAGTAATAAAAATAAAATTTAAAAGATGTTTAAAGTGATTGTCTCTTTGGAATGGAATTTGGTGGGGGAAAGAGTAAAACAGGGGACTGCTTTCTTACATTGTAGAACTATTTGACTTTTTTTCCCCTTTTTCTTTTGAGGTATACTTAATATATAGTAAACCCACCTATTTAAAATGCACAGTTTGATAAGTTTCATCATAAGTACACCACAGTCAAGAGAGTAAATATATCCAGCACCCTCCACTCAAGTTTCCATGTGCCTTTGTAGTCCTCCTTCCCTCCAGGATTACTCCTAGGGAGGGACATATGGATGGCTGCAGATCAATGGCCACCCAAGAATGGTTCAACAGTTCCTGCCACTGTTTTAGTAAACCAGGGGGTCTGTGCTTCTAGTGCAGGTTCTCCAGATGCCAGCCTGGGGAAGACATCTCACTGTTCAACTTGGCCTTCAGCACTCAGCTTGAGAAATGTCTCTTCCAGGAAGCCCGTCATGACTGCCTCCCTGTGCCCATGCTCCCTTCCTTCAAGGTGTAACTCTCCACTTTGTAGTGTACTTGCTTCTTTTTCCCCTGCACCAAGTGGCCTGAGAGCCCTGCAAGAATGGAAGCCCCCTTTGACTCATAGGGGCTGACTCAGAGCAGGTGCGCAGGGAATGTTTGTTGATTGAAGGTATGAAATACATGACAGAATAGATATGTGGAAGGGTGAATGGGTGAGTGAATGCAAGGTGTTTTCCCACGCCAATGATATAAGGCTGTTTATGTTAAAGATGGTATCTCTTTAAAGACCACGTGAAAGCCCAGCAGAGGCTGAAATGGGAGGAAAGTGCAGAAACACAACTGGAGCCATGAGTCCATTCTTGGAGAGGTCTGAGAGACACCTGTCCCAGGATGAAATCCTGTCCCAAACATCTCTTCCCCTCCCCCTCCCCTCACCCCCAACCTCAGACCCAAGACCCACCTGGGGAGCCCTGGGCTGAGCTGACCCCAGCAACTGGAGATGTGACTCACTAGGGGGCACTCTTCCATCACACTGGCCCTGCCCCAGCAGGCACAAACCCTGCCCTAGGCCCTTCCCTGCAAACTCAGGGGCCTCTTCACATTCCCTGCTGCCTCTTGCCAAGAGCAGAGGATCTTTCCAGGCAGCAATGGCACATCCACCAAATCAGTATTCACTCAGTATAAGGTAGCTTTGCAGAAAAGGCAGGTGTCTGGGGTTACATTGATATTTCAAAATGGTCTTCCTTTATTCACCGGCCAGAATGTGCCCATTCTTAGATCCCCACCCCATTCTTTCCCAGTCTGATGGCTACCCACACAAAAATATACTCAAGTGTGCGCTCCTGCAGTAGTTCATCTATGTATTCACCAATATCCAGACACGTCTTCCATGCAGGACTGGAAATTGTGAAGGCGCTGGGCAGTTACACACCCTAGAAAAAGGGGAGGAAGTGGGAGCATTGTTCAGAGCTCCCTGCCCATTGTGTAACCTCACCATTCACAGGAATCCTCTTAGCCCTGGGCTGGCAGGGGCACCAGAAAGAAGCAAAGGGCCACAGAGGAAGGCCAGGGGCTCAAGGAATGTGTGCAGTTTGGAGAGGCAGGGCTTCTTCTTCTTCTTTTTTTTTTTTTAAACAGAGTCTCACCTGTCACCTAGGCTGGAGTGCAATGGAGCTATCTGAAGTCACTGCAACCTCTGCCTTCTGGATTCAAGCTATTCTCCTGCCTCAGCTTCCTGAGCTAGGATTGCAGGCGTCCACCACCATGCCTGGCTAATTTTTGTATTTTTAGTAGAAACAGGGTTTTGCCATGTCGGCCAGTCTGCTCTCGAACTCCTGACTTCAGGTGAACCACCTGCCTTGGCCTCCCAAAGTGCTGGGATTACAGGCGTGAGCCACCGCACCTGGCTGCTTCTTCATTTTTTTAGGACAACATCCTCTTACCTAAACCACTGTGGGGCTAATTTCATAAATCTCCAACTCTGGAGGATTTAACCCCCAAAGACACAGACCCCATGAGGCCCTTTGTGCATAACGGAGATTCCAGACCTGAAGCATGAGAGTGAAAGGGAGAGGGGGCAGCAGTGGAAGGAGGAGACTTGGGGGAGAAAACCTAGAGGCAGTGATGAAGGCAGGGGAGGAGAAAGGGGTGAAGGGGGGACAGGGGTTTGCAGAAGGACAAAGAGAAGAAAGTCCCCCACTTGGGTCTTCTTCTGTTCTTGGAACTGGAGCACTGGAACTTCCATCCTAATGTTCAGATTCTTCCTATGAATTTGCTTCATGCTCCAGATTCCGGTAGGTTTCCTGTTTCCATAACCTGTCAGAGGGAGTGTTCAGGGGAAGCTGGAAAAGTGAATTTCACAACTAACAGTCATCCTTTGATCTTGCCACCTGCACCCTGGAGCTCTCCTCCACTAAGCAACCATTTGGGAAGTAAGGGGAACATTTCCTTCCCGGCTCCATGGGAGGAGGCTGCTAGGGTCCCACCAAGAACTCACTTTCATGTTCTGGTTGGGTGCAGTGGGATGCAGCTGCAGGGCCAGACTGAGGCCATAAAACAGGCACAGACCCAGACCGGGGCTAAGGAGAGGCGATGGTGTGGGTGCCTGGATCCCTTGCTAAGCCCTGTACACACCTATGATGCAGCCACACCCCAAGGAGCTACACTTCCTAGAGCAAAGGCCTCCAGCCTGGCTTACTCTGAGAATTAGGTCACCTCCGCATCTTTCCTGGATAGGATTCCTGACCCAGCCAGCCACATTGTCATCTGGGAAGAATCATAACCTGTAGGAGGAAGAGAGGAGGTAAAGGAGAATGGGACAAAGTAGATTGAGACAAAGGTGGAAGAAGAAAGCATTGGCTCACTAAGAGAGCCTCTCTCCCCTCTGCTGTAGGTGAAGATTCATATGCAAGCAGGCTGGCCGGCCCAGTGTCCCCTGTGCACATCTGCCTCTGGCACATCTGAACAGTGGTCACCTTCTCCACCAACTATCCTGCAGAGCTGGGGTGGCCGCCAGCTTAGGTAGGCTCCACCGCAGGCCATGCCTGACAGATCTTGCCTTCTGTTCTTTCTGCAGAGAGAAAGGGAAAGGAAAAATAAAAGTACATGCACATTTCTCATTTAGGTTTTGGGATCCCTCTCCCGCTTCTGTCCCTTTGGGGACAGAAATTAGCAATCATGGGGGCCTGTGTGGCTCTGCAGCAGGCTTGTCCACTCCAAGATGTACCTCCTTCACCCTAGCTGCCTTGAACTGACGCCTTTCTGCAACCATCTCAAGAATATTTGTCAAACATTTTGTCAGGTATCCTCCCAAATGCCTGAAAGACAGGACTGTACCATGTGGTCTTTCCCCTGGTTTTACAACCCGAGTGCACATGTCCACAACCACTCCCCTGCCTCCACCAATTATGCTGTCCATAAGGTAAGGCCACTCAGAGACCTCTTTCCTTTCACTTCTAAAATTCCTACCTACAGTGGTATACTGATCACAGCTTCTCTTCGTAAGGGGATCCTTGGAAAGACAAATATCCCGTAGCTTGGCACAAATGATCCATTTGCTCAATCATCTCAGATCCAATCACTGTTTGAAACACAGTATTTGACTTCCAAGTAAAACACACACGTGCGCACACACACACACACTTTTTGTGAGTTTTATTAAAAATTAACAATGTCCCTGGCAATTAAGCTTGCAGAATTTCCTTGTCCTTGTTTCCCTCCAGTGAATTTGGGACTTGCAAACTCCATGCTGATGGGAGGACCCAGCCAGGGGTAGAAATCAGCCCTGACTCTCTGGGTGGACAGGGGCCTGACTGCCCCCACCTCACCCCAACTGACTTGTAGAGAGGGCTTGTGTGATGGGGAACGGGGACAGCATGTGTCAGAGCGAGCTTTCTGAAGAAGGGGTTTCCATCTAGCAGTGGAAGTGTCCTGGGGGCAGAGGAGAGGATTCCATGCAGGAGCCACAGAAGTGGGTACAGGGGAAAGCCCCTGGCTGGCAGGGGTGTAGGGGGAGGTAAAGAAGAGACTAAAGCAAGGACAGGGTAAGTGGAGAGAGGAGGGCTCCCAGTGTCTGCCCTGTCCATCTAGGGAGCCTGGATTCTGATAGCCAGGGAGGGGTTTTGAGAATGAGAAACCAAGCAGCCCAGTGGTTGATTACCTGGTTCTCACTGTGTGTGACTCTGGGCACGCTGCTTAAGCTCTCTGAGCCCTGGTGTCCTCATTTACAACACAGGGATGATAACAGAACTCCGTTGGAGGGTGCTTGGCAGGGCTGAATCGGATGACTGGGCGAAAAGCCAGCGGTGGCACACCTTGCACTCTGCGTAAAGGGGCGCCTATTATCACCTTGGGGAAGAACTGGACAGAGCGCCTGGCGGCGGGTGATTCAGTTGGGTAGGTGGGTCAAATTGACCGGATTTTCCAACCCAGATTCACACTTCCTGTCGAGACGGTCGTAAAATAGCTGGCGAAGGTGTTTGTAAACAAAAGTGCATTCAAAGGTTGCCGCTGGGGGTGAAAACAGCGGGGGTTAGGGGAAAGAGGCTCTGTGGCTGGAAGCATTCACTTAGCCCGGGGCACTGTCCCAGCCCAGAGGATATGGATGTCTTTGCAGTCCCTCCTCCCTTTCCCACCTCCCCCGGTACACACACACGCACACACACACACACACACACACACAGCCGGAGTCCCCTCCCGCAGCAACCCCAGGACACGCGTGGTACAGCCCTTGCTGTCGTCCCGTCGATGGGTTTAGGGATGAAGGGTGAGAGCGGGTCGGCGACTGGGAGTGGAGGCGATAATGGGCAGAGTTGGATTAAATTGTCTCCAGCAGCTCCGAAGGCAAAGCATGGGGCAGGGGCGGACACACCGCGGCCTGGAGGGCGCTGGGCGCGGAGGAACGGAGCTCGGGGGCCGGGCCGGCGCTCGGCCAGCAGCGCCGCCTCCCCGGAGGAAGGCGGGGGCCGGGAGGAGGGAGCGGGAGAAGGCGGAGGGCGGAGGAGGGCGGTGCGCTGAGAGGTTATTTGTGGTTCGCTTTGATCCCGAGGGGGAACCTGAAACTCTCACATTCCTGGCATAGCAGCCGCCTCCGGCGCGGGCCGACCCTGGGGCTGCGCGCTGGGGCGCGAACAGCCAGAGCGTCGGCGCCACGGCCGAGAACACATCTTCGCCGCCGAGCTGAGCTGGGCCGAGCCGGAGGTTGTGGTGTCTGACTGCGCTGGGCACCCTCGGGCCGCAGCGGTAAGGAAGGCCGCTCGGCGCTCGGGAGAGCGCGCGAGGCCACAGAAACGTGCCCCAGCCAAAGCTGGAGTCTCGGCGCAACCCGGCCTTTTCCGGGAGTCGGAGCCTCGAGGATCGAGCGTCCTCGGGGCGCAGTGCGCCCTTTCGAGGCAGCCGCAGTGCCTGGCAAGGGCCGCTCTGCCCAGGGAGCGCAGCGCGCTGGGCTTTGCGGGGCTCTAGAAACGCGCGGGTCTCTTGGGGCTGGGGGAGAGGGGAGAGGGCCGACTCCGGAGACAACAGCCACAGTGTTTCGGGTTGCAGGTCGGCGGGGGTGGGGGTGGCGGGGGACAGGGATGGAGGCGCCGCTTGGAGCTCAAGTTGCAGGGTCCTGCGGGCTGATTTGGTTAGGTGGGGGTTACAGGTGCCTTTGCCCCCAACTAGTCCAAGAATTCCTCTTTGTCTTCCTTGGAAAATCCTCTCTGGAGCCACGAATTGGCCCTCACTTAGAAAGAATGCAGCCTGCTGTCCAGCCCGGTGACGTCAGCGTTAGAGTATTTGGAAAACAAAGAGGGCTCGAGAGGGAGGGAGGCGGACCCGCGATGCTTAAAGACCTCTCCGGGCCTCGGGCTACCCTCACCGGCTCGCCCCAGGCGTACCAGCGGCCACCGGTGCTCCAGGTCCGCCCGGGCTCGTGGTGGGGCGGGAGCCCTGGCTGGGGTGCCAGAACCTCCTAGCTTGGAGACTGTCTTTGGTTCCTTAGGCGAGCAGGAGCCCAGGCCAAGGCTGGAGACGCGCGCTGGCTTAGAAAGGCGGCCTTCAGAGAGCGCAGCGGGCGAGTGCAGCAGAGGTTCGCGGCCGGGGGCGCGGAAGCAGGTTTTTGTAAAGGCCCAGGCGTTTGATGTCTGAAAGGACGTGAATCTGAGGGGCTTGGCCGGGACAAATTCGCGATGAGAGGCCTTGGAGATGTTCCTTGCTCCCAGTCCGGGCACACTATGGAGCGCCTGGAATCTGTCAGGAAGGCTCCGCATTCCTTCCTGCCGCTCCCCTGCCTTCTCTGTGGGAGTCGGCCCAGAGAGTGATTATCATAGGAAATGCCCGCAGATAAAACTCCAGGGCGAACTGAATCCCATACGAATTGAATCCCATTTGCTTGCTTTGCCTCGGGTAGCTCTGGAGTCTTGCACATCTACCCCTCGTTGTGTGTGGGGGGCGCATGACTGGGTGCCAGGAAGGATGGGTACAGAGGTGCCCTCCAGACTCATCCCCCACTCCCCAGCTCTGGGCAGCTGGAGTACTGGGGTGGGGAGAGGGAAAAGATCGGGAATGGCTGCTCTGCCAACATGCCATAGCCCAAACTGAAGCAGGACACTAGGGCTAGTTTAGTGGCAGAGGAGGGGCCACATTCCTCCCACCCACCCCCCCAACCCCTGCCCATACACACAGGACCTGTGGCAGTGTGGATTCTGTTTAGTTTTCCCTGGATCCCAGTTTGGAGATTTGTGTTGGAAGAGGCTGTGGAAAGGAAGCTGGGTGAGAGAGGCAGGCAGATTTCCAGTCCATGAACCACTGGGAGCCCAGGCTTAGAAGGGAACTCCTTTCTCCGATATAATCTCCCAGCACTTTAGGCTCACAGTCCCCTCTCCCCTGCCCCAGGTCTCTCAACCAACAGCCTCCCCTTACTTCTCCAGTTGGCCCAAGTCAAGATGGGCTTCCTTGACACTGATGTCAAGAAAGATGCTGAGTGCCCATCCCTTATGTGCCTAGAGGACCAGTGGGGGCTTTTCCAAGTAGCGTGTGTGTGTGTTTGTGTGTGTGTGTGTGTGTGTGTGTGTTGGGGAGGATAATCATAAAATCAAAGACATCATGCCATCCTTCCTTTTTCCTGGAGCTCTCTTGCAGTTACTGTCAGCACAAAAGACTGACCCACTAACCTTAATGGGTGGCACCTTTTTGCCTCATCTTACAAAACCATTGTCCTCTTGAAGCATTTTTATTCATCCTTTATTCACCAATTCAGGTGCAATTACTCCTTCTTCCTGTTCACCTTGCAGAATGACTGCCAAGGTCATCCCATGACAGGGAGCCCCAGATTCATTCTGTCAGCAGCGCTTGATGAAGCAGAGCCCAAGCCCATCCTCCAGGAGTTCTCTGGTTCAGGGAGAGTGGGAAAAGTGGCCAGGGGTTCAGCGGGCTAGAGGGTGGTAGGTTGACTGTGCCAAGGCTCTGGGATGCCTCAGTCTAGAGGGTGGTAGGTTGACTGTACCAAGGCTGGACTCTGGCATGCCTCAGTCTAGAGGGTCCTAGAGGCCTTTCGCCTAGGGCTTCTACTGGACTGCATGCATTCTTTATCACCTGCCAATAAATTGGGGCCCCATCCACCCCTAGACTGAATAGCTAAGTGGTTAGATCTGAACTAGGCCTGCCTTAGAATTGCCCATCAGGCTGTTTGATGTGTAGCTGGCTGTACGGGTGGTGGTTCCTGGTGGGTTATCTTCTGGTTTCCTGTTGTCTCTCTCCAGGAATAGTAAGTCTCCATGAATGTTATCATTAGTAATCGTTTACCAGGATTTTCACTGTGCCAGGAGCTCGCAGGCCACTGCCTCTTTTTTTTTCCTCATCTCCATGAGTCAAGCAGAATTCTTTGCATTTTTCTGGTGGAGAAACTGAGGCTCAGAGATTAGGTAACTTGTCTTAATCAGTAGATGGCAGCACTGGTACTTGAACCCAGGCTTGTGTGAACCGCCCCACCCCTGCTCTTCACTTTTATGCTTTCCACCAGAGTAATAATGGAAATCCTGGAAAGCCTTCTCCTTTCCCATGGGTTCCCACTGATTGCTTTTCTCTCTCTCTCTCCCCACCCCACTCCAGGTGCTCTGGGGCCAGGTGCCACCGGCCATTGTCCAGGCAGCTGTGTGCAAGCCAAAGAAGCATGAGGACACTGGAAGACTCCTCGGGGACAGTCCTGCACCGCCTCATCCAGGAGCAGCTGCGCTACGGCAACCTGACTGAGACGCGCACGCTGCTAGCCATCCAGCAGCAGGCCCTGAGGGGTGGGGCTGGAACTGGGGGTACAGGGAGCCCCCAGGCCTCCCTGGAGATCCTGGCCCCAGAGGACAGTCAGGTGCTGCAGCAGGCCACCAGGCAGGAGCCCCAGGGCCAGGAGCACCAGGGCGGTGAGAACCACCTGGCAGAGAACACCCTCTACCGGCTATGCCCACAGCCCAGCAAGGGAGAGGAGCTGCCCACCTATGAGGAGGCCAAAGCCCACTCGCAGTACTATGCGGCCCAGCAGGCAGGGACCCGGCCACATGCGGGGGACCGAGATCCCCGTGGGGCCCCGGGAGGCAGTCGGAGGCAGGACGAGGCCCTGCGGGAGCTGAGGCATGGGCACGTGCGCTCGTTGAGTGAACGGCTCCTTCAGTTGTCCCTGGAGAGGAACGGCGCCCGGGCCCCCAGCCACATGAGCTCCTCCCACAGCTTCCCACAGCTGGCCCGCAACCAGCAGGGCCCCCCACTGAGGGGCCCCCCTGCTGAGGGCCCAGAGTCCCGAGGACCCCCACCTCAGTACCCTCATGTTGTACTAGCTCATGAGACCACCACTGCTGTCACTGACCCACGGTACCGTGCCCGCGGCAGCCCGCACTTCCAGCATGCTGAAGTCAGGTAACTCTCCCCACCTTGGGCTTTCCAACTCCTGGCTTTCTTCCAGCACAGGTCTCTCAGGGAGGAGAGCCTCAAGATCACAGCTTGTGTCAGAGCTAGCAAGATCCACCCCACCTCCAACCTGAGAAGGGAGAGCTAATGCCTGGCAGAGAAGAGGGACTTAGCTGAGGTCCCCTAAGAAGTTAGTGGTGTCCCTTGCCTTAATTCAGAGATAGGCACCATTGTCTGCTTAGCTGTAGCATTCAAGTAACTAGAGTCCCCAGAGTACACAAATTGCAGCAGGGGGTTAAAGGTTAGATTTCAGAAAGAACTTCCTAAAGGCAAGGTTGGGAATGATTGCCAAACTGTTTCCAAGTTAAGCAGGAAGAAGGTGGGACTTCCTTCTCTGGAGATTTTTTAAGAAAATATGAGCAGCTTGCTTTCTGTGATTATTGGGAGGCATTCCTAACTAGAGGCTGGAAAGGCCCAGTGGTCTGATTAGAGACCTCTCAGCATCTTACACCAGGGCAGGAGCTTACTTGTCTCTCCTCTTCATTTCCTGCCATATGCTCCCTGCGTCTGCAGCCTGCAGTGGGAAAGGATTCTGGGTCCAAGTGGGCCCTTTTCTGGTGAGGCTCAGGAGAGGCTGCTGGGCCATGGTAGGGACTTAGAGTTTGATTCTGAGTGTGCTGGGAGGCCCTCAGGGGATGTGATTTGGTTTACCTTTTCTAAATGCTCTCTCTGGCTACATGCAGAGCATGGTTTGTAAGGGGCCAGAATGGAAGCAGGAAGACCCGGGGAGGCAAGAAGTCTAGAGAGTTTGGAGAAATAAGTGTTCCTAGAAACAAGGCCCTGCCTCACGCTTCTCATCTTGCCCAGCATCTTTTCCAGAGAAGCAGACACAGCCATCACTGCTGCATCTCCCCCTATGGGAGTCCAAGAAACCCCACCAAGGGACCCCAAGGATTTCAGACTCTTCCTCTGGTGGCCCAAGGTCAAAGTCTGGTTCTCTTCATGCCTGCTGTGTTCCTTTAGTAAACACCCACTTTCCCACCGTCCGGCTTTCCTTGCTCTCGAGAAATGAGTGACATGATGGGGTTGGTATGGCGGAACCAGAGGTTGGAGCCTCATAGTTTTTCTCCAGCCTCCACCCCTCCAGACTCGCACTTTATCGCCCCTCTCAGGGCTCGGTCAGGAAGAGTTTCGGAAGCTGAGTGGTGGTTTCTTCTTTTGGACCAGCCTTATTGAACCCTGTCAGGAAAAGATAGTAATCACGGCAAGGAAGTAGACTGTTTGCAGGAGAACAAAAAGCAGGGGAGGGAGAGGACGAGGAGAAAGGAAAGCAAGTGTGAAGGGAAAGGAGTTGCTATTCTTTCTCAGAGCTAAGTCATCCCCAAAGAATGCCAGTTGTGTCTGCCTGGCCCAGTGCAGGGGGGAGCAAGTTCTTGAAGCAACCTTGAGAATGGCCATTTTAGCAGTGGAATGGAGAGTTTGAGCACTCCAGTGGGGACCCTCTTCCCAGCTCTTACTGGAAGCCCCACCTTAGGTAGTAGGAGAAATACATCTGCCCAATATCTCCTTTCAGATGATCCAGTGAAGATTATTTGTTAGGAAACGGGCTAGACTCCTAGCCTAGGGTCCTGAGAAGAGCAGGGGGGCCATAGGCTGCATGGCAGCAAGAGTCAGGGGCAGGCTGGGTGTGCATTAGTGCTGAGATGATGCACCCAGAAGGGGAATTCGGTTTTTGCGGGGCTTCTGGGACTTGGAAGATTCTTTGTGAAACTGAGGCAGTTGTGACACTGGGAATCACAAGGTCCCAGGAAGGCCCTTGGACTCCCCGTGCCTCTTGCCCTTTGCTCCTTCCCTCAACATGGAGCCCTGGGGGTGATGTTACACCAGTGCCAGAGGCCAATAGAATATTGTCCCCTGAACTCAGTGACCACAGTAGTCCAGAGGCAGCCCTTACTCCCAAGGAAACCAAGAGTTTGGGCCACATTTGTTCTCTAAACTGAGGGTAAACTGAGGCTCCTACTAGAAGAGATGGAGGATGGGCCACCATTATAGGAGCACCTGCCACCCGCCCAGCACTGGCCCAGCACTCTGCCAGGCCTTACATAGCGTCATCCTCAACAAATCCCAGCGAGGCTGGAGACCCTCATGATGCAACAGAGCAATGCCCAGTCTGTGGGGCTGAGGCACTCGCCCAAGGTTAAACAGCTGGAGCAGGGATTTGAACCCCTATTTGTCAGACTCTAGAGCTCAGACTCTTACCCTGACATTTGTCTCATTGCTCTAACCTTAACTGGAGTCTTCTAAAAATGACTCTGGGTGAGTGGGGGGTGGGGGGTGGCAGGACTTGAAATAGGAAGGAGAAAATGAGTGCTGCTTTGGCAGTCTTGAAACTGGCGACTCGTGTAATAGACACAAGGTTGCTGCTGGGGCCCAGCCACCAAAGTTGTCCTGGGGCCTGGAAGGTTATATGCTCAGTCATGATTGACATGGCCTCCAGCCCCAAAAATAACCTTCCATTGATTAGAAGTGTCAGGGTGCATTTTTTAAGATGATGTATTTAAGCATTAGTTGCTTAGGAGGCCCAGGATTGCTCAGGCTGATCCCCAAGGCCCCAGCCACTGTGAGGCGGGTATGAAACAAGCATCCTGACATTAATCCCCTCTAGCCCTGCTGTCTGACTCTTGAGAGCCTCAGGCAGAAACATTTGGAAAAGGCCTTCCCTACTGGTCCCTGCCTAACACTAGAGGGTTGAATAATTATCTGCAGTAATTTTAATAATATATTAATTATTGATAATAATTAACCATCTTCCCAGTATGCCTAGGAGTGGGGTGACCCCGGGCTGCTCTGGTGGGAGCCATGAGGGTCTGTGCTGTCTCTGAGCACCGTCTCTTCTGTTCCCCAGGATCCTGCAGGCCCAGGTGCCTCCTGTGTTCCTCCAACAGCAGCAGCAGTACCAGTACCTGCAGCAATCTCAGGAGCACCCCCCTCCCCCACATCCAGCTGCTCTCGGCCATGGCCCCCTGAGCTCCCTCAGTCCACCTGCTGTGGAGGGGCCAGTGAGTGCCCAGGCCTCCTCAGCCACCTCGGGCAGTGCCCACCTGGCCCAGATGGAGGCCGTGCTGAGGGAGAATGCCAGGCTGCAGAGAGACAATGAGCGGCTGCAGAGGGAGCTGGAGAGCTCTGCGGAGAAGGCTGGCCGCATTGAGAAGGTAGGCCCTGCTGGGGCTTCAGAAGGGCAGACCAGAAAGAGACCCCGAGGGGCTACCTGGGGAGTGGGTAGTCCAAGGAGAGGCAGAGGAGCCTGAAAACTGTTTGGCTGGATTTCTCCCTATCCCTCTGTCTTCCACCTCCCTCACTCCTCATGCACCCTCCTGAGCTGACTCCAGACAGCTGGGGAACAGCCGAGAGGCCGGCAGAGCAGGCCTGGAGCATGAACAGTTGCTGGCCAGTGGTGATTAGAAAGAGCCCATTCACCAGCTCCTTGCACACTCGCACCCTTGCCCTGCACACACCCCCTCCCATGGACACCTCCCACAGAGAGCCCTTTGTGTCCCCCACACAACAGCAAGTCTGTTCCAGGCCAGCCCTGGCCAAAAAGAAAACTTCTCCTCTTGGAAAAAAAATGGGCGACTTGTTGGAATCACAGGCCAGCTAAGAGCACGTGCGGAACCTGCCAGCAGCCAAGTGGGAGGAGCAGCCGGGGCCCAGCTGGCCCTCTGGGTGGATGGTGATGCCTGGGACACCAGGCAGAGGCAGCTCTGCCTGGTGCCCGCTTCTTTAGTGAAGGGTTACCAGTTTTCCGCTGAGGCTCAGTTTTAGCAGATGGCCTCAGGCCTCCCTTGACTGTCCTGTGGTGTCCAAGTTAGGTCAAACCACCCCATCATGGCTGGAGTCTTTCGGTGCCCACTTCTGGCCAACTGTACTCAGTTTCTTGGTGGAAGCCAGCCAAGAGTAGAATGTTTCCTTCTGGACACTGGGCACAGGGAAGCTGTGTTTAGTCACCCCGCAGGCAGCTACTTCCAAAGTACCTGGCCCTGGGTTCACTCAGCATCTGGTCCTTGGGGCAGCCGATGGGACCGTTGCTTGCTGGTCCCAGCAGTCTATTCTACTTCCGGAGGCTACAAGCTTCTGACCATCCCACCATAGTCACCTGGAGGTTTTGCTCCTGTTTGGTGGCCTCTCATCTGTCACCTTTTCTGATGGAGAGTAGTGGGTCAGCCTCGAATCACTCCCTGGGAGCTCTCGCCTTCATTCAGCTCTGCTGTCTGACTCTTGCAGCTGGAAAGCGAAATCCAGCGGCTCTCTGAGGCCCATGAGAGCCTGACCAGAGCCTCCTCCAAGCGTGAGGCCCTGGAGAAGACCATGCGGAACAAGATGGACAGTGAAATGAGGAGGCTGCAAGACTTCAACCGGGATCTTAGAGGTGAGAGCCAGTCACACAGGTGGAGGTTGGAGAACCTCTGCAGAGGACTTACTTCTTTTGTTCTAGAGAAAAATTGGGAATCTCTATTCTCTGTCAAAAGTGCAGATGAACTCAGAGAGCCAGGCTGAGACCCCTTTGGAGCTGCCCTGATAGAGAGATGCTTGTCTCTATGTACTGGGCCTAGGATCCCCTCAGGGATGATGGCTCTTGACAGAGGAGGCTCCCACCCATGGGGCCCTGAGCTGAGCTGGGGTTTCCTTATGAACCCATCCCCAATATGGAGGATACAGCCCCATCCTGATAGGACGTCAGGAAAAATCCCAAGCTGGCAGCTTCACCTGACACTAAAACATCTTTCCTTCCCTTGAAACAGAGAGATTGGAATCTGCAAATCGCCGCCTGGCAAGCAAGACACAGGAGGCCCAGGCCGGCAGTCAGGACATGGTGGCCAAGCTGCTTGCTCAGAGTGAGTAGGGGCCCCACTAAGAAGCCTGGCCTGTGTGCAGGCAATGGGACTGCTGCACACCCTCTGGACTAGGAAGATTGGCCTTCCCCCTTGCAAAGTAGTACTTTGGGAGCAGGTTTACTGCCCACTGTATGCCCAACACTAGACTGGATCTGGGGATAGTGGGGATAAGTGGCTTCCAAAGAAGAATAGGATCTAGTTCTGTATCTTTTAAGAAGATCAGCTGACACAAGAGGGAAAGCCAGGGAGCAGTGATTTGCTGAGCTTCGGTGCTGACCACCAGTGCAGTGCATTGGGCAGTGCGGGAGGCAAGGTAGCCCTGAAGACAGATGAGGTGAAGGAGAAGGACAGGTCTGAGAGCTTCCCAGGGAGTTCCTGGCAACAGAAAGGTCGGGAGTGTGCAATGGGAATGTGAGAGGTAGGGGGGCATGGTGGAGCTGAGCCATAGCAAGCCAAGTGGAGGCATCTGAGGCAGCCAAAAATGGGATCCTAGACCTTAACCAACAGATGCATTCTAAACGGGGCGGTCTAAGCATCCTTGAAGAATGGGCAAGTTCATTGACTAGTCCATTTATTCATTCATTAGCAGATGTGTTTTAAGCAACTGGCAGATGTTCAAGAGAGAATGGGAGCAGGCCCAGGAAGGTACCATGGCAGGGAGGTCAGGAAGGAAGTGGTGAGCTTAAGAAAGGAGCAGGTTCCCACAGATGCAAAAGAACAACGGGGGTGGCCCTAGAAACCGGTGATTAGGAGCCCCGGTGGCCTGAGAGAGGGGCTCTGTGGGGATGGCAGGGGTGGAGAGCCAGCCAGAGGTGAAGGAGCTATTGGGCAGTTCAAGAGGTACATGGGGTGGGTGGCAAAGGGAGCCCTGAGCTCAGCAGCAGGAGGCTCTAGCAATCAGAAGAGACTAAGAACAGTTATTTATTGAGCTCCTACTAGGAGCTTTAGTGCTGTTCAAGGTGTTTGCAGAGAAGTGGAATGGGAGTGGTTGGTAGCTGGGTAAACATGGCTTTGAGTCTTCACAGGAACCCTACTGTGAATGGCACAAAGGGTAGTGTGGGGTGCAGAAATGGAGGAGCAGCTTGAGGACTTAGCTCTGGCTGGCAGCACCCCTATCTTCCTTCAAAGAGGGTTCAAAGACTAGGGCAGGGAATGGGGGAACACAGCACTGAAGGAATTGACAGGGTGGGGCAGGAGGTAGGCTGGTCTCTTCTGGCTGGGTGGGGTGAGATGGCAGCGGCTTAAGGTCTCTGGGAAGGAGTCAAAGGGAAGGAGGGAGAAAGGGGAGGGGGCAGCCCTGGGGTTTCCCTGAGGAGTCTGGGGAGGAGAAGCTGCAAGGGCACGGCAGATTAGGGTGCCTGTGGAGGAAGGCGGACTTCTGGAGCCTGACTCTGCCAAAGAAAGGAAGCCATGGGGCGGGTTTCTGGGAGCTTGCTAGTGGGTGAGAAGAGGGGGGCCGGCCGGGAGGCGTTTCCGCTCCCCGGGGAGCGAGTGAGCGCCGAGCTGTTCTTGGCTCCTCGCTGGAGCCATTAATCTTGCAGCCGCGGGTGACCTGGATGCCTGGCATTCCAGAGCCGCGAGCTGTTCCGCTCCCGGCCCGCCCCCCGCCGCTCCCTCCCGTGCGCGCTGCCTGGCGCCCTTCGCCCGGCTTTGGGAGGAGGGAGGGTGAGCACAAAGGGAGCCTGGAACGTGGAGGTGGGGGCTCGCTCGCTGCCCAAGGCGCATCCCGGGTCCCGTCGGCGCCTCGCCTGCCTTCCTGCCCTCCTCCGCTGGCCTTCGGGCGTCCTCTTCCCACCCGCACCCAGACCACTTATTTCTTACTAAGGAGCTCTCCTTCCCGAGATCCCGCAGGCCCAAGGTTTTATCAGGGTCCTGTTGGTAGGGGATGGCCAGAGCTCAAAGCCTCCCAGCCCCCACCAGGGCCTTAGAGGTTGGACAAGGCTGCAGGAAGCTTCTGGAAGCAGAGGGCTGGGTCCTCCGGCCCCTTCCTCCCCCAGGGCTGAGGAAACCCAAGCAGCTCTTCCTTGCTCCCTAGTAGCTATTGCAAAGGGAGGTGTCTGATTGACCTCCCTTTTATCTGGGGTCAGTCAACACTAGGAAAGTGTGGCCATTATCACCAATGCCATCTGCTTTTCCTCCTAGGCAAGCCACGCAGCCCCCCAGCACTGCCCTTCTGGCCCTTCTAGGCCAGCAGTGCCCCCTGGGGATCTGGCCTTGAGGCCTGAGGCTGGCCTGTTAGCTCCACCCCCTTGGGAATATTTCTTCTCTCCCTGCGCCCCAGATTCTCCAGCTATAAGATGAGACAGAGTCCTTCCCCACAGAGTCATGCTAAGGCTGAAATGAGATGCAGGCCCTGGGCAAACTGAACGCACAGGTGGACTAGGGGAGGGTCCTCCCTGCCTGAGTCCCAACCTGGCTGCCCCTCCTCAATGGATGTTAACACCCCACTCAATGGATGTTAAGCCAGCGAAGTATGAACACATCCGTTTCAATATTATTGGACTTCCTCGTATTTTCCTCCATGCCACAGAATGATACCATCCTGGGCTCAGCCTTCAAACATCCAAAATGAATCAAGAGCTAACCTGAGTTGCCTCTGTGTCCTCCCTGCCCTGCCCCAGGGACCTGAGTAAATGAATCCTCCCTTCCACATGCCAAGGTCTCAAGCCTTCACCCTTCTGTTCCAGAACTTGCACTGTCCTATATGATAGGTACTTAGCTGCATGTGGCCCAAAGATTGAAATTAATGAAAATAAATTAAATTTAAAATTCAGTTCTCCCATCTTACTAGCCACATTTCCAGTCCTCAGTGGCACGTGTGTCTAGTAGCCACTGCATTGGAGGGTGCCGTATAGAACAATTCCACTCTGGCAGAAAATTCCACTGAATCAGAATGCTGTTCTAGAGACAGTGCCTTTAGGTTCATTAGCGGGAGCCCATAGCCCTGCCCCCCACCTGCTCTCCAGCAAGGTAGGCAGCTGACCTGCTCCTCAGGGGGCAGCCTGGGACTCTCAAGGGGCAGGTGCCTGGGAGGTGGATTTAAGGCTAGAACATCAGATGGAGGGCTCTGTGGTCTGGCTTGGGCTTCTCCTGGCCCTATGGAGAGGGCCTCTGAGCAGTTTCTTTGGGCAATTAACAAAATGATTTAAAAGTCAGGATAGCTTGACCCTTACACACTAATCTTTGGGCCATAGTCATTTTCACTGTACTGCAGACTTTGCATTTCCTTCTGAGCCTGGTTGCTTACATCTCAGTGTTCTTTTCAGACCATGGAAGGAAATGTAGCCCTCAACGGACCTCTCGGCCTGGGTCTGCAGAAGGAGCCCCAGAGCTCTGGGTGGCCTATAAGTACAAACGCCTCACCATGTAGCCAGAGGCAGCCTGGGCCTTTGTAGTGTGGCCAACTGGGGTTTCCATTTGGCAGCACCATTCACCTCCTATGTTTCTCCCCTATAAGTTGGGGATCCCAAATCCTCCCTGGAGGGGCTGGAGGATTCGTGGAATAAGATGTGTAAGGGCCTGGTGTGCCGACAGCCGATGGTGGTTCTGTTCCCCCTTCTTTCATTCTCCCACTGGAAGGAGGACCATGTCACAGCCTACCTGAGTCTCTATTTTCTCATCTGTACATGGGCATCACAGTTCCTACCTCAACAGTCTCGAGCCGTCACAAGGTTCAAGGGATATTGTGGATGTGTTTTAGACATGGTGCCCCTGGCACAAGTGGATGGTGTTTGGGGCTGTCCCATGGCAGTATGTCCCAGTAGAAAGGCAGGGTAGCCCAGTTGTTACTGCAAGGGTCCTGGAATTGGGCTCTGTCATTTACTCCTGACTTAACATGAGCCTTGGTTTCTTCTTCCATGAAACAGGGTTAATAGTGGTACCTTATTCCTGTTATTTTTGAGAGAATGAGAAGCAACTGTGCTCATCCAGTGGTCAGCACTGAGCCCAGGAGGCAATGGGGCCAGCCAACGTGGTCACTGTCACTGATCAAGCCTCTTTCTCCCTACAGGCTACGAACAGCAGCAGGAGCAAGAGAAGCTGGAGCGAGAGATGGCACTGCTGCGCGGCGCCATCGAGGACCAGCGGCGGCGTGCCGAGCTGCTGGAGCAGGCTCTGGGCAATGCGCAGGGCCGGGCAGCTCGAGCCGAAGAGGAGCTGCGCAAGAAGCAGGCCTATGTGGAGAAAGTGGAGCGGCTGCAGCAGGCGCTCGGGCAGCTGCAGGCAGCCTGTGAGAAGCGGGAGCAGCTGGAGCTGCGTCTGCGGACTCGCCTGGAGCAGGAACTCAAGGCCCTGCGTGCACAGCAGGTGAGCTGAGAAAGTCTCCAGGCTAGGGCAGCATCTGAGGATGTTGGCTTCCCTTCCTCCTCGGGGACTGTAGGTTTGGAGGCCAGGGCTGAGGCCCCGGGAGCCCCTGCTTAGATCTAGGCTGCAGGCCCGTTGGAAGGCGGCGAGGATGATTGCTCTCTGCTCCACCTTTGCTGCGTGCTCCCTTCCACTCGTTGTCTTAGTAGAGGCCCTGCCACCTGGCCCATGTCCAGCCTCGGGGGACTCCTGTCCTCGGCAGCAGCAGGGCTAGTTGTCCTTGACCTCTAGAGAAAGTAAGTCAGGAACCTGGATATAGAAGGCCTGCGAGCTTTTTTTTTTTTGAGATGGAATCTCATTCTGTCGCCCAGGCTGGAGTGCAGTGGCGCGAACGCTCACTGCAACTTCCACCTCCCAGGTTCAAGCCATTCTCTTGCCTCAGCCTCCCGAGTAGCTGAGACTACAGGCGTGCGCCACCACGCCCAGCTAATTTTTGTATTTTTAGTAGAGATGAGGTTTCACCATATTGGCCAGGCTGGTCTTGAACCCCTGACCTCACGTGGTCCGCCGACCTTGGCCTCCCAAAGTGCTGGGATTACAGGCATGAGCCACTGCGTCTGGCCACCAGCCAGCTTTTATATGCCTCCCCAAGATTGGGAGGAAAGATGGTTGTCCAGATCCACTGTGCTTAGCCTCACTTCGGACTTCTGTGTAAACAACTCTTGGTGTTTACAAACCAAATAGAGTTATTTCTCCACTCCCAAACCTACCCTTGCCACAGAGGTAGTGTGACTGAACCCCCTGGTTTGCCCAGTTCTGTTCTAATGTACACCAGTTTTCCCAGTATAATTATTGATAGCACCCCCTTTGCCAGTTTGGAGGATTATCTGTCTGGTCTCTATGCCCTTGCCCTAGGATTCAGGGCAGGGGTATGGGGACCTGTGCTGTATCCCCATTTCGGTAGAGGAAGGATGGGGAAATGTATGCTGTGTATGGCTGAACACGTACATGTACAAGTGACAGTCGTGTGGAGGCGAAGACCAGTGGCTGCCACACCCCAACCTGCACCCTTGACCACGGTCTCTACTCCTTGCTCTGCAGAGACAGGCAGGTGCCCCAGGTGGTAGCAGTGGCAGTGGTGGGTCTCCAGAGCTCAGCGCCCTGCGACTGTCAGAACAACTGCGAGAGAAGGAGGAGCAGATCCTGGCGCTGGAGGCCGACATGACCAAGTGGGAGCAGAAGTATTTGGAGGAACGTGCCATGAGGCAGTTTGCCATGGATGCGGCTGCCACGGCTGCTGCTCAGCGTGACACCACTCTCATCCGACATTCCCCCCAGCCCTCACCCAGCAGCAGCTTCAATGAGGGTCTGCTCACTGGTGGCCACAGGCATCAGGAGATGGAAAGCAGGTTCGGCATTGCAGGCCAGGCACCTGAGGTTGGGGGGGTGGGTGGCAATGTCCAGTCACTGCCCTGCCCTTGATCCCTGATAAACAGGCCCCTTTCCCCATAGAGCTCAGCAGTCCCTCCTGCTTCTGAGCTGAACCTGCATGATTGGCACACCAGGCACTGTAAACATGCATTTGCCCAGAAATACCGAGTCCTTGGTCTGCCCAGGAGACTCTTACTGTGGAGGTGTTGGGTGCCATCCAGTGCTTGGGCCCTGCCTCCCCTCTCCGGAGTGCCGCCCTCCAGGATGAGGGCTGTGCCGCCACTATCATCTGATGAATCTGGAACCCATCCTTAATGGCCTGCCTTTGCTGGTGTGAGAAGGGCCCAGGGCCTTATGCACTGGTGGTTTTCAGAGCCTGGGCTCTAAGAGCATCAAATTCCAGAGCTGTGGTGCCATTTCTAAGCCCTCTCTGGGTCCCTGCTACAAGCACAGAAGGATCCAGCCTGGCAGGGTTGGGGGAGTTGGGGGGGGCTTTTCCTCTAACTCCTATGAGGCAGGAAGGGTGGAGGCTGTTGGATCTGTGGGTCTGACAATGTGGGCATGGCCTCTCACCCCTCAGGTTAAAGGTGCTCCATGCCCAGATCCTGGAGAAGGATGCAGTGATCAAGGTCCTTCAGCAGCGCTCCAGGAGAGACCCTGGCAAGGCCATCCAGGGCTCCCTGCGGCCTGCCAAGTCGGTGCCATCTGTTTTCGCGGCTGCGGCAGCAGGAACCCAGGGCTGGCAAGGGCTCTCTTCTAGTGAGCGACAAACAGCAGACGCCCCTGCTCGGCTGACTACAGGTAAGAGGAGGCTACTGCTGGGATAGATTGAGAGGTAATTTCTCCTGGGCCTGAACACAGATTGCCAGACCTTTCCTCCCAGAACTGAGGCTATAGGAGCCAGGGCTTCCTGACCCTCTTCCAGGGGAGCTGGCTTATTCTCTGCCTCTAGTGACTCTACAGCGCAAGGCTCTCCTGCCAGTGTGAAGAGGGGTACTTAGTCCCCATCACCATAAATTCTATCATGCTTCAGCCCCAGCCACTGAACTAAGAAAAATAGAGCTTCCTGTGCAGATACACCTTGTATGCAAGCTCCCTCCACTCTTCCTTCTAAGCAGATGCCACAGAAACTCTAGAAGATTTAATCTATAAGGAAGGGTCCCACCACCCAAAACATTTGGAAGCCAATCCAATCTGGTAGTTATTCCCATTTGAAAATAGGAGCATTTTTAGTCTTAAAGTTCTTGCAAATCAAGAGCAGCCCACTCCACCTTGAATCCCCAGCAGGGACAGTTAACTTAGAGTGTCCTTCACCAGGGCCACATCTTACAGGCATGGCAATAACCATCCACCTACCTTTCCAGCAGACAGAGCACCCACAGAGGAGCCAGTGGTCACAGCTCCCCCTGCTGCCCATGCCAAACACGGGAGCAGAGATGGGAGCACCCAGACTGAGGGCCCCCCAGACAGCACCTCCACCTGCCTGCCACCGGAGCCTGACAGCCTTCTGGGGTGCAGCAGTAGCCAGAGAGCAGCCTCTCTGGGTAAGTCCTCCTGACCCCACTTCTGTGCTAGGTAGGGCCGAGGGGGCACTGGGGTGTGAACTGGAACACAAGGCCTTTTCTTCCCAGACCCCCTCCGGGTCATTGCCCGCACTCCATGGGGAGCCGTGCATAGCCAGAGGTGAGCAGGGTGCCTGGCCCACCTCAATGTGAACATGAGGGATGGCTGGTTGCATGAATAGGGAAATTGGAAACCCTGATTAGAGGCAGATCCAGAATTCAGAAAGAAAGCAACCAGATGGGAGGCACTTTAGCTCCTCTTTCATGGTCTTCCCTACATAGTTAATTTCCAATTTGATTATCCAAGAGAATGGAGCTCGCAAGTCATGCCGATGGCACTCTGGAAGCCTGTTTAAAGAGTCCGGGAAGGAGAAATCTGAGAAGATGCCATTTCTTTTTCCACTCCCCTTTCACATTGGCCTTTGCATATTTGCCTGTGCCTCATGATCTCAGAAAACCACAGGCATGAAAAGAATGCTGCAGCCTGCCTCCCTCAGGGCTCTCCATTGCTCTCTCTAAGCCCTCCAACCAGTTCAAAGTTAGAAACAAATGCATCCTACACATCGGAGGTTGGTGGGCTGGGCTGAGCACTGAAAGGGGGCAGAGCATTGTGCTTGGTTGGCCGAGTTCTGGGAACCTGGGCAGCAGAGGTGGGAAAAGTTGGTGAAGAACGATCTTTGTCTTTCAAATGTGCCAGGATTTTAAAAGCAATCTAGTAACACTCATTGGCATGTGCCTGTGTTCTTGTCTGTCTCCAGACTCTGTAGCTACATCCAGAGTCCAGGACTTGTCAGACATGGTGGAGATACTGATCTGAAGGAGGTGGTGCTTCAGGACTCTGAGCCATTCTCTCCCCTCCTCTGCCCTGTGCCACTCTCAGCCATTTCAGCAGCCCCGTCAACCGCTGCTCCGTCCCTTTCCCCAGCCAGACACTCATTCCCATTGACCATCTGGTCCCAGGAGCTCAGGAGGAGGACCCCAGGGGAGAGGAGAGCTGTGAGAGCACCGGCACCCCCAGAAGACTCTGCTTCTTAGCCCACATTCCTCCGGGCCTTATGGAGAATGAGGATTCAGCCTTGACTTCTTGCCCAAGGCCTGCTACTGGGGTAGCAACTGACAGCTCAGAAAGGAGCTGAGCTCCCTCTGCCCTGCCAGTTGTCAGTCAGGCAGGGAGGGAGTGGCTGTGTTGGTTTGGGGAACTAATTTCCACGGACGGCTGCCCGTGGACACCAGGTGGACTGGTTCACTAATCAAGTCAGCCATATTGTTCTCTGGCTAAGTTTGGTTCCAGCCAACGTCATCTGCTCTTCAGTTCCTCACTGCCTTCTTGGGATACTAAGACTTGAATTTTTTGGGGACTATTAAGGGTGTTAGTCTTGGAGAAGACACAGCCTCACCTTCTCACTTGCTGTGGGTGAGGGGCCATTTAAGTGGACTGGGAGACAGTGCGCAGTTTGTATATAATTCCCTTTCTTGTGGAACAGAAGACTGAGGCCTGCAGGTTCCGATGTGTCTCCATGGGCTGTGCTCCCCTCTTCCTACTGTCAGTTTCTGAAACTTCTGACTGGCCTCCCAGTTATGCCTCCTCCTCAAGTTCCTGGCCCGTGGATGTTAAAGCTGCTCGATTCCCAGGATCTCGGCTGCCTTTTCCTCTATCTTGAGCCCTATAAATGCCCACGGGACCCCCACCACCAGCCTCTTGAAGTGGCTCCACAGCTCCTGTCCCTGGAACATCCTGTCAGTTTGGTCATAAACCCTGAGCCAGATGAAATGAGCCACCGTGAACAGACATCTGCCATGCCCCCAGGTGGGCTTCGGTGGCCCTACCCGGTACCAGTTCTTTCTGAGAAACTGGAGATGTCTTGTTAGCATAAGTGTCTTCATTCCCACCTGGAGGGTTTGGGAGAGGAGCAAAGCAGTTGAAAACTAGTTAATGAGCTACAAGAGTCAAATAGTCCTCTGAATGGAGCCCCCATCACAAAACAGTGCCCAGGAGGCTGGCTCCTCAAGCTACCCATGCCCAGCGCCCTAAAGCAGCACCAGATGCTTTGGAATTGGGGTGAAACACCCACATGGCAGCCTGCTAGCAGCAGTGACTTTGACTTCTGGTCTTAAAGAGTCCCTCACTTCAGCCCCAGGAGCTATTGGTGGGTTTTAGCAGTTTTGTCTTTACCGTTTTTAGTTCTCCTTGATTCTTTGTTTTCTTCCTTTATCGTTTTTAGGTTTGGTATGTGTTGTTTTATTTCCATGGTTCCTCAAGTTTCCTTTTTAAACATTTGCATTTGCTGGACAATTGCAATTTTTTTTAAAAAATTCCCCTACCCCTGTTTAAAGCTGAAAAATACATTTGGTTCATGTGCATTGTTTACAAAGCAAAAAGAAAAAAGAGGAAAAAAAGGCAAAAAATATTGTGAAAGAAAAAAAACAACTTAATATATTTTGGATTAATATTTGGTATTTCTTTTAAAGTATTTTTTGTGCTGTGAACATTTTCTGCCAAAGACCATGATGTGTGTCTGTATGTTTAAGTTATCGTAAATATTTAAAATGTAAACATGGCTGTTTTGTTATGCCACCCTGTACCAGGATTGCTGCCGCATTCCACTGGGTATAACAGTATTTTAATTAAAAAAAAATAATTAAAAGTGATGTCTTTGCACAGGTGAGACTTTGCACTGAGGGAAGGGAAAGGGTGAGGATTTTGGGGGGCCACCCAAGTCATAGTCCAATCTCTTCAAGGACCCAAGATAGAATTTAGGAATTTTGTGAAGCTGCATTAAGGATAGAGTTGGAATGAGGATGTGGCTGGCATTTTTCCCCTTTCATAGATAACATTTCTTGAAGGCTGGGAGGGGAAGGAGGGCCTGGCAGATGGCAGCCTCCCGAGGTAGGGCTGTGTTCTAATCAGCTTTGTTCGGCCACACGCTGTGGTTATCCACAGTGGGAGTGGGTGTCCAAAGATGGCTTTATCCTTCCCCCACTCCTTTTCCCACTCCCACCTAGCACATAAAGTTTTGTCCGAAACCATCCAGAAGGCCAGGCACCATGCAGAGGACATTCAAGAATGTGCATGTTCTTAGCCACCGCCTCCCTCCTTTGCTGTGACATCACCACTCTTTCCTGATGCTCAGGAAAGCATATTGCTCCAATTCAAAATTAAAGAAAGCCATTCTCAGTCTTGCTTGTTCTTGTATCAGAAACAAAATACCTGTCTTGTGCTTCTATAAGTGTGTTAGGACCCTGAGGTTCCCAGTCAGCATGTGGCCAGCAGTTAGCTGGCCATGAGGCAGCAGCAGGCTACCAGACAGCCTACGTGACATGTGACAGGAACAGTTTCCCACCATGGCCGTGAGTGAAGTGTCTTCGGGGCCAATGTGGGAACTCGGGAGCCATGTTGATGAGTAACTAAGTTGAGATCCTAGAGAAGGTGTCTTCCCGAGCTGGCCTACCAGCCCACAAGTATGAAGACAAGCAGGTGGAAGAATTGGAAACATCCAGAAACTTTTCTAGCAACTTTGCAGATGGTGATGGGTCCCACTGGATGAGGAGCTCTCCATGCAGAGGCATCAAACCCACCCCATGGCCACACCTCCACCCAACCCTCCAGCCTGCCTCCTGCCACTGGGGCACTATCTATGCCAGCCTTTCTCCCATTGAGCCCTGAACTAGAGTCAGCTTCACAAATAGGTTACTCACCTGACATGCAGGCCTAGTGCATGGAGGCGGCCTGAACAATAGGGCTCCTTCTCACCCTCCCACAGCTGCTCCTCCCTGGGCCACAGCAGCCCATGGCTACATTTGCTGACTTGCTGTCCAAAACAAAATGTCGGTGCCTGTGGCAGGGAGTTCCAAAGGACAGCTTGGCAACTCAGACCTGTGAACAATAAGCCCTGACAACAGTGCCATCTCACCCCAGTACCTTTGGCCAGGGGCTTCCAAAGCATCTGCACCTTCTGTGAGATCCAGTCTGTGGAAAGTCACTTTAATGTTTCCTTGGCACAGACCAGGAGGAATAAGAAATCGGTCCCAGTGTACCCAGCACATGTACGTGCATGTGCATTTGTGTGCACATGTGTACATGCGTGCCTGACCATGTGTCCCAGAGAAAGGTGTGAGGGGCACCAATATCTTCTGGCTAGTGTCCCTGCAGGGCATGGGTGCTCTCCTGCCACATGGTGACCAGTGCATCTGAGTGACATTTCCTCTCGGGAAAGGGGATGAGTGAGCTGCTCGGTGCCCTGTGAAATGCAGTCTAATGAAGTTTCAGAACTAGTGGAGCTGCAGGCTGTGGCAGGGATGGTGAGGCCTTGTGGAGGGAGGTGTTTGCCTTCTGTGTCTAACACCTGTGAAGGGGTGGAGCCTGGGCCAGAGCCCAGGTGGCTCAGCGGGGCCCTTTGGAGGCCAAGTTCCTCTTTGAGGGGGCAGCCCTAACCTGCCTGCCCTGCCTCCACCCAGTGTCCCCACCAACAGGGCTGGGGATGTGGCTCAGGGGGCAGCCCATGGCTGCAAGGGCTGGAGGGCAGCTTATGAGTGGCTGCCCCAGCCTCTCTCCCTCCTCTCACCTCCTGGTTAATTGTTAACTCTTCCCCTGGCATAAGTATGCACCAGGCTCAGCAAGCTTGGTGAAAATATGCCAAGACAAGGGCAGCAAATTGGGGCCCAGTCACCCAGAGATAGCCAAAGCCGCTTTACTGCACCCGAAGAACTCCAGCTAGACAGGAAAGTTGTTTGCAGTACCACTCTGCCATCAACTAGCACAAGTAAGGGGCTGGCCAGGATGAAGCTGTCCCTGATCAGGCCTTGCTGGGAGCGACCGACCCCTCTGGAGGTGGTTCAGAAACCCCCGCAACCAGCAGTGCATTCCTGGACGTGCCATGCCTGGATCTAACACATGGGTGAAGTGCCACAGCAATTGAACCCTAAGCATCTTTTTTTTTTTTCCAAACAAGATAGAATTCACATACCATAAAATTCACCCTTTTGAAGTGCACCATTCAGTGGTGTTTTGTATCACAGCATCTACTTTAAGCCAGCGGTCAACCACGGGTCATCAGCAAATGCCCCACCAGTGGGCCATGTGGACACAATTAGAAGTGTTATTGGATCTGCTGCCTTCACACTTGTCGGCTCCTCTTTCCTAGGCTGACACTTTGAACTTTCTATTGCAGAGAGTCCCCTTTCACCCATCCTGGGCCCAGCAGCCCCAGAGTACCTCTGCTGGGCTGCAGCCAGGACACTATCTGCTCTGAGCTGGAATCTCCCACATTTCATTCCCTAGGCTGCCAGGGTGGAGGTCCTGAGGTTTGGAAAGGAGGCCCATGAGCCCTGAGCCCAAGGCACCCATGTTTGCTAAGGTTTGCCAGAGTCAAGGAGAATTGGCAGGGGTCGGTCCAATTTTGTGAGGCCTGAAGCCTGTATAATTTGGAGGACCCTCTTGAAGAAAAAGAATGCAAAGTGGTGAATACAAAATTAGATCTAGAGTTTTGGAAGGGGCTTCTTCAAGTGAGCACCCCGAGGTACAAGATTCATTAGCTTCACAGTAAATCTGTCTGTCTGGGCATTGGGCATTGTGTTTCCCTGATGGGAATGGAGCCCTGGGAAGTACCCAGGACTTGGGTTCATCCTTGTCTCTCCCAGGTGAGGCTTGGATCTGGAAGTCAATGAAGTTGCAGTTTTTCTTCTGCAGATGAAGTGGCTGGTACTGGATATCCACTAAAAACAGCCCCCTCTGTAGGGTGGAGGTACCCACAAAGGGAGCCTGCGGTCTAGGCGCAGGATGGGGTTATCACCACAGAGCCTGGATGAAAGGGCTGACCAGTTTGCTGAGGACCAAACTGTAAATGACTCTCATGTGCACCCTGCTCTCGCCCACCAGCCAAACCTCCAGCCCCCAGCAGGAGTGGGAGTGGGGCACATCTGACAGTTGGCTCTCGGTGCCCTGGAGAGCCATGCCACTTGCACTTGATTGCAACAGGGACACATTCTACTCTACTCTGTGGGCCCATCAGCTTTTGATTCTGAGCCAACCTGGTGTCATGATCTGTCCTGAGATAAATGCCTCTTGCAAGTCCAAAGGCTCCTACCTGGGGGCACATTCCAGGTGTGTTGGGCAATAATTTGGTTATTTCCCTGCACAGGTTTGCCTCTTCTTGCATCAAGTTGGCCTTCTTTTGAAGCTTCAGGAGCCTTGAAAAGAGCCCTGCCCAGTCTCTCTTCTGAAGCCTTTCTTGCTCAACACAGTGTACTATGGAAATCTTCACAGCATATTGCATTATGGCAAAAATACCAAAATCTCAACCATAGAGTGACTACAAAAACCACGGCTAGGTTTGCCTTGAAAACACAATAACCTTTTTTAACTTAAAAAGAAAAACAGGCCCCTCTCTCTTCCTTTCTCCACCATTGTAGTGTGTGTTTGGCTCCGCCTCTCTCCATGTCTTCTCACAAGACTTTCAAGATTAAGCAATTCCTGGCCAAGAAACAAAAGCAAAATCGTCCCATTCCCCAGTGGATTCGGATGAAAACTGGTAATAAAATCAGGTACAACTCCAAGAGGAGACATTGGAAAAGAACCAAGCTAGGTCTGTAAGGAATTGAACATGAGATGGCACACATATTTATGCTGTCTAAAGGTCACAATCATGTTACCATATCAAGCTGAAAATGTCACCACTATCTGGACAGTTGGACATGTTTTTTTGGGAATATACTTTTTCTCTCTGAATCTGTTAGGAACTTTCTGGTTGGCTGGGTTCCGTAATAAATACATGAGACCTTTCATTTCAAAAAAAAGAAAAATAGGCCTCCTTCCCAGGGGCTCCGGATTTCATCAGCCTTCTGTGCATGCCCAGCCATACAAACCACGCAGGGATGGCTCCAAGTGCACTGTGGCCTCTTTGAACTGCAGGCCTTTGCACATCCCAATCCTTTTCCTCGCAATGCCTTTCTCATCTCTTTTCTCCTCCAGCTTGAACATCGCTTCCTCCTGGCAGCCTCCCCTCTCCAGCTTCCTTTCTGCTCCCACAGGACCATGATGGGGAGGACAGCTGGGATGTGCAGAATGAAGGAACTCTTGCTAGCAGACATTAGTCTGTAGCTCTTCTTGGGTCAGAAGGAGCCACAGGTAAAAAGACGTAACCGAGCTTTTTAATTATACAGGTGTTTACTCTTGTCCTTGCGCTGGTGTCACAGGTGGCCCTGCTTGATCAGTAGCCCTGTAGGATATTCTGACCAAAGTTCCCAAGCCCTTCCTCCTTGGCCAGGTGCCCATCCCCCATTGCCATTCACTGAAAGTGGGAGAGGTGGGAGAGGATAAAAGGGACTCTGTGGGTGGAGTCTTCAGGTCAGAGAAGGAGAAGCTGAGCCCGAGGGCTTGGGGAGCAGAGTGAATGAGCAGGTGGAGGTGGAGGTAGGTGTGTGAGCCCAGAACTGGCCCTGCCAGATGGCTGGTCCCTGAGTCAGGCCCAGGCGCTGACTGCCACATGGGCAGTAGCCAGCCCCAGCCATGGGAACAGCAGGCGGAATCAGAACTCTCTCCACCCCTAGGAGAGCCGCACCTGCCTGGAGCTTCTCCTGCCTGGCCCTGACAGCCCTGGGCTCCCTCTGGGAGAGGATAGGGGCAGGGGCAGCAGCAAGGGAAGGGTGGGGTGAAACACTTGTTATCAGGGCAGCAGTTCCCAGCCATGCCTTGTAGTGTTTGGGTCCCAAGAACAACTCACAGGGGTTGTTGATCAAGGCCACAAAGATCTGAGCCAGGCAAGGTCCAGGGAAAGGCTTCCCCAGAGCCTCCATGCCATCCCTAGGTGCCAACCTCCCACCCCTTCCTCCCTGGAAGCCAGAGCACCACAATAAAGGGAGGGGGAGAGGTTGGTGATGCCTTCTGGGGAATGGCAGCATTTGTCTCCCAGTCCCTGCCCCTTCTGTTCCCAAGTTCATGGGAAAGGAGGACCTGTCCTGTGCCACAAGAAAGACTCTGGCCTCACACCTGTCAGTGTACCTCTACTTGGGGCAGCATTTTCAAAGGCCTGTGCTCAAGTCCTGTGCCTCTTTCCTGCAGCCCCCAAGCTGGACCGTCAAGGCGTGGTCCTGGGAACAGTGTGGTCAGCTCAGGGGCCTGTGGTTGAACTTTTGCAGCCATCCCACCACTTGTCCATTGAAAGATATTCACCTCTCAGACCTCCCCTTGCACATGTACGCACTCAACTAATAGCCATTAAGGACCCAGCATGTACCACACCCATTCTAGATACTGGGGGGAGTCAATGGGGAATAAAGCAGACAAAATCCCTGCCCCATGGAACTTCACTCTAGCAGGAGTGGGGTGGGGGAAGACAAACAGGAAACTAAACTTGATAGAGTATGGGAGAACAATAATTCTTAAACTCTCTGTGGTGAAAAATCAGTTGTTTTTTTTCAATCTGCATTTGGATTTCTGAGCAATATCAAATTTAGAGATCCCATAGCTAGAGATGCTATAGCATAGAAGCTTCCAAATGCATCCCCTCAATTTCTGTATGTGTGTCCTCTTGCAGTGCTGGTCCACACTGTGTGCCAAGGTGACAAGAGCTTTGGGGGAAAAAAGGGAAGGACAAGAGGGATGAGGAGTTTGAAGCAAGGTGGTGGGGCTGCGGGAGAGTTGCAGTTTTAAAGAGGCGTTATTAAGAAGGTGACATTTGAGCAAAGATTTGAAGGAGGTAAGGGAGTGAGCCATGTGTGTAACTGAGAAATGCGCATTCCAGATAGAAGCTTTAATAAAAGGAAAGAGAATTTATAAACTTGGACTTCAACTGGTTGAAGCCCCGCTGAGGGGCGAAGGGCAGGGGCAGGAAGCAAGGGAGCATTGTAGGAGGGACACCTGTGAAGGAAAGGCCCCCCAAATCATCCCAGGCCCACCAGCATCCTGAGTGGGGCCACAGTTACATTCTACCTGGTCTCCTCTCCTTTCAGAACCTTCTTTCTTTACAAGCCAGCTCTCAACACCTGATATGAGGGTCACTCACAACACAGGCCATTCTTTTAATAAAATGACATTGTTTTCTGTGCTCAGTGCATCTACCTCCAGCTTTGAACACAAGAGGTGCTTTAACCCAGGACGTGGTCTGAGCCCTGCTTCTGCATCTATAGGCACAGGGCCATGACTGTGAGGAAGTTTCTATCCATCTGACTGGCTTCTGCATCTGAGCCCGGGTTATATGGCACAGGAGACATGTGGCAAGATGAAGATTCCTTCCTCCATTGTATGCACTTCCACGCCTGCTCATGCACACCACATGCATACATACACTTTCACACCAAACACACAGGCATGAAATACACTCATGGGCTTGTCCACATGCACACCTGCCACAAACACCCATCATAAGCCTCCAGGTAAACAATATGGGCATGCGCACTTATACACACACTTGCACACACATACACATTTTTGGAGGCTTGAATGCACACCCACGCCCAACACACACCCCCTCAGGCAGGCACACATGGGTCCCCTAAACATGGACTCAGTCTTCCTACAGGAGAATTTCTATTCTGAGCAAACACCCAGCATCTGCAGTCAATGGCAAACAGATGAATGGGACAAAATTCACTCATGTGTCCTGGTGGCCCTACCAATACAGCCCTGAAGGAGCAGGCAGCAGGCTTATCCCTTCACCAGCAGGCCTTCAGAAGGGCAAGACCAGGGTGGGGATCAGGTTTGGCCAGGAGAACACTCAGAGCTTCTGGGTACTGACTCAAAGCCAGGGGCCGACAGCCTTGTGCATTCCTGACAAGTAGGTCACCATGACAAGGAGCACTGGCTCACATGCTGGGACCTACGGTGACTGGAAAAGACTTGGGGAAAATCCAGCTGTTGTGAGACAGCCAGTGTTAGTAGGTGCTGCCTTCCCATACCAGTGAGTTAGGTTGGGTCTATGCAGCACCGGAGCTATGGAGTGTGTGTCAGCGGCAAGGGCTCCTGCTCAGCACAGCAAAGACTAGGAGAAGAAGAGGGCAGTGGCTTACCAGGGACTGTAGCGCTGGGAAGGACGGGTGAGGCAGGGGACACATTATGAATAGTGTTATTTTTTAGCACACCAGTGTGTTAGGCACTGTGCTGGGTGTTTTTCATGTATTATCTTGCAAGATACAGCCCTGCAAGTTAGATTTTATTGCCTCCATTTTACAGATGAGGAGACTGAGGCTCAGAGGGCTTAAATAAATTACTCTAGGTCTTCAGCTAATAGGGGCAGAGCTCAGATATGAGTCAAGGCTTGTCTGACTCCAGATCTCAGACTTTCTCAACATCTTCATGTTGAAGCTAAAACTTGCATTTTAAACTATCAAAAGCAAGAGGGATCTAAGGAGACATGGCAACTAAAGGTACTGTGGTATCCCGGATGGGATCCTGGGACAGAAAATAAACATGAACTTTAGTTAATGACAATTTTAATTGTGATACATGTACTTTACTAATGCAAAAGTGTTAATAATAGAGGAAACTGGGTGCAGGGTATACAGGAACTATTTATACTATCTTAATGATTCTTCAAATCTAAAACTGTCCTAAAATAAAAGACTTATTTTTTAAACTTTGCATTTTTGCCAGCAGCAGGAAGCAGTAGATAACCAACATTCCAAGGTGCAGCCTGTGTATAAGGCCTGAAGAGGCCAGGGCCCCTGGAAAGTTTCTCAAAATAAGAGGCCATTCTGGACTTTGTACCACTGAGTTCCCATCACCTACATAACTTGAAATAGAGACATTAATTGCAGGGCTGTGATCACAGCCAACACCACCTTCCTAAATGGGGCAAAAGGGCGCTGAAGTCGGGCAGAGCAGCTGCAAACTGGCATGAATTCCCAAGGCTGTGACAGAGAATTCTTGCTGGGTGTGCCTGTACCTCCCTGACAATGTGGCCTGGCCAAGCTGACGTCCCTCCATTTTCTCAACTGTTGCCACTAGAATGTAGTAGGAACAATGTATAAGTCTTATACTTCTTTTATTAAATTTATTCTTAGATATCTTATTCTTAGTAATACTACTATAAATGTAGTTGCTTTCTTGATTTCATTTTCTGATATTTTATTTCTAGTACATGAAAATAAAATTCATTTTTGTATATTGATCTTATGTTTTGTCACCTTGCTGAGCTTGCTTATCAGTCCTAACAGTTTTTTAGTGGATTCCTTAGGATTTTCTATATACTGCAAGATTATGGCATCTACAAATAAAGATAGTTTAAGTTCTTTCTTTCCAATCTTGATGCCTTTTATTTCATTTTCTTGCCTAAGCTTCAGTACAATGTTGAATAGAATTTGTGGGAACAAATATCCTTACCTTGTTCCTGATCTTAGGGGGAAAGCATTCAATTTTTCACCATTAAATATAATGTTAAGCTGTGATGTTTTCAAAACAAAAAGAAAATAGTTGCCCTTTATCAGACTGAGGAAATTCCTTTCTATTCCTGGTTTGTTGAATGTTTCCATCCTGAAAGAGTATTAAATGTTTTCAAATGCTTTTTTGGCATCTATTGAAATGATCATGTGGTTTAGTCATTAATTCTATTAATTCTGGATAACATTGATATCCAGATGTTAAGCCAACCTTGCATTCCTGGGATAAATCTCATTGAGTCATACAGTATACTCCTTCATATATGTTACTAACTTCATTTTGCTAGTATTTCACTGAGTATTTTTCCCACAAGAATGTGATCCAGGAAGGAAGGGCTGCATATGCCCCACTCGCCACATTGTCCCCATTCCCTCTAGCAATGCCAGGCACAGAGAGTGCTCAGTGAACCTCAACAAGTGAATGAAAAAGTCAATCTATAAAACACAGGATCTCATGGGCCTCCAAAGAGTTCACACTAGGAATAGTGACCATCATATTATCACAAATGTCTAAGTATGCATAATCCACATAAACTGGAGAGTCAAGGGAGGTTATAAAAAACCCAAACTTAGAATGAAGCCCTTGCTGAATGAGGGGGCATTGGGTGGCTTGCTCCACTACAGTCAAGGGTGTCTCACTTTAGGTTCCAGACCAAGAGGCAGAAGCTTATGGGGACGTGGGGCCCTCTCTCCACATACAGGTCCCCCCAGACTAAGGAAACATGCCAAGGTCTCAGGTGGTGACATATGATCTAGGACTGCCATGAGCAAACATAAGACAGATGAGTGGATATTTTGTGGAAAGCAGGGTCTTATCTGCTGTGGTCTGGGTAGGGATCTGTGGACCCTGTGGCAGTCAAGCTTGTCCTTGTTGACAGGTATGATCTTAATGCAACTTCTAAGCAGGTTTCTTAAGCTCATCCTGAGACCACAGTTATTAATCTAAACTCTGGGGGCTGACATGAGGATTAAATGAGATAATAAATGACGACCCCTTAGCATGATGCCTGGCATAGACTAAGTGTTCAGTAAATGGGGACATTATTGTTTTATGCTAACTTTTATTATTGTTTTATGCTTTTATTATTTTTACAATTATTTTAGAAGGATGTCCACTGACAGCCAGACTCTGTTATAGCTTCTTTTTATTCATAACTTCAAAAATGTGGCAGTCTCTTCCAGTAGGCACCATTTGAGTCAATCCAAGACCCAAAGAGCACAAGGTGCTCCCCAGGAGCAGCTGGCTGGGCACCACCCTCACCTGCTATCTGGACACAGATGAGGGGTGCTTCAAGACAAACAGGAAAGAAAGCTTTTCTTTCTCCCTGAATAAAAGCCCTGGGGGCAAGGGAAGTTGCCCTCCCTCTCACCCTCTGTCCCCCTACCCCATTTCAGGCTGGCTGTTTATGCCCACAATAAGGACAGTCCAGTCACAACACAAAGGCCATGGCACAAGAGGGCACCATAGGAAGAAAGCTGGGCACAGCCAGAGAGCTGGGTGCCCTGCCTGCCAGCTCTAAGAGGATCCCTGGTTCTTCTGTCCTGTGTGGTGGGAACTCCTCTCTGGATTCTGGCACCAGACTTCTAGCTCTTCATCTCCTCCATACCTGCCTTATCAGAGCAAGGCAGAATACAGCAAGAACGTATTTGCTGGTCTTTTAGCAACCAGTGTGCTTGCTGAGCCAGCCTCAGGCCCTTCCCTTCCAGGAAACAGAGCAGCAGAGTCAGCCAGGCCAGGGCTTTGGCTTGAAATGCCCCCATGACCAACCAGCTGTGCTCTCAGCCCAGGTGAGCTTCTGTGGGACCACAGCCCAGATCACCTCATAGACTCCTTACAAGTGATATGGATTCCATTGCAGCCATAGGTGGAGTTGACTAAGACATTGAAGGAAATTGAAAAGAACAGTTAGAAAAGTAGAAGGAGAACTGGGGCACCAACAGGATGTGAAGACCTGTAGGGAAGGAAGAGGGAAAGAGGATGGGCCTGAAGAGGCCACAGGGTCTGGCAGTTGTGAGGCCACAAGTGGCTGTCTGGTGCAAATTTTCATAGCTAGAGAAGGTGTTCAGGTTGTCTGTCCAAGGATGTTCATTCAGAATTGTTTATAACAGGGAACCATCGAAAATAACTTCAAGGTCCAGCCCCAGGAGACAAATAAATAAATTGTGGTTCAGCCATGCACAGGTAAAAAAAACATTAGTTCACAGGTTTTGTTTGGCTATGAAGGAGAAGGGGATTGTTTGCGAACATTAAGAAGATTGAGAAGTTTTATGGGAAAAAAATCCAGATGTCCAGCTTCTCTTGAACATCAAAAACTCTGGCAACACTAGACCCTCATTTCCACTTGACATGACTCTGGCTGGAGCAAGAAGCAGCTGCGTCCTTCAGATGAGGAAGTCCCTCCAGGTGGCCAAGGTTTCTACCCACCCTGTCTCTCATGCAGTTTCATGTCAGTATCTGTCAGCTATGGGTAGAGATCTTGTGCATGTTCTTCCCTGAGCCTGGAACATTCTCCTCTTCACCCCCAACCCAGTGCCCTGATGAGTCCTTTTGATTTTTCAAAAATTAGCATTAATGTCACCTCTTCAGGGAAGATTTCCCCAACTACTACATAGTGAGTTGGGTCATCCTGTTTCAGGTTCTCCTTGCATCCTTGTAAAACTCTTCACTACTGTCACTAAAGAAGTGTCTGTGACAGCTCTCTGTTACAGAAGAAGTCCACTCAGTGAATACAGAAGGAAATACAAAGTCACCATTAGAATACCAGATGCCCCTGAAGGCAAGATCCACCCATGGATATTAAACTCAGTGGGTGAAAGTTTAAGAAATATGATATTTACATAGTCTCAAAATATTTTCCCCAAAACAAATTTTTATTAATTACAAAGGGGAAAATAGTAACTTGAGAGTGAAGAAACCTAGCAGATTTCACTTTAACCAAGTGACCAAGGTTAACGTCACCAGTAATAAGTTGCGTTGACATCCTGTACCCCTTGATAGGATGCACTGAGAAAGGCATGTCACTTCTGTGGTATCCATCCCAATAAGGCATAACCTCAATCTAATCATGAGAAAACATCAGACAAACCCAAACTGAGGGGCATTCTACAAAACAACTGCCCAGTACTCAGAAAAGCCTTAAGGTCATGAAAGACAAGGAAAGACTGAGGAACTGTCACAGATTGGAGGAGATTAAGGAAACACGACAATCAAATTCAAAGTGAGACACAGGATCAGATCCCAGAACAGGAAAAAAAAAGTAGAAAAGAAAGTCTGTGCTGAATGGCATTATGCCAATATTAATTTCTTAGTTTTCATAATTGTCATACTGTATAGTTATGTGAGATATTAATCTCCGGGGAAGCCTTGTGAAGGGTATGTGGAAGCTCTCTGCATCATTTCTGCAACTCTTCTGTAAGTCTGAAATCATCTCAAAATTGAAAAAAGTCAAAAAGGTATGTGTGTAATTATTTGCTAGATGCCTGTGTCCCCTCCTGGGAGCCTATAAACTTCATGAGGATGTGGACAGGGACTGTGAATGCACTATCTTTATTCATGATTGAATCCTGGTATTATGGAAAGTGCTTTACACATAGTGGGTATTCAATTAATATGCGCTGAATAAACAGATTCATAGTTATTGACACAGAAAAATGTCCTTTGCATATTATTAAGTAAAAAACCTAGGATACAAAACAGCACAGTGGGATCAACAGTATGATCCCATTTTTTGCTTTGAAAAATCATATACCAATATTTGTATAAATGAAAAGACTATAACAATTTAAAAATGAAATGTTGCCAGGTGCAGTGGCTCACGCATGTAATCCCAGCACTTTGGGAGGCCAAGGCGGGCGGATTACCTGAGGTCAGGAGTTCGAGATCAGCCTGGGCAACACGGCGAAACCCCGTCTCTACTAAAAATACAAAATTAGCCGGGCGTGGTGACACATGCCTGTAATCCCAGCGACTCGGGAGGCTGAGGCAGGAGAATCGCTTGAACCTGGGAGGCGGAGAATGCGGTGAGCTGAGATCGCGCCATTGCACTCCAGCCTGGACAACAAGAGTAAATCTCCGTCTCACAAAAAAAAAAAAAAAAAAAAAAAAAAAAAAATGAAATGTTGACAGTGGTTATCACTGGACGATAAAGTTTTGGGTATTTTTTTTCTTCTTTTTACTTTGCTATAAATGTATATATCTTGAGACAGAGTCTCGCTCTCTCGCCAGGCTGGAGTGCAGTGGCATGATCTCGACTCACTGCAACCCCCACCTCCCAGGTTCAAGTGATTCTTGCCTCAGTCTCCCAAGTAGCTGTGATTACAGGTGGCCGCCACCATGCCCAGCTAATTTTTGTACTTTTAGTAGAGATGGGGTTTTGACATGCTGGCCAGGCTGGTCTTGAACTCTTGGCCTCAAGTAATCTACCCACCTCAGCCTCCCAAAGTGCTGGGATTACAGGCATGAGCCACCACGCCTGGCCTACTTTGCTATATTTTCTAAGCTTACTTAGATTTTCACGAACTATTTTTATGTGCAGAAAAAAAAGTGTGTATATACGCATACATAAAGAATGCCCTGAGCACTGTGCCCGGGTTCGTGTGTGTGTGCAGACCTGGAGCCAGACCCCCGAGGGCTGGGCAGAAGATGCAGGTGTCTGAGCCCTGGGAGGTGGTGACCCAGCAGCATGGTGACTGAAGTCAATGGAGGGGCGAGGTGCCAAAAGGGCAAGTTAATTATCCTCCACTTCTCAGCTTCTCCATTCAGCCAGCTGGCACTTTCTGAGCAAAATTCTGAACTCGTGTATTAATTTTCTCGAGCTGCCATAACAAATGGTCACAAACTGGGTGGCTTAACGCAGGAATGTATTCTCTCACAGTTCTGGAGGCTAGCAGTCTGAAATCAAGGTGTTCACAGGGCCATGCTCCCTCTGAAGATGCTAAGGGGGAATTCTTCCTGGCTTCTGATGGCTCCTGGCAGTCCTTGGTATTCCTTGGCTTATACGTTGAGTCACTTCAATCTCTACCCTCGTCATTACATGGCCTTCTTCCCTGTGTCTCCTCTGTGTCTCTGTATCCAAATCTTATAAAGACATCAGTCATTGGATTTAGGGCCCACCCTCATCCTGTATGACCTCATCTTAACTTGATTACATCTGCAAAGACCCTATTTCTAAATAAGGTCACATTCACAGGTATCAGGGGTTAGGACTTGAGCATATTTTTTGGGAAGAGGCAATTCAACATACTACAACTAAGAACTACCCTGTACCCATTTTCTATCACTGTGTAACACACCACTTCAAAACTTAGCTGCTGAAAACAACTATTTTATTTGCTCATAATTCTGTAAGTCAGCAATTAAGGCTAGGCTCAGCTGAGAGATTCTTTCCTTAGTCTCCCCTGGGCTCATTAGTGGGGCTGCAGTCTTCTGGTGGCTTGACTGAGGGGGAAGGTCCAAGAAGGTCATATTCATGTCTGACACTTGGTGCTGGCTGTAGTGAGTTGGTCTGGTGAGCCTCAACTGGGATGGTATTTGTCTACTCCACGTGGCTTGTCATGCTCCATCAGGCTAGCCCAGGCATGTTCACATGTAGATTGGCAGATGCTAAGAGGACAAGAGCAAAAGCTGCAACGCCTCTTGAGGACTAGGCTGCTGCATTCTGGTGGTCAAAGCAAGTCACAGGCAAGCCCAAATTCAAGGGGTAGGGAAAGAGACTTGACCTCTTCAAGGAAAAAGTAGCAGAGTTATGTTGCAAAGGGGCATGCACATAGGAATGGGAGGGGTTATTGAAGCCATCTTTGCAAACCATCTACCATAGACTTCAAGTTCTGAGAGGATAAGATAAACGGATTCAGGCCTTGACCTTAAGAAGCAAGTCTAGCCCCCTGACTATGAGGCACTGCAGCAAGTGCCATGTGTTAGAATAAAGGCACAGGAAAAAGCAGTGAATTCCCTGGTGTGTGTGTCAGAGAGCTAGTAGGAAGTGAAAACTGAGCTGCCCATTTGCCCTCTAAGTCCCAAGTCAAGGGCCTCTCATCTGTGTCTGGTTCTGGATAATGACCTCCATGTCCTGGGCCCTTAGGGCTCCAGATACAAGCTAAAATAATCACAGTTTAACACTAAAGCAAAGATGGCATGGTCTCAAATCCCCAAAGAAGCAGTTATGTTCTCATGCTGACTGAGGCAAGAAAAGGTTTCCCAACATGAGAGTTGGTGCAGAAATGGGCTTAGAGCTAACCCTTGACAGAATCCCTTTTCCCTCCCTCACAGATAAACACTTGCCCTCTTCTCCAGTGACTGCTCAGGAGAGGTCTAGCTGCCCACACTTCTGTGGGAGGAAAAACTCCAAGTACACACATCTAATATGCCATCAGGGGGTGGAATCCTGGCTGCATTTTTTTCACTTGTAACTTTGACCGTCTTTCCTCATATGTGAGATGTGGATTCATAGGGCTACAGTAAGAACCAGAGAGAATTCTTTGCAAACACTGTGGAAATTGTGCCATTATCTGTAAGGACATGTGTAGCTCTTGGCTCATTCATTTACTTAATCATTCTTTCTTGTAATGTTTAACTCCATTTTGTCTGCCCAGAACAGCATCCTCCATCTCCCAGGATCCACTCCTCACTCTTTTCTGACCATGATCTTTGAATGGGAAATGCCATATTCCTGGATACCCTCTTCACAGTGATTGGTCCAAGGTTGAGTAATTGGCTCAAGTTGGGTCAGTCAGCATTCTTCCCTGAAATTTTTCAGTGTGAGAATATAAAGAAGTAGCTTATTTCCCCTGTGGATTTGGAGCCAGAAAGTGCTGGAGCCATTTATAGTCAAGTCTTTCACCATGGGGAGGAACTGGAGCGAGGGCAGAAGGTGCAAGTGAATTTTGGTGCGGTGTCAGTCCTTGGTTCCAGCTGTCTCTGAGGCCCACCTACACCCTTCTCTTCCTGCAGTTATGAGAACTTTCCCAGAGAAACTTCTTTTTGCTTAAACTTGTAAGCAAAGGAATCTTGACTAAGACAGATACTTTGTTGAATGTTTATTGAGCAATTCCATCTGCCAATCCCTGGGGATACAACAGAGAAGACATGGATCCTTTCCTCTGAAATGTCATAGTGGCAGAGAAGACAACAGGCAGGTGATGGGGGCTGCCACAGTCGTAGCGCAGAGCAGGCATGCTCCACTTTGCTTAGGGGAGTCCACAGACGTCTCATAGGAGGAAGAGGTGCCTACCCAGAGCCTTAGGTAAGACTCCCTAGTGGTGAGGCGGGGGTGGGTGGGGAAGTGCAGGGCTGTGGGGAGTTGCAGAAGACTGTTGGGATGTGAGGGATAGACGAAGCCCTAACAGTGTGTATAAAGGCACAGGATATGGATTGACACAACCCTGTCGGGGAACAGAGCATTTCCTGGGGGCTGGGACTCAGGTGGAGAAGGAGACAGGGTCAGATCAGAAGGGCCTTGTGGACCAGGCTTCAGAGCATGACAGTAGTGGGCGGCTGCTGAGGAGCTGGGTGCAACCGGGGTCGTCGTACTTGTAGGAAGAGGTGTACCAGGCGAGATACAGGCACTGGGAGGGCTGCTTACGGCATGCTAAGGCAGTTACCTAGTTTCTACCTACAGCCTTCACCCTGCACCTTGGGACACTCACCTGCAGGGGGTCGGCAGGTGCAAATGCAGCTCCTTCATGCAGACAAACTCAGCTTCCTCCCAAAGCTGGTCCTGTCTTCAGGACCATGGGATCAGGCCAGCCCCTCTGCACATCCTGCCTGCCCCACTCAGCAGCAGGCAGAGGCCGGCAGTCCCACGGCAGACTGGCTTTGCTGTAGGCACCATGCCCTCTGTTCCTGTGAGATCCTGGAGCAAGCTGCCCTGGCAAAAAACATATCTACTCACAATTTTAAAAGCAGCAGAAACAACAAGTGAGCCCTTTGGTTCACACAGGAGGAAAACAGACATTTAGAGGAGGAGGATCTGTGTGGAGCCCCTCTCAGCTGCGCAGGACCAGAGGTGGCCTCCTTCTAGGGATCAGAGAGCCCTTCTTTCCTCCAGCAGTCCTTGAGTGACAGGCACCCTCTCGGGGGCTTGGTACACCAAGCAGAAGGGCCCCCAATCCAGGGGCAGCCAAGAGGTCAGCCCATGTGGAGCCTATGAGCTGGAGAAAAGAGCAGGTGGTCAGCTCAAGGTGAAGGAATTTCTTGGACACTTGTACCTAAAGCTGTGGTCAGAGATCAGTGAGCACCACAGAGGCTATCAGGAGGTGGTGTGAGCAGGTAAGCAGCTGAGGTCAAATAGCTGGAGAGTTTGCAAAGGCTCAAATACATATTCCCAGTTGCTCTGCCAGACAGTACCCCATTTACCCGCCATCCTCCACAGGACCTTGCTCTGTCTCCTGCAGTGACAGGCAACATGATTCTGTGAATTGTTTGCCCACCATGCTGTGAGGCTCTGAAGACAGGACCTGGCTTGTTCACACTGCAGCCCCAGCTCCAGCCTAGGCCTGGCGTGGGGCAGAGGCTGCAAATAGGAGCTTTTAGTGAATAAATGACCACTTGAGGAGCTTTCGCCAGCACCCTGGGGCAGCAGGTGCATGTTGGGGTGAGGACAGCCCCAGAGACTGGAAGAGAGGATCTCAGAAAAGGGCCACAGGACAAGCAGTAAACTCAGATCCAGAAAGCCTGATCTGAGACAAGCTCAGGGAGAGGGGAGGAACAAGCTGGGCCAGGTGGCCTCACCAGGAGTGTCCCAGCAGAGGAAGCCAAAAGCAGGGAGGACAGGGATGCAGGGAGGTGATGGACCTGGGATGGGAAGAACCCACAGGTGAGGGGACTCAGGACAGAGAATAAGGACTCAGGGTCCCTCATAATCTCAGCAACAGGAAAGATCTCAGCACTGGCCTGGACATCGCCATAATGCCCACAGTGACCAAGGCCTCACACGTAGGCTCAGTGTAACCCCAGGACTCACACTTAGGAAGGCTGGATGAGCTGGCAGCTGGCAAAACAGGGTGAACCCTGTGACCAGACCGGTGAGCGTGAGGACCCTGCAGGCTGAAAAGGAAATTGCTGGGCAGAGGCTGTTACTGTGATACCCTCAGTGACTTGTCAGGAGTGTTGCATCTGGGCCCACTCAGTGGTACACTGGGTTGGCAGGGGAGAGGTGGGAGCTGTGGGGCTGCAGGCAGGGAGTGACTTCTACTCTGGTTGGGAGTCAGAGTCACTTCGTTGCTAGAACAGCAAGTGGAGGGTAAGCAGGACTTATCTGGGTGCTGGGTGGCCTTTGAGTACCAGGTCCAAGCACTCAGGCACCCAGGACAGAGAGAAATGGAAAGTGACCCACCAGGTGGAGAAGAGGGAAGGATGAGGTTGGAGAGGGAATTGAGACCATCCAGGAGGGCTGTGTAGGCCAAGGTCAGAGTTGAATGCTGTCCTGAATGCCTGCAGGGTGCCAGGGAAGGGTTGCAAACAAGGAGTGGCAAAGTGAGATTAGCATTTTTGGAAGAATTGTAGACTCACCCTGTCTTCCCCACCATCCTCCACTCCAAGGCCTACAGTGCCATGCCCTGTGGTATTTCTTTGGCAGCTATGACCTTGAGCTCTCAACAATGACCTATAAGAGGTCTGGGAGAGACAGACAGGGGTGGGAGCAGGGAAGTTGCCCATGGGCAGCTCCACCCTGGGGCCTCACTCCAGGAGATTCCCTGCTGGGCAGTGACCATGGCAGGGATCAGGCCTGGGCTTGCGTAGACTCAGAATCCCTGGGCATGGGAGGAAGTGTGGCCGCCACGTCTTGGGCCTCACCCAGAATGAAGTACCCTTGAGGAGCCCATTGGCTTCTCAAGGTATTGGGCCTGGCCTGCAAGCCTTCCCCACCTGCCTGGCCCTCCCAGCCCTGGCTTCTCGTTGGGCTGGTCTGGCCAAGCTGGAAGGCCCCAGGGCCACATTTTGGGCCCTGCCCTCACCTGTACTTGCGTCAGTGCTGCTGCCAGCCTCCTACCTCGGGCTTAAGGAGAGGGCCCACCCTGAGCCCTGGCTCCTCACCAGCTATCCGGGACTCTCCCGTCCCCATTGCTTGTCAGACAGCCTGGATTGGGCTGTACTTCTGAGCCCCCTCCTCCCCCATCCCCACCAAGGCCCAGCTCAGCATCTTCCAGGGATGCTCAGGTTCCCAGGCCCTGCCTCAGGTGAGGGCCACACTGCCAATCCTTTGCACAGCTCCAGCTGGCAGAAACCAAAACTGTGCACAGGATAAGGGCTGGGATCCCTAACCCTTCCCCGCTTGTACAGGCACCCTGCCACCCCTCACTTGCTCCCTATGACCACACCAAGCCGTAATCTATGGCACTTCTCCTGTATCCCGGGAGATTTTTTACCACGTGGGGACTTGGCGAGAGGTGATTCATTACTTTCAACAGCAGAAGGGTGATGCAATCTACAGATCCCCATAGGAGAAGGGAGGGAGGGGGACACCAGGAGCAGGTCCAGGGGGCAAGAGGGAACCGAGAATCATATGTCCAAGCATTGTTTTTAGCCCCTCCTCTGATACTGTGCTGGGCACAGATGGTGCAGCAACTCTGCCTTGGAGGAGCTCAAGCTGGCTGGAGGTAGATGATAGGAATTTGATAATATATGGAGCAGGTGTTTATGAAGCAGGAAGCAGAGGTTCCACAGGAACAGAGACCTGTGATCTAGGGGCAGCCAGAAAAATCTCAGAGGAAGACCATCTCAGCTGAGGCCTACAGGTTGAGTTGGCCAGTTAAAGAAGGAGAGTGAGGCTAGAAGGAGGATGAGCCAGGGTGACATGAGGGACAGGAAGGTACAGGGAGGACAGCAGACATTCTTTTTTTTTTTTTTTTTTGAGACAAGTCTCGCTCTGTCACCAGGCTGGATTGCAGTGGCACGATCTCAGCTCACCACAACCTCCGACTCCCTGGTTCAAACAATTCTCCTGTCTCAGCCTCCCAAGTAGCTAGGATTACAGGCATGCGCCACATGCCCAGCTAATTTTTGTATTTTTAGTAGAGACGGGGTTTCACCATGTTGGTCAGGATGGTCTTGATCTCCTGACCTCATGATCCGCCTGCCTCGGCCTCCCAAAGTGCTGGGATTACAGGCGTGAGCCACCACACCCGGCTGACAGCAGACATTCTACATGGCTAGAGAGTGGAGGGTCAAGTGGTACAAGATGAGCCCGGAGAGAGAGTGGCCAGGATAGCACGGGCTCCAGGAAATGCCTACTGCCAGTCAGGGTGCTTTTTAGTGAGATGTCCATTGGCTGGATAGGGGGATGCGGCTCCTGCCAGCGTCCTGGGTACACAACCCAGAATAATGCCCTCCAAGTGGCTCACTCCTGCTTCTGTCCTGTGAGTCCTGGACCATACTACATAGTTAGAACCACAAGAGTGTCCTATGTGAGCTATCCTGTCCTCCCAGGACCCCAGCCAAACCAGTGCTTTGCTTTCACTGACCACATAATAACTTATTTTGCAAATAGGCATCTGAGATTCAGAGCAGCCAAGGAACTTGACTGAAGTCATGGGGCACACCAGCGGAGAAGGGGGTTCAAGGCTGTCCAATGCCAAAGCTTTGGGCAACGTTAATCGGTGTCACACGCTACACAAACAGGCACTTTTCTGCAGGACTTTTCAGAATCTTTAATGTAACAGTGGATGAAAGGCTTATATAACATGGAGAGACGCATTTTCTCCTTTTGTCCCGAATGGACTCCTTTCATCCCCAGTGGATCTGCTGTCTCCAAGGAGCCTATTCTGGGGCCTGCTGTCTGAACTGTAGGGTCAGAGACAGGATTTTGGAGGCCTCCCTGCTCTATGCTCTTTGTATGTTGACTTTAGCACTGTCCTTTTTTGATTTTCCGATTGCATTTGGGAAGATTGGCTTTTAATTGGAGGTTTACATGAGCATGGGTGAAGGAGAATGGGGAAGCTAAGCTCCCCTGTCCTCCAGCCTTCACAAAAGACTTCTTCATTCCATGCATATTACCTAAGGCCTTGGATCACCTATGTTAATGTGTCTGTGGCTCAAGAAGGGACACTCCCAGATGAAAGAGCTGCTCTGGGTCACCAACGGTGCCAGCATGTTTCAGGAAGGCTTCCAGGAAGTGGTAGTGTTTTACTGTGAAGGAAAGGTGGGAAAAGAACAAAAGACAAGAGCAAAGGCATAAAGGAAGGAGCCACGGTTAAAGGAAGTGCAGGGATCATAGGGCCTGAGGCTTGGAAGAAGCCAAGAAAGGAAATCAGTACTGGTGGTAGAGGCCTTGTAGGCAATGAGGGATTTGGACTGGAATCTGGAGCTATCAGAACCATAGAAGGTACTTGAGACAGGGATGACTAAATCAAATTCACAAACAATTCTAGCCTGGATTCACTGCCAGCAGAAGGGATTCCAGGCATTTCTTCCTCCCTGTGAGCTCAATTCACTCCTGCTGCAATGTGCCAGCTCTGACACAGCCCATGCCACCTCCTGCCTTGGCCACCCTTCCCGCAGCCTCCTTGGCCTGGCATCTCTGTCATCTCTGCTTCCCTGCAAACTCCTGTGGACAACCTCACATTGTCCTCGCTGAGAACCTTGCACCAGGCTCTTTCCATTGTTCCTGTGCTCACTGCAGGCTCCTCAGCTAAGCCATCTGTGGCCACCACCTTTCTGCTCACCAGGGACTGTCCCCAGTGCCTTTAAAGAAGGGTGGTGCCTCTGGGGCACAAAGCAGTGGCTGGGGCATCAGGAAAATGCTGGCAGGTGCCCCCCTACTCCAGAGAACACAGGATGGCACTCTTTCCTTAGTGCAGTCTGCTCTCCATCCCAGCTTTCCTGGAGCCCATCCCTGGTTTTTGGGAAAGGGACACGTTCAGCCAAACCAGAGACTAACCCTCAGGGTTACCCAGACCAGGATACTGGATGCTCATTTCACTCCCAATAGGCAGATGCCAAAAGTTGCCTGGAGGAGAGTGTGGAGACAGAAGAAAGGGGCCTGACTGTCAGCATTAGACCACAATAATCTGCCGCCCCTACCCCATCCTTGGGACTGTGAGGGATCCAGATGGCTGGGCTAAGGCTGCTGTTATCTCTGCCTTCTGGGCCGGGCTGGGACAGGACTGGCTTCCTTCAGGGCTCTTACTGACACATCTTTTCTTTGATGGGCTAATTCTGTGATATGGTTGTCCTTGGCCTCAGAGTGGTGACTTTTCCTATCCCTGCTGGGATCCTGGGGATGGGGTCGCTGTGATCAGCCCATGACAAGCACTGCCCCCTCCAAATACCTAACATGCTGTAACATGCTCTTGGAATTCTGTCTCCCTTGGCTTCCATGAAGGGTCAAAAGCCTCAGAATCTTGTGAATCTGCTGTTTAACTCCCTGCTGGCATGTTAGGTATTTTTACAATTGTTCTGAAATCCCATTATCTCAGCCTTCTGAACAGGCTCAGTGTCTCGTGCTGACTGAATACGTGACTGGCCACCAATCCTCCCCTGCTGGCCTCACTCGGGGATGCCAGAGAGCCCTGGGCTGCGGGCTCCCTAAAGCCTGCTCCTCCGACTTCAACACAGTCTCTTTTCCTGAGGCCAGGGCCGTGGGAAAAGCACAGTGATCGCAAAAATAGAATGGAATGGTCTTGGCCACACTGGATAATTGTAAACACAGAATGATGTTTCAAAGAAAAACAAAAGTAAAAATTATAGAGTTGATGAGCTGGGAGGAGCTCAGTTAATTTTACTCATTCTCTGTAGCCAGCACTTCCCACAGGTGTAATTTTACACTTACCTGTGTTATTATTTGTTTAATTCATTCAACAAATATTTATTGAGCACCCACTATTCTAGATGCTTGCACTACATCCATTATCAAAGCAAAGACCCTGTCGTCCAGGGGCTTCCATTCCAGAGGATTGGTGGGGGAGGTAGAGGACAGCAAACAATTGACTCATAAATCTCAAAATGACAGAGCATGTAAAAGGGGATAAGTGTGGCCGGGCGCAGTGGCTCACACCTATAATCTCAGCACTTTGGGAGGCTGAGATGGGCGGATCATCAGATCAGGAGTTCGAGACCAGCCTGGCCAACATGGTGAAACCCCGTCTCTACTAAAAATACAAAAAAAAAAAAAAATAGGCATGGTGCCGCGTGCCTGTAATTCCAGCTACTCAGGGGGTCTGACACAGAAGAATCGCTTGAACCCGGGAGGCAGAGGTTGCAGTGAGCCGAGATTGCGCCACTGTATTCCAACCTGGGGCAACAGAGTGAGACTCCATCTAAAAATAATAATAATAATAATAATAATAATAATAATAATAATGTGTTAAGTGCTAGAGAAACAGAAGCCTAAGAACAAGTAAAGCATTGCTGGGGAGTCGGGAGGTTGTAGCTCTCAACTGAGTGAGCAGGGGCAACCTCTGTGGGGAGCATTCCAGAAGGAGCAACTAGCAGAGGCCTGTGGGAGGAACAGGCAGGAGCCAGGCAGCTGGAGCAGGGCAGAAGGGAGTAGGGGGAGAGCAGGGCAGAAGGGAGTAGGGGGAGAGCAGGGCAGAAGGGAGTAGGGGGAGAGCAGGGCAGAAGGGAGTAGGGGGAGAGGAGGTCGGGCGGGTACCAGCCTGGTCACTGGCTCACTGTAAGGCCTTGGACTTTTATGAGAATGAAACGGGAGTGCTGCAGGGAATGGGAATGGTGTCTTGCGAGAGCCCCGGGAGGGCAGGGTCTGCAACCCAATGCCTAGAACAGGGCATGGCACCTGGCAAGAACTCAAAAATTCCACTGGAATGAATGAACGAATGAATGAATCCAAGCAGGAGACTATGCCCACACCTCCCCAGAGAGATAGCACTGTAGGTACATTTGGAAGAATAGACTTCCAATCTGGTCCATGTATCTGAAACGGAGCTTCGTATCCTTATCAGCTGGGGAGTTTTCTAAATCCTCATACCCAGGCCCCTTCCCAAAACTCTTAATTATCAGGCTGGATGAAGGAGGGTCCTGAGAGGGGCCCACATGAGTATGTGATTCTCATGTGTGCCCCCTCCCTAGTGAGAAACATCAGTCTCGACATTCTCAGCTATTTCCAAATACTCAACACCTGGCATCGTATCCAGCCCCAGGGTACACATTTAATGAATGAACAAATGTTTGTTGACTGAATTCATGGACATTTAAACTCATGGACGGACAGAGCTAATTGACTGCCTTTTTTCAGTTTTCAACTCAGACGTCTGAGATTGCATAAATAAATAGCATTCCAGAGAGAATGGGAATGGGAAGCCTGAAGCCCGAAGCTGTTGTTATCACTGTCCTTCCACCCCCATCCCCCCAAAACATGCCATTACCTATTATCTGGGTCTCTTCTGCTTTTTTGACTTCTGCCCTGAACAAGGGGTAGCATAGGGGATTCAGGGATTCTGAAACCAACTCAATGTATTTCTGCAGAGCTCTGAGCCAGCAGGGCCTCTCCTCAGATGAGAGGGCTGCTGAGGAATGAGGCTCTACTACTAGACAGCCCAGTGCTCCTCCCCCAAAAAAGTATTCATGAGTCTGGAGAGCCAAGGAGTGGGGTGCCCAGAGGGACAGAGGGAGTCAGCCAGTTCACTTCCCTTTCCATGCAAGAAGGGCTCGCCCACATTCCAGGATCAGGGATGGAACTCTGCTGCAGGACATGCAGGGGCTTTGAGGACAGTCTGGTCCACCCCTTCCCTTCTCACTTTGCCTGGCCCAGCTGCCCCTCTGTGGAGCCTGGGGCTCCAGCTTAGGGTGCCTGGGTCTCACAGATTCCTGGCCTCTTGCTTGCAGGTGCCGGCTGCCAGAAAGTTTTGCATATAAACAGTAAAGAGCTCCTTATGATCTTGACATACTTGGAATAAGCACAGCCATTTTTTTTTTCTCTTCCCAGAATTCAATAAAGGCCAGAAATTCCACAGGGCATCTGACTCAACTCTATTTTCTCCTTTCTCTTGTTTCCCAGCCCCCTCTCCAACACCATAACCTTGAAAGGGCAGCCCCAGGATCGGGTGCTCTGTAGCTGGGCATGAGGGTACTGCTGCACCTGGTGCCCGGGAGTCCCCTGACCTCAGTGAGGCCAGGGCCCACTTGTACACCCCACTGAGGGGTCACCTGTACACCCCGCTGAGGAATCAACTTTGTACTCAGGAGAGTGGGAAATGAGCAGGTGAGGGCCTAGGACAAAAGTCAGGCTAGGGTTCAAATCTGCTCCTCCACTTATCTACTGTTGGCAAATGAGTTCCCCTCTCCGAGCCTCAGTTTTCTCATGCCTAAAAGAAGTGTGTCAACAGTTTCTTCCTCTTAGAGTGGATGTAAGGATTGAATGGGTAATGCACAGAGAGCACTTCATAAACGATAGCTATAACAATTGCATCTTCGTTAGTGCTGAGCACTTGTCCTATTCCAATTACTGTATAAGAATCCAGGATCCTGAACTAAATTAGATATGTGCCAGGCCCTCAGAGACCACCTCAGCAAGGAGACAGACAAGGAAACAGGAGGCTTTGGGAGTTGCATGATTAAATGCATGATTCAATTAAATGTGTGATTCAAGATAGAGAGGAAGGTGGGATTAACCCTTTACAAAGAGATCAAGACAGTTTCGCAGAGGAAAGGACCCCTAAAAACGCTATCAAGGTTGAATAGGAGTCCTTCAGATAAACAAGGGAGAAAGGACATCACAGTTAGAGGAGATAGAACACTGTAAGACTCAGAGGCCCAGCCATCAAGCTCAGTTTGGAAGTCCAGGGTTCAGGTATCTAAAATGGGAAGAGACAAGGGTAATGGGAAGCTGGAAAGATGGGCAGAGTCCATCCCGGAAGGCTTTTGAGGCCTCCCCAAGGAAAGACCTAAACTTTTCCGTAAGGTGACTGCCCTGTAGTGAAGGATGCAACTGTCAGGGTTTCCTGCTAGGCAGACCTCTCTGGCCATAGTGGGAAGAGGACAGGAGCACACTCTGGAAGAGACTGAGGCTGGGTCAGAGTTAGAAGATGGATGTAAGGGGATAGGACAGGCACCCCACCCTTCAGTCATTCCCCTGCTCCTTCCTGATCTATCAGGGACCACCCGAACCATTTCTTACATAGTATTTCTCTTTATGCTAGTTCATTTTTAAACCATTTTATGTTGCTTCTATTGTACCATTATAGCCACCACTTCATTTTTTCCCTAATATATGCATAAAAATGCCACACTCTTAAAAGAAAAGTGTGGGCAGCAGTGACTCATGCCTGTAATCCCATCACTTTGGGAGACTAAGCTAGGCAGATTGCTTGAGCTCAGGAGTTCGAAATCAGCCTGGGTAACATGGCAAGACAGCGTCTCTACAAAAAATAAAAAATTAGCCGGGGTAGTGGCATGGGCCTGTAGTCCCAGCTACTGGGAAGGCAGAGGCAGGAGGATGGCTTGAGCCCAGAAGGTTGAGACTGCAGTGAGTGGAGATTGTGCCACTGCACTCCAGCCTGGGGGACAGAGCAAGACTGTCTCACAAAAAGAAAAGAAGGGAAGGCTGGGTACAGTGACTCATGCCTGTAATCCCAGCACTTCAGGAGGATGAGGCAGGCCGATCACCCGAGGTCAGAAGTTCGAGACCAGCCTGGCGAACATGGTGAAACCCGGTCTCTACAAAAATACAAAAATTAGGCCAGGTGCAGTGGCTCACGCCTGTAATCCCAGCACTTTGGGAGGCCAAGTGGGGGGCAGATCATGAGGTCAGGAGTTCGAGACTAGCCTGGCCAATATGGTGAAACCCCATCTCTACTAAAAAATACAAAAATTAGCTGGGCATGGTGGTGCACTCCTGTAGTCCCAGCTACTCGCAAGGTTGAGGCGGGAGAATCGCTTGAACCCGGGAAGCAGAGGTTGCAGTGAGTCAAGATTGTGCTGTTGTACTCCAACCTGGGTGACAGAGCGATACTCCATCACAAAAAAAAAAAAGAGAGAGAAGAGAGGAGAGGAGAGGGGAGGGGAGGAAAAGGGAGGGGAAGGGAAGGGGAGGGGAAGGGAGGAAAGGGAGGGGAGGGGAAGGGAGGGAAGGGAAGGGGAGGGGAAGGGAGGGAAGAAAAGAATATGTCCATTTGCCATTGGTCACGTCTTTGCCCACCAGTGGCATGTGACTCAGGCCTGGGGAACCATGGATCTTGCTAGTGATAAGAGGGTCTGATTTGGGAGGGATTGGGAACATGTTGGTCAAAAGATACAACATGTTATACAAATAACATGTTGGTTATTCAGTTAGGAGGAATAACTTCAAGAGATCTATTGTACACTATGGTGACTACAATAAGAATGTTTTGTATACTTGAAAATTGCTGAGAATAGATTTTACACGTTTCCCCTCCGCCACCTCCCCCACAACACAATGATTAGTATAAGGTAAGGCATATGTTCATTAGCTCTACTTGGCCATTCCACGATGTATACATATTTCCAAACACAATGTTGTTTACCATAAATATATACGATTTGTATTTGTCAATACAAAAATAAAATTTTTTAAAAGAGAGCTTGAGTCAGGCCATGGAAGCAGAGACAGGAGCGGGCTCTGCTCAGTGTGGTATCTGCCAGGCAGGCTCCCTTACTCCTGCTTCTACCTTCAAGGCTCTTGTGACTTTGCTTGGGCTGGCAACGCACAGCACTGTGGCTGCTCTGAGAGTGAGGACCAGCCCAGCCTCCCCCTGCCAAGCCCACCCGGACTGTTTCATCATTAGCGCCCCTCCTCATCCACAGCTCCGCTTAGGGCAGAAACAGGCAAAGGCACCTTCCCTAAAGCAAAAGAGATTTCAGCAGACCCAAGGATGACTCAGCTGTGGGATCCTTTGTGGGCAACTGGATTGTGCAGTATTAGTGAAAATATGTAGAGAGAGAGAGGAGGAAGAAAGGAAGGCAAGAAGGGAGGAGATGCACAATCAGATTCATCTTCACAAGAATTTTGTAAAGCAGGAATTACTGTACCCATTTTACAGATGGAAAACCAATCGCATTTAAGCCACCTGTCAAGATCGTTTCTAGTAAGTAAGAAATAGATCTAAGCTACTAGTCCAGATCTGTCTGACTGTAAAGCTGCTGCTTTCTTTTCCAAGAATAAGGTCCCTAATCACACCACTGTAGCAGAGCAACTGTTATTTTTTAAAATCCCCTTCCAATCTTCTCTTGTTCAGGTGCCGTAAAGGTATGTATCTTCCTTTTGTTCGCTTAATATTATATCATAAACACTTGCAATATTGCTAAATAGTCTTTATTATTATAATAATCACTTTTACATAATATTCCACCCTGTGGACATGCGGTGACTCACTTAGTCATCACTAAATATTTAGGTGGTTTCACCGTCTCAGGATTGTAAATCCTCCCTGCCCCCACCCTTCCTCTGTCAGGCTCCCCTGACATGAATCAGGGCTCCCACTTGCCCCATGTCTGGAAGGTTATGTAGGTCACCGGGACCTGGTTATGCCTGCCATAGTGCAGCAAGGCATTCTAGAGTTTCTCAGAAGGCTGAAGCTGCTGAGAAAGTTAAGTCCTCTTCCTCTTCCTCTTCCTTCCCACTGCCAGGCTTGGCATGGACTCCCCTGCCACTGCCTTCACCCACCCGGGCCACAAAATTGCAGCTGGTGCAGACTGGAGATGCCAAAGGCTGGTTGAGGTGGGTTTGGGCTCTTGCAGCTGGTGAAGGCAGCCCCATGCCCAGACATCTCAGGAGCCAAAGGGCACCCAGGTGACCCCAAGGACTGGTCAGCAATGAGTCCAGCACTGGGATGGGAGCCGGATCCCTGAAAAGAGCCCACAGCCTTGCTTGGTCCCCATTTCCTTGAGAAGCCCCTTCCGGAGAGTTTTCTGTGTTTTGCCCCTCAGGGAACATGGCCACATCCCAAACTGGCTCCCCAGCAGCTCCAGGCTGGACTGTGGAAGCAGAAACCCTCCTGGCAGGCAAGCAGACACCACAACCGCCTAAGGTGAATGGCCCAACAGCACATTTTCAGGATACTTCTCTGTTTTATCTGTTTGCAAAGCAGATATTTGGGGAGGTTGGGCTCAGAATTGCTTCATGGCTTTGCCAGTCCCATGGGAAATGGTTCGCATTCTTAGCATAGTTGGAGGGCTGTGAAGCAAGAGAGGACTGCTCCGAGGCCTCTCTGGGACCAAGGAAGATGAGCCACTACCTCGGCATCCTCTCTCCTTGGATGGGTTCTGGTGTGGGAGACACTGAATGTTCTTTCCAAGAGGGCGGAGTGGTGGGATCTCTAGAGGGGCTCTGTGGAGAGAGTCATCACATTACTTATGTAAGCCCAGGGCTGCGAGTGCTTTCAAGGGTCATGTTATACCAGCTCCTGCCCGGAGAAACACACACTCAGTGCCAGCAGAAATGGGCTTCTTCAGAGGCCCAGAAAGCATTGATGACAGTAGTTTTCTCTAGCCAGTGGTTTTCCATTTCTTCTGGGTACATTGCTGTTTGTATTTTTTAAATAAAGAATATGTATCATTTAAAAGCAAAATCCCTAAAGGTGTTTTTGAATTAATAACTAAATGAAAAGGCCTCAAGAGCCAGGGCATTTTATCTCCTGCCTTGACAGTAAACCCCCGAGTGGAGCAATCTTTCTTGCCAGAAAATCATGTCAACCCTTCGTCCTCTTTCCTGCAGCCGATCGAATGCCTGCTGCACTGCTGAAGAGGAAACAGAGTCGTGGCCTCCGGGAGGGGGCTCAAACCTGTGACTGGTGCATGTTCGCCATTAGACACACTGGCTGGTGACCAGCAGCCCCACCTACAGAATTCCCTGGAATGAGGAATGGCATTCCTGAGACCACTCAGCAGAGACTACCTCAAAAGGCGCTGCTCAATGCCAGGAAATGCAGCGAGAGAAAATCCCCTTCCGGTGCCACCTCTGTGGCCAGCACACAGGTCCCCTGCTCAGCGGGTGTGTGTAGACGTGCCCTCAGGAAGCTCAGCCCAAGGCCCTCTGGAAGTGGCCACAGCTGGACCACACGGAACTCATCCACTGCTTCTTTGGAGCTCCAGGAAAGCGCCAGAAGAGGGGCACTGAGGCAGAGGGAAAGCTAAGCAGCCTGTGGCTCAGGGGACTACCTTGCAACTGCTTGAATGTAAAGCAGGCAGAGAAATCCTCCTGGGAACCTGAGGCCAGGTGTATGAGTGGGATTTAAGAGAGGCCAGCGCCCCTTCCGGGGTGGCCCCAGCCCAGGAGGAGGGCGTGAGAGGCACACCTGGGAAGTGTCAGAGCCTGACAGGCGTGAGCTGGAGGCCTGGCAGGAGAGTGCTCTCACCACCTGACCATCCTGGAAAGCTGTCAAAGTCCCAGTGCCCATGCCACACCCCACAACAATCCAATCAAACTCTTTGGAGGTAGGACCCAGGCGTCTCTGATTTTTAAAATTTCCAGGTAATTAAAATATTCAGCCATGCTTGAGAACCAGTGCTTTAAAGAGATATCTGATGCATCCCAGGCTCATCAAACAAAACAAGTAGGGCTCTTCCTGAGTGATTCATCAAGCTACCTTCTCTCTAGAGGCCCTCTTCACTACTCTAGTCTCTCCAAATCCCTGCCATTCCTCCACATCCATCTCCATTGCCACCTCCTGATGGGAGCCCTCCATGGCTGCCCCAGCTGCAGTGAGTGCCTTTCTTCAAGGGCCCCTGTCACTGAGGACCTGCATAGCCATACATAGCCATCAGCTGACAGGTGTTTGCCCGTCCATTTGAGCAATCCATTCCTGTGGGGGCAGGTACTATGTTGTCCATCATGCTTTCTCACAACCTGCTGACCTACCACCTACCACAATTCACTGCCCACATTATATGCTCAATTAGTGTTTTCTGGCTGACTTACATCCTAGTGCATTTCAACATTTCAAGCAATCTTGGTAAGAGAGTTGAAAGAATGTCTGATTCAAATTAGTGGTTTTGTTGGTGATCAGTGATTGTGGTGATAGAGATGTATATGATAGGAATGGTATAGGAAGAATGGCCAAGAAATGCCTCTCAGGCTGTCTCCCAAGATGGTATGTATAACCCATATAGCCCAATCCTCAGGTGGTCCAGTCCCTGCACTGAACATCTTCAAAGATGTGGTAGTTCCACAGGGCAGTAGGCAATGACAGGTATTTTCTAATTAAAAGCACTTCAAATATTTACTACAGTCTCTTGAGGAAACTTAAATGTGGCAAACCAAACACATGCATTTATATCTACTGAGGAGCCTTGAGGGGTGAGGAGAAACAAAAATGTATTCCAGCCAGTGAGACCAGCAGTGATGGGGACAGAGGGACACAAAGCCCTCCCCGGTTCTCAGAATGGCAAGAGGTCTTGTGAGTGTGGAGTGTAGGGAGGAATGGTTAAAAGAGACTGAGAAGGAGCCAGTATACAAATGGGCTTGAGTCATGAGCCAAGGGGGTAGATTCCAGGTTTTACCATCCAAAGCCTACAACTAACAAGTGGTGTGATCAGATCACTCTGGCAACATGCAGAGGGCAGGACACCGTCAGGCCACTAGAGCAGCGGTGGGGAGAAAGGGCCAGGCAGAAAAGGGCTGGGAGATGTGGCCCAGCCACTATCAGGTCCACCTGCGGTTGCCGAAGAAGATGCTTCTATGCCCCGTTCCCTGTGTGGTGTGTTCTCAGGCCTGGGGCTGGCATTGAAGGTGCTCCTACACACCTTACCCAAGACTTGCTTCCACCCAGTGCTAACTGGCCACTCCATGCCACTGCTCCAGGCTCTGAGCGGAGGTCAGATAGCCCCCCAGTTGCTGGGAGGGCCAACCTCAGCTGCCTTCACACACAGCCCAACATTTTCACCTTATGTACAAGCCAAAGGATATGTATAGTCACCACCAGATAGAAAACAAGCAAATCTTTAGGCTCAGACAATATGAAATATATATCAGCGACTTAAAAAAATGTATGCCAATTTTTACCAAAAGAATTTCAGAGTCTGGGCTGCTTGGGTTTTCCAGGAAGCTGATGTTGAGATAGGGTTAGGAATGCAAGGTTAAAGAGGGTGAGGGTAACGCCTGGGAATGAAATGGGGCAAAAGTAAGAGTGGAGTTCTCAGACCTGCAGGCCTGACTTTCTGCCAGTCATCCAGTGAACTAAAACAAAAACAGCCCATTAGAGGACTCCTGTGTTGGAAATGTGGAAACGATGGAATGGCTGGGCCCTCATACCACCATCTTGCTCAGTCATTGGACAGGGACACCCAAAGAAAATCATAAACTTGGTCCAAAAGCTGAGTAGACCCTGTAGGAGCCAACAGTGGTAGGCTGCCAGCTGAGCACAGCCTTGAAGCAGGGCAGTTTTTTTTTGTTTGTTTGTTTGTTTGAGACCAAGTCTCGCTCTGTCTCCCAAGCTGGAGTGCAGTGGCACGATCTCGGCTCACCGCAACCTCTGCCTCCTGGGTTCAAGCGATTCTCCTGTCTCGCCCTCCCAAGTAGCTGGGACTACAGGCGCGTGCCACCACACCCTGCTGATTTTTTTTTTTATTTTTTAGTAGAGATGGGGTTTCACCATGTTAGCCAGGATGGTCTCGATCTCCTGACCTTGTGATGTGCCTGCCTCGGCCTCCCAAAGTGCTGGGATTACAGGCGTGAGCCACTGCACCCGGCACAGCTGGGCAGTCTTTTACTGGGGCAATGTGTCTTCTGTTGGACGCATCTTGGAGCAGCACAGCTGAGCAACGCATCCTCGTGTCTGTCATGAAGTCCTCCCTCCTCCCAGCCTCCAGTCTCAGTGGGCCACACATAGCATGTTTGAACCCTCTGTGCCAGTCCCCATAAGGAGCCCTCCTCACTATCCCCATCACCTTCTTTCCCTGCCGCCTCAGCAGGCAGAGGGCACCTCTTTCCAGGGATCTACTCTGTCCTCTCCCTCCCTTCAATTCTTAACACTGAAGTCCTCTTCTTTTGTTTGTCTCCTCCTAACACTCTGTCCAAAACCCATCACCAGCAAAATCAAAACATAAATGACTAGCTAGGCAAAGATCTGTACCTTTTGAACCACTAAAGGCTAATCTTCCTAAGACATAAAAAGCTCAATACAAGTCACAGATATAACTAAACTGAAAAAAAGGAGCAAACGATATGAATGGACAGTTTATGGAAAGGAAGTCCAAAAGACCCTTAGGTGAAAAGACACTCAACCTGACTCATAGTAAAAGAAATTCAAGTTAAACACCATTTAATTCAAGTAAGACACCGTTTTCGGCTATCAGATTGGCAAAGATCAAAAAGTTTGATTCAGCGCAGCGTTGGCGGGGAAACAAGCAGGCTCACAGGCTACTGGTGGGAACGTGAATTGGTAAAGCCATGCAGAGGACAATTTGGCAGTGTCTCTCTAAGTTACAAATTCCCATGACCTTCAAAAGGCAGTTGAATGTAATGGTTAAGCGCACAGACTGGAGTCAGAACACCTCGGTTTGAATTCCAGCTCTACAAGTCCTTTACCTTCTCTGTACCTCAGTTTTTCTCATCTGCAAAATGGAATGATAATAGTATCTCCCTCAGGAGATTGTTGCAAGGATTAAAATACCTTAATTATTGTAAAGCACTTACAACAGTTCCCAGCTCTTAGTAAATACCCATGCAGATGTTAACCATCATTATTATTAATTGACCTTGCAATTCCACTACCAGGAATTTATCCTACAGATATGCTTGCACATGTGCTAAAGAGTACACAATGTTATTCATTGCAGCACTGATGCCATTGAGGAGAAGACTGGAAACAATTCAAATGTCCATGAACAAGCTAAGCTGGCAATGGTGCATGTGTATAATGCAATACTATGGGGATACAAAATAATAATAATAATGAAAGAGCTCTTTAGTCTGATCCAGTAGGTGCAGAATGCCGCCATAAGTTTTTAAATAAGGAGAGTAGCACAAAAACAAGTCCACATTCCCTTATCCACAATTATAAAATTCAAAAATCTCCAAAGAACACAATTAAAAAATAAATAAATAACACAAACACATTTGGTAGCAAAACCTGGCTGAACTCAACTGACTTAAGGCAGATTATGGCTTTATTTATTTTACTTGGTGCAGAAATATTTGTGTATTTTATCACAGGCTCTGCTGGGAGTGTGATAGAATATACATACTACCTTTCTACACTCCTTGAATTCCCAACTCCAAAATACAACTGCCCCCAAGCTTCCAGATAAGGGATTGTGGACCATAAGATTATCTACCTTTTTTTTTTTTTTTGCATTAAAATATCTCTTGAAGTATACACAAGAAACTAGCACCAGTTGCCTCTAAAAAAGGGCAACCAAGGCCAGGCGCAGTGGCTCATGCCTGCAATGCCTGCACTTTGGGAGGCCAAGGCGGGCTGATCACGAGGTCAAGAGATCGAGACCATCTTGGCCAACATGGTGAAACCCCGTCTCTACTAAAAATACAAAAATTAGCTGGGCATGGTGGCACACACCTGTAGTCCCAGCTACTCGGGAGGCTGAGGCAGGAGAATTGCTTGAACCTGGGAGGCGGAGCTTGCAGTGAGCCGAGATCGCGCCACTGCACTCCAGCCTGGGCGACAGAGTGAGACTCTGTCTCAAAAAAAAAAAAAAAAAAAAAAAAAAAGGGCAACCAGACTGGGAGGGGGAATTTTCACTTCACTGTATTTCAATCCAAACATTTTAAAGTAATATGGATATTTTATTCCATCTAAAGGTATTTTATTCTATATACTTTAGATGAAATAAAATATCCATATACACACATTTTTCCTGGAGCTTTTCCAATAAATCTCTTGCAAATGGAACCTCATCTTGGTCACTGATTCACTGATCTTTGGCGAACTCAAACTAACAAAACATACATATACACACATAGATTTTAAATCACTGTTTTACCTAAATAATATACACACTTTTCCTTATCTTGCTTTTATTATTCATAAATATCTAATTAAAATTAATCACTGGTTTACCTCTATTTCATTCTTTTTAATAGATGCATAACATCCCTAAATATGAATGCACCATAATTGATTCAGCCATTCACTTTAATTCCAACTTTTGGACACTATGAACAATAAATAAATAAATGAAGACTGTTTTAGATGTCCTCAGTGCTGGGCTATCCTGAAGCCTGATCCACTCTCTCGCTGGCACTGGCTGTGGCAGGCTGCCTGGGAATGCGGACCTGGGAAGCAGGGCTCGAGGGTTGGGGCAGGTGGGACAAGAGCTTCATCTCTGACTCACTGTGCTGCTCTGGGCATGGTGGCGAGGCCTCCTCCCTAGAAAAGTGGAGATAATGAGAGTGACTCAGTGGCAAGAACTCATATGGGCCAATTGGTGAGAAAGCCACAGGTCTCCTCATCAGCCTTCTGTGCACCTTTCCCCAGGAAGGGGCAAGAGCTGCCCCTCGGGCTCCTCCTCGGCCACATCTCCCTAACAGAGCCCCAAAGTGAGGCTGTCAGATTCCAGAACCTAAGGATTTAAGTGCCTATCAAGTACCCAATACAATAAATGGGGCAAGACCCATAGCAGGAGAAGTGGTGGGGAGATTCCAGAGCACCTGGCATAAAGGAAAGATTCCAAAGTCTTCCAGCAGGAAGAAAACAGGTCATGTAGAACGAAACAGGAATCAGACTGGGGGGTGGGGGTGCTGCAGGTTTGATTAGAGGAGGCAGGCAAACTCAGGAATTCAGTTTATAAAGTATTAAAACTTTTCAAATGTGGTATGGACAACTGAATATAGAAGTCTGAAATGTGAGGGGTTTTAGTGCAATTTTTCCTTCTTTTTTTTTTGTAAGACTCCCCTTCCCCATAACCTATGTATTATAATAACCTAGTGTATATCCGTTCATACTTTTCTCTATGCCTACATATACAAATGTATATGAACATATACACACACACAGACAGAGCCATATGTATACACATGATATGTGCATACATATATCCATATATGTACATAAACATATATAATACGTATTCACATATATGATATACAGATATGTATATCTATACATAAACATACACACACATAGCCATGTGTGTGAATATGCTACAGCTTTGAGAATGTACCTCCCATTGTTCACTCACAGGAGCTTTTTCCAATAGATCTCTTGCAAGTGGAATTCCATCTTAGTCACCGATCCTTGCAGAACTCAGACTAACAAAACATACATATACACACATAGGTTTTAAATCATTGTTTTACCTAAATGATGTATATACTTCTCCTTATCTTGCTTTTCTTTTTCATAAATATCTAATAAAAATTAATCACTGGTTTATCTCTGCTTCTTTCTTTTTAATGGATGCGTAACATTCCTAAATATAAATGCCCCATAATTTATTCAGCTTCGCTTTATTTTTTATTTTCTTATTTTTATTTTTTTGAGATGGAGTTTTGCTCTTGTTATGCAGGCTAGAGTGCAGTGGTGTGATCTCGGCACTCTAGCCGCAACCTCCACCTTCTGGGTTCAAGCAATTCTCCTGCCTCAGCCTCCCAAGTAGCTGGGATTACAGGCGTGCACCACCACACCCAGCTAATTTTGTACTTTTAGTAGGGATGGTGTTTCACCATGTTGGCCAGGGTGGTCTTGAACTCCTGACCTCAAGTGATCTGCCCACCTTGGCCTCCCAAACTGTTGGGATTACAGGCATGAGCCACTGCACCTGGTCAGCATTCACTTTAATTACAATTTTTGGACACTATGAACAATACTGTAATACACATTATCCTGTACAGATATTTGAGGACAGATGAAAAGGACTGAACTGGTGGTCAAATATACTTATAGATATATAATTTGTACAGGTTATAATATATAAAATTATTAATTTTATGTAATAATTATAATTAATTTTTTTTGAGACGGAGTTTCACTCTTTTGCCCAGGCTGGAGTAAAGTGGTGTGATCTCAGCTCACTGCAACCTCCACCCCCCAGGTTCAAGCAATTGCCCTGCCTCAGCCTCCCGAGTAGCTGGGATTACAGGTGCCTGCCACCATACCTGGCTAATTTTTTGTATTTTTTTTTTTTTTTTTTTTTTGAGACGGAGTCTCGCTCTGTCTCCCAGGCTGGAGTGCAGTGGCGCGATCTCAGCTCACTGCAAGCTCTGCCTCCCAGGTTCACGCCATTCTCCTGCCTCAGCCTCCAGAGTAGCTGGGACTACAGGCGCCCACCACGACGCCCGGCTAACTTTTTGTATTTTTTGTACAGACGGGGTTTCACCATGTTAGCCAGGATGGTCTCGATCTCCTGACCTCATGATCCCCCAACCTCAGCCTCCCAAAGTGCTGGGATTACAGGTGTGAGCCACTGTGCCTGGCCAAATTTTTTGTATTTTCAGTAGAGATGGGGTTTCGCCATGTTGGCCAGCCTGGTCTGGAGCCCCTAACCTTAGGTGATCCACCCACCTTGGCCTCCCAAAGTGCTAGGATGACAAGCGTGACCCACTGCACCCGGCCACATAATTGACTTTTTTAAAGGCTAGAGAAAGTCACATTTCAAGTAACGCTGTACGTGAATACCCCTTTCTCTGCAGGTCCACCAGCATTCCCAGTCTTTTTATTTTTTTCAAGCTGACCTAACCATTTCACTAACTGCTAGTGATTTTTCATATGTTTTTGGCTCTTTGAAACTGCCATTCCATAAATTGCATTTCTATTGAATCTTTTATCTTTTTCTTGGCAATTTGTAAATGTTCTTTGTGCCCTTTGTCCTCTGATTTATAAGTATGGTTTCCAAATCTGTTCATCTATTCTTTGTGCTATCTTTTGCCACAAAAATTTAAGATTCTAATCTAGCCAAATATGTTTATCTTTTATTTCATAGCTTCTGGGTTTCTGGTATTTGTTAAGGCGTCCCCCCACCCCAAGTCTTCATTGTCCAAGAAGGCTGCTAGAGCTCTAGTCATCACATCTGCATTACAGGCGGCAGGATGGAGAAAGGAACAAGAAAGGCACTTCACCTCCCTTTGAAGACATCTTTGCAGATATTCACACACAATAATTCCACTTGCATGTCACTGGCCATAACTTAGTTATGTCTACATAGTAGCCATAGTTAGCTGCAATATTGTCACCACCATCTTTGAGAAATACAACCTGCTATACCCACACTTAGAACCAAGAGCACTCTTGCTTCTCAGCATTCAGTAGACAAGCTGAGACCACATGCTGCTGAGAGAGAGCTGAAGCCTGGGAACCCACCTCTTACCCTAGAACTTAAAGTATAATTAAAAAATAATAATAATAAATTAAAAAAAGAGAGGGAGAAAGGGCTTCTCTTCTGGCCCTCAGGCATCATGCTTAAGACACAAGGCCTACTAAGTCACAAACAGCCTACCGGGAGGATCGCAGCCCTGAGGCTTCTGTGAGCAAAATCCCAGAATGACTGCAGTCTCCAGAGGTGTCACCTCTACCTCAAGCTCCTCTCCCTCAAGCTCCTCTCCCTCCAGTGTTCTCCCCAGGGGATGGGCAAGAGTTTGTGGCTGGGTGGAGAATAGCTAAACCTGCTGGCATGCAGGGCTGATGGCTTCTGAACTATGGGAAATACCACTAGGCATTTCCAGGCAGATGGGGGCTTTAGGGAATTACTTATGATTCATGCCAGTCTGCAGGGTATGTCTGTGCCAAAGAGAACAACACAACATTGGAAATACTTTCTAACCAGAATCACTCACTCCCTCACTCAGTCACTCACAAGCCCACTTGTCATTCATTGAGGACCCAGAGATGGGGCTAGGCACATCTATCCAGGCTTTCTTCCTGCAGTTCTGTTCTCAGTTGAAAAACAACATCAGTGGAAGAGGTAGGCCAGTGGAGAGCAGCTGGGCCATGAAGGGAAAGACAGAAAAAGTTCATAAGCTGGCACACAAGAGCCGCAGCCATCCTATGGGGCAATGTGGACCCTGAAGACTCGCCTGCCTTCAGAGGCTGGCGCCACCACATGCCTCAGCCTCACCGAGCCTCAGCTTTCTCATGGAGGAAGTGAGAGGGTAATCCCAGACCTGCCCCAGTCTCAACATTGAGAAGTGGGGTGATGTGGGGAGTCTCTCCAGATCAGCATACTCTGCTCCAATGCTCCTGTTGTATTAAAAAAAAATCTTTGAGGCCGGGCGCGGTGGCTCACACCTGTAATCTCAGCACTTTGGGAGGCCGAGGCAGGCAGATCACCAGCTCAGGAGTTCGAGACCAGCCTGGTCAACATGGTGAAAACCCGTCTCCACTAAAAATACAAAAATTAGCTGGGTGTGGTGGCATGCGCCTGTAGTCCCAGTTACTCAAGAGGCTGAGGCAGGAGAATAACTTGAACTCGGGAGGTGGAGGTTGCAGTGAGTCAAGATCGTACTACTGCACTCCAGCCTGGGCGACAGAGCAAGACTTCATCTCAGAAAAAAAAACAAAAACAAACAAAAAAAAAATTTGAGAAAATTATACACATATTACATCTTTGTCATTAAAATATCCAGGAAACACAGATAGGCGAAAGGAAGTCAAAAACATAACTGTTAATTGTAGAGGAAAGAGCTGTTAACATCTGGACATAGGCTTTTTCAGCATTTCCAGTACCTAGATATATATTTTAATTGGCTTATACTTTATATATGGCTTGGTAATTTCCCTTTTTTTCACTCAACAATATGCCATGAGTTTCTTTCTACGTCAATAAGCAAACTTCCTCGACATATTCTAATGTTTGCATGACATTCTGTCAATGTGTTGTATGACTAATTTTTCCTTTCCCTGGGGTCTAAATATGATCTAGCACAGAACTGTTACTGATCCTGACTTTATTTAAAATTTTGATGTTTGGTTCACCATGGATTAATCTTTATTTTTAAAAAGTTGCATTAAAATATTACTTGTCTTGATTATGGGGTTTTGGGGTACCCCCTACTTCAGTTGCTTCACCCTCATTCCAGCCCTGTGTCATGTAGATACTCCATACTTTATGCCACTAAATGTTGGGATCCTTGAGTTGTTTCCAGTATTCCAGTTTCTCTGTCTCTGTATTTCCAGAATCCAGTACAATGCCTGGTGCCTGGTAAGCACTCAATAAATATTTGTTGTATGACTGAATGGACGGATGAATGAATGAATGAATGAATTGGTGAAGGAAGGAAACACTGCAATGATTATTTTTGTGCCTAAATTTTTGTACACATCCCCTGAAGGAAAAGGGAATGGGTGTCAAGAGAGGAGGAGGAAAGGCAGAGGCCTTAATGGAAGGACAGCACAGGACCAGGTGTCCACAGCACAGTCCAGGGGAGGCAGCAGTCTGAGTCATGTGTGTGTGGGCGTGAGGCAGGGCTCTAGTGGGCTGGAGTTGCCCTCTCAGTTTATGCACTATCCAAGCCCACCTGGAACCCCCTTTGGAAGTCCCCAAATGGAGCTATCACTACTGCGGCGTGGCTCTAGCCCAAAGAGCTGGAACCAAAACACGGCCATATCCCAGCTGTGTGACTAGCACATGCTCACACAGAGGCGGCACACACACCCAGCCCCAAGAGCCTCCCTCGCACAGGCTGACTCAGAAACTCACTTGGAGACTGGGCTGCAGGCCCGCTGGCCGGCTTACTTCTCCAGGGGTGCCGAGACTCTGTGCCCCCAGCGTAGAGCTGCCTCTCCATAGCAATAGCAACAGGGGGTTTTCTCAACCCTAACCAACGTGTGGAATTTTAAAATAACAAAGCCAGAATCCAAGAGAGGAAATTCTAAGAACATGAAATAAGTCAAAAAAGCAGAGGTGGCTGTTTATTTTCCATCGACTGCTTCGTCCTCTGCCTCCCTCCCTGACCCCAAAGGCTGGGGGAGGGGTCCGGATTCAGATGTCAGCACCACAAAGCTAAAGGAAACCCATCTTCCTGTGTTTGCCAAGGAACAATGCTGGAGAGGCCATTCCAAGGCCTGCACTTTTCCTCTGCACATAAGAATTTAGGTCCCAGTGCATTCATGGGACAAAGAACTTCTGGATATAAACATTTCTGTTCCATCACTCAGTGACATTTGTGACACACAGAGACTAAGATCCCGTGTGGCCTCATGTGCTCAGATCCATACTGACCCAAGCCGAGTGAGGATCTAGTAGGAGATTTACAGTCCTGGCCCCACCTTTCAGCTAATCAGCTGAAGGGTCTGATCTCCTCTACCACCCCAGTGACAACCTCCCAGCTCTGCTTTCTGTCCCTGCCCTCCGAGCTCCCATTAGTCCTTTTCTGGATACTGCCCAAGTTCAGCCTTCCTGGCCCTGACCCTCCTTGCTTCATTCATCCTGTTCTCAGCCCATGGGCCAATCTCCCATGCTGCACCTGCAAGCAAGGTCCTTCTCTGCTCCAATTCCTCCTTGCCCACAGCATTGGGTGCCCTGGATGTATTCCAGGATCTTTATGATGCCCTCTTCCATGCCAGTCTCATGTCCTGCATGCTACCACCCCCAAATCAGGGAAGGACAAAAAGCAGGAAGTTCCATGACCAGACCCACATGGTCTTCCCCTTGGGAAGGCCCCTCCGCAGGGATGAAGAGCTGGACAGCTGCCTTTTCGGAACCAGAAATCAGTACTACGAAGGGGAAGAGGAGTCAGTCAATCAGGCAAGGTGCTGAGAGACCAGCCAATGTACACAGAGCGCCTACTAGGTGCTAGGCCCCACACCAGATGCTTATGGGCATTATCTATCAGTCCCCACAATACTCCCACAGCAGCGTGCTGAGTCCTGATTCTCTTCTCACTCTTCACGGGCCACTGCTGTGCCTCTCGCAGAAGAGGGGCTCCATAGACCAACCAACATCATGAGTGGACTGAGATGGACACCCTGACCCTTACTGTGACTCAGCTGGGCCTTTGGCAGGCATGGGGAGAGGCCAGGAGCAGACTTATGCTCTGTTTGGGGGCCAATCGCAGCACAGGCTCTTCCTCTGCACATAAGGTTCCCTCTGTCTAAAATACTCTTCTCCCATCTTTTGGGCTGACTCCTACTGATCTTCCGTGTCACTCTGCAGCTTCTCCCAGGAAGCCCTCCTGGATCTCCACCCCCAATCTGTGTTATTCCTCGGTGTTCCCCCACACCCTGGGCTTCCCCCAACTCTCCCTCGGTGTTTCAGAGACTGTCTTGAGGATCAGAATGTCAGCCCCTCAAGGACAGGATGACTTCACCTCTGTGCCCCCAGAATTAATCTCAGGAACTGGCACGGAGCAGAGGCTCAGCAAATATTTGTTGAATGAGTTAAATGCTGTTAGGTATTCAGTCACTCCCTGGCCGATCAGAAAGCACCTAATCCTAAACTAGATTGTCCGCTTTCCCTCTTCTCTCCCCAGGTCTTGCCCTTCACAATGTGCCCCCTAAATGGGCACATTTTGGGATCTGAACCCTGTGCCCCTTGAGGCTGATGATGGAGAGGGGCACGTCCTATCTCCTCTTTGAGCTACTGGCCTGGCTTTCTCAGTGCCTCAGCGGACCACTGCGGGCTTCCCTCCTTTCCTCCAGCGCGACTGGTCTCGCCGCACCCCTGTCCGGTGCCTCCTGCGAGTCCCTCCTGGTCGCGGCCCTCGGGGCCCTGTCCTCCACCCGGACAGACGGACGTACCGGGGGCTTGGGGAGAGGGTGGCACAGAGCGGGCCGGCGTTCTCCAAGGAGAGGAGAACAAACTTGTGCGCTCAGAGCGCGCAGTGAACACCCTGCTCACATTCCTGCGCCGGCCGGAATGCCGGCCCGGGACCAGCCAAAGGCCGCATTCCTTGCGCCGCGGCCAGCTCGCAGCCCCGGCTCCTGCCCCGCCCCTGCCCGCCCCTACCCGCCCCCAAACCCGGCCCCGAGCCCTAGCCCTTGCGGGCGCCCCCCGGCGGCTGCCCCACTCCGCTCCCAGCCCGCCTTTTGGATCTGAGCGTCCCCTCTCCCTCTTCCCCGGGAAGCGTCCGGCTTCCCCACACTGCTGCTTCCATTTCTGCAGCCCCACTCCTCCATCGCTTTTAGTTTTGTTATTTGCTCCCAATGAAAACAGGTAAAAACCTTCCACGGCCCCTCAGAACCTTGGTGACAAACACCCCCGCCCCTGGGCGGCTTCATCTCCCGGGTTCCCCGCACCCCGCCTGGGCGCGGCCCTAGCCCTCTCTAACGCCCGCACCCCCTGGAGCTCCCGCCGGGGCTCCCGGCGCCTAGGGTCGGCTCCCACGCAGGCGCCTCGGGCCGGAGGCCCCGCTGCAGCCTGGGCCCTGCCCGCCTTGCCCAGAGGCTCTGCGGAGGGCTCAGGGAAGGAAACGCAGTCCGCCCCTGTCCCTGCGGCTCTGGGTTGGAAACTGTGAGAAAATGGGTCAAAGTGGGTCTGTAGGAGTGTCCACCCGCCCCGCCGGATAAAGCGCCGCTCCCCCGTAGTGAGGATCACGCTCTTGGGGAGAGTTGAGGCCCCAAGAAAGTCCATAACCACTGGGCTGGGGGTTTCCACGACGGTATAGAAACCACTCAGATCACACACATCAGCTGACACACACAGCTGCGCTCACGTGGAAACACCACGGAATCAAGTGAGCAAATGGACTTTTCCCTAAAGCCAGACCACAGGCCTGCGGAAGTCCCTGCCTTCCCGCAGGGACTCGAGGCGGGAGTGTGCGATGTGCGCTTGCCCCTGCAGGGGGCCTTGCCCAGATTCTTGGCCAGTGTGTGCTACCCAGGGCGGGCAAAGCATGGGCTTTCACCCATTTTCCCAGCTTGTTGACAGGGCGCTTTCTCAGTGGGAAAGGTGCCACGGCCTAACATCATTTGCGTGGGGAAATTTGCATGTTTATCAGCCCACAGACCTGTGAAGGACTCACCCTCTGGATGAAGTGACACCTGGGAACCCAGTAATGCAGCAAGGCATGCCTGGAACTTGCATTGCTCACCATCCGGAGCCGTGGTTTGTGCTGCCAGGAAAGGCGGGAAAACAGAACCCAGATTGTGATTGGCAGACTCCTGGCCTGGAGGAAGGGTGGGAAGTCAGGAGCGCTTCATGGGAGGCTGAGCCTGATGGCCGACTTGCCTTGCTTGGTTGGTTTCGTAACCTCTGAGAGCAGGAAAATAAAATGGCTCCTTTCCTACCTGGCAGGGGTGTGGCCTGCAATATCTGGAGGTAGGCCCAGAGTGCCCAGGTGGCAAGTGGCCATGCAGCCCTGATTTGAGGTTGTAGCCCTCGCTCAAGGTCTGTCTCTTCCCCATGACACAGAAGATGGACATTCTAGACATTTTACACCACCCTGGCAGTTCATCAAATGGCAGTGCCAAGGCTCTGCCTCAGTGGAATGTGAGGGTGCTCGAGGTGATGATGACTAAGTCAGACACAAGAGAAGCCCCAGTGAGGACCCTATTCATTTTACAGACACTTACTGAACCCAGCCCCTACCTCCAAGAGACTCACGGTCCCCTGCGGGAAGCAGACTCCTGGCCATTTCAGTGCAGAGTGATAAATGACAAGGCAAAAGCAGCCCCAGTGTGCAATTTGAGGACCACGAGGGGTACTGAACCCACCTCTGGGTGGGCCTTCTGGAAGGAGCTGCTCTCCAGGGGAAGTAGGGGCAGGGAGGAGGCTCTGCCAGG